>NC_000006.12:43999393-44302424 GCF_000001405.40 Homo sapiens
AGCTACTTATCCTAGCCTTGGCGAGAGGATCACTTGAGCCCAGGAGGTTAAGGCTGCAGTGAGCCATGATTGCACCACTGCACTCCAGCCGGGGTAACAAAGTCAGACCGTGTCTCTAAAAATAAATAAATAAATAAAAATAAAATAAATTTGACAACCAAGTTTAAATGGTGTTCTCATTATTCCCATTTTACAGATGCAGTCACTGGGGCCCCCAAGAAGTTAAGTGATCTGCCTAAGATCACATGCCTTTGTTTATATGTGTTGGAATTTTTCAATTCTCTCTGGAAATCCACATCCTCCACCCCCAACCCAGACTCCAACACAACTGCTTCCACCACGGCCCACCTGCGTACCCCACACATATCCCTGAAGTGCAGACTTCCTCCCATCCTTCCCCAGGAAGATTCCCTGGTCTGTGGGGTAGCGAGTGTTGGGGTGGTCTCTCCTTCCCTCCCATGCTTCTAGATTCCTCTGTAGGGTCCCGGTTTTGTTTTTGGTGTGGCAGCAAGCTCACTGCCTTTTTGAGTACTGTATGTCAGTGAGTTTGCATGCACACACCTGGAGGAGGGATGTGTGGGCATGAGAGGTATCTGGGCAAGTGGGCTTACTTGCCCACCTGGGGCACATGTGGGTACAGTGCAGTGGAGCATACATTGCCTAGATTGTAACCGTGTGTGTGCCTAGACACAGGCAAATGAGCCCATGTGGGTGTTCATGAAGGGCCTGCCCCCTGCATGTTTGGGGGTCTGTAGAATGAGTCCCCATTTCTCTCCCCTTCCCAAATAACTGCCACCATCTTCAGTTCAGACTCCTGGGCCCCAGGTAAGGGGCTGGTGAAAACCGCCTGTGACTGGGGACAGAGACACCTGAGTCTTAAGCCCCACCCAGGCTGCTAGTGCCCTTGAGCAGGCATCACCCCACCCAGGCAGCGGGAGTGTCCTCACCCAATGGGATAGGGTGACATGGGGGAGGAGGTTTGAAGCGGGGAGAAGGCAGCGAGGCTTTCAGCTCCCTAGATGGGAGGCTCATTACCCTAGCACTCAGTAGGTTGTAGGGAAGGGGGACTGAGCCAGGACTTGGCACTGACTACAAAGGGTAGGGGCAGCCCCCAGCACTCCCGCCGCGGCAGGCCAGGGGAGGGGCTGTGACGTTTGGTGGCCTCATGCAGCTGAGAGGAAGTAGCTAATTGCCAACCTGATGACTGGCGGCTGAGGAGTGGGGTGATGATGCCACTGGCAGAAGCAGGCGCCCTGGCCCAAGGAGGAGGCCCTTCAGCAACGGAGTGGGCCTGCATTCTGCGGAGGGTGAGACTGAGGTGGCTGCAGTCAAAGGAGAAGGGGGCAGGGGTTTGTTGAGGCTGTGACCGTGGGAAAGCGCTTCTCCAGGGCTTCCCTCAGCTTCAAGGAGAAAGAGTTCAGAGGCCCTGAGGGGATGAAGGGACTTGTGAAGGGGCTTCAGGGGGATGGGTTGGGGGGAAGGAGGTTCCTATTCTTACTCCCCTTCTGCCTATGCTCCCCCAATGTTCCTGTCTCTCCCCTCCCCCACCTTGGCCCCCTCTTTGGCCCCTGTGGCCAAAGTTGTTGAGGAAGGAGGGAGTAGATGGAGGGCTCTTTTCACCAGAAGACCCCCAGGCACAAGCAGCCCACCTTACTGATGGTCAGAGCATCCAGAAGAAGTGGCAAGACTTCAGCTGTCCTCAAAGCAGGAAGACAGAGTGTTTCTGGCAGAAAGAACAGCACAAGCAAAGGTTAGGCAGTGGGGTCTGGAGAGGCTGGTGGAGGACTGGGGCTTGGCTTCAATGGTTATGAGAGGAGGTGGGCAGGATGTTCTGTACCAAGGGCCACACTGTCCCTTCCTGGAAGAAACAGTGGGTACCCAGCACCCAGAGCTTCTCCCACATGCTGGCCACCGCCTCTGGCCCCAGTAGACCTGGCCCTCAACTGCCTCAGCAAGCCTCACAGGTTGGGGACCCCACCCTCATTATTCTCAAGTGCATCAACCCCGAAGGACTGAAGCCCCGAGTCCCAATAAACAGGTCCCATCCATCCGTAGGCCAGTCCGCTGGGCCCCTAGCACCCCCTATGGGCAGGAAGCAACACTAATGGAGGAGGAGCCTCCAGCAGCCTGGGGTGGGGTGGGGGTGGGAGAGTGAGACGTGAGGGAGGAGAGAGACTTGCCCTCTAGGAAGCGGACAGACCATGCCTCAGGAAACCCCAGTGTCACAGGTCACAGACACTGACCTTGAAGCGTTACTCTCATGGGTGAAATTTAGCCCCTGTCCTCAGGAAGCTCCCAGTCTGACGGGGGACACATATAGTGCTCTCAGAGCTGCCTTCTTTAGGGTGAAACTCAGTATCTGGGCTTCAGGAAACTCCCAGTGTAAGGGGAGAGACACGACCCTGCCCTTAGGGATCTCTCAAATGAGGCATACCCACTGGACTTTCGGGAACCATCAATCTGTTTCCAGACATGGATTAGAGATTTCAATGCCTCAAGGGCTGCCAGGAAAAAAAATACAAGACGTCCAATTAAATTGAATATCAGATAAACAACGAATAATATTTTAGCATAAGTCTGTCCCATACAATATTTGGGACAGACTTACACTATTTAAAGTATCCAGTTTAACTGGAAGTCTTGTGTTTTTATTTGCCAGATCTGGTAACCCTAGGTGCCTCCAGTTTGAGGGAGGAGAGAGGACACCCCCTCCACCCCAGACATAGGAAAGCAGGTAAACACCTCAGCGTGCTCCGGAGGGCAGGGGTGGGGCAGGAGGAGAGTCCTGGGGCTCCGGCTCGCGGCAGTTTAAAATTCCTTCCAGGCCAGAGCCCTAATCCCTCGGTGCACAATGGCCGCCTTCTCCCCCGCCGCCCGCGCCCACGCCCTCCCCCGCGGGGCCGTGGCAGTGCCACCAAGGGCCTCTTTAAGCCCCTTTGAAGCCGCGGAGCCCCGCGCCGCAGGAGGCCCCGCCGCTATGCCAGCTATGCCAGCTATGTCCCTGCTGCCGCCGGCCGCCACCGCTCCCCCATTAATGCTGGCTAATCTGGCTAATAAATAAACTCCCCTCCCAGCCCCAGCCCCGCGCCGACTCCTCCCCGCCCCCGCAGAATCGATGTCAGGGCTCGACTAGAGCAAGCGCCCGCACTCCACCCCACTCCCTCGAGATGTAGCTGACGTTTTTTCTTATGGCTGCCCTAGGTCTGTAGCCCGTCGGGGATTCTCGGGGAGACGTGGGATTTGGGAGGTCTCCGCCTAGCCACTGCGTTTGCCTTCCTCTTTTCCAGTCCACCTGCGCACCAGGGGCAGGACACGTGGCTGGGTGCAGACGCTGGCCCGGATGTCGCGGAGGACTCGCGGGCCGGTAGAGCGCGCGGCGGCGGCGGCGGCGGCGGCGGCGGGAGGAGACGCAGGTCACGCCCCCTTCCCACCACCTCCCGCCGCCGACGGGGCGCGCGCGCCGAGGAGCCCGGGACAGGTGACTCCTAGAGGACTGCGTCTGCGCCTCCCCCGGCGGGAGTCCCTTCTTCGCGGCCTCTGCCGCCCCCTGCGTCCCCTCCTGGGCTTCCGAGAGTCTGACTCAGCCAAGCCGGCATCGCTTCGCCTCCTACAACACACCCCGAGCGCGAGAAGAAATTACAGGATTGCAGGGGCACGGCTAATGCGCTCTAATTACCCACCGCCGCTGTCATCCGCGGCGCTCCGCGGCGCTGGGCCAACGCGCCGTAATTAAGACGCCGCTCCCCGGTCCCGGAACCCTCCCTTCGCCACCCTCCACCCACCCACCTCGCGGTCCCCAGGACCACTGGCTGCCAACTCCTGCCGCCCTCTGGGACTGCCCCTCAGTCCCAGGAGAGCTATGAGGCCTCACTGGGGGCAGAACTTGGGGAGACCGAAGCCGGCCCTTCCACTCCCCTAAACCTACAGTCCTGGAAGGTCTCTGCTGGAAGAGACTGGGAGAGTGGGGAGGGGCCAGGGACCTATTTCGTTGACAGAAACAGTGAGGTCTATTGGAAAGTTAGCCTTCAGTGGGAGGAGTGGCAAAGGCACGCAGGGCAGCAGTACCCCCGTTTGGCACTTGAGGCACGGAGAAGGGAAGGGAAGTCCGCCCAGCCAGAACTCCCAGACCCGCTCGTTTAACAGTGGCTTTATGAGCAGCACGACGGACTCCCTCCCCTGGCGGGGAAATTACCTTCCTGCGAAGAAAGGTGACATCCCCGCCACAGACACGGAGGCCCCGCCTGCTGGCCAGCTGTGGCCGCCATAGGGGAGCTGGTGAGGAGTGAGGTGGCTCTGGCCTCCCATGTCAGGTAGGGTGAGAGAGGCCCTGAAGATAGAAGCCAGGCCCGAAGGCCAGAATTAAAGGGGTAGCTTGGCCATCAGCTCCTTCCCCCAAAACCAGGCTCAGAGCTCTCCTCTATCAGCAATTCTTTCCTGAGGTCCAGGGTGTTGCAAACTCATGGCCTTGGGCCACGTTTTACCTTCAGTGAGGTTTTGTTTGGCTTGCAATGAGTACATGGGTTTTAGGTTGAATGTGAGAGTCTGCAGACAATGTGGGTTCTCCGACTGCCCTCCCAGTGAAGGTGGACCTCTGATTTAGACCGGCCCGCTGGGCCCGTGCCTACATCCTTTTCCTCAGCGTCAGGATCTTAGTCCCCATGATTGCTGCCCCTTTGTGGTCTGCATGTTTCTTGGTAAGGGTGCCCAGTCAAGTGTCTCTGGGAGCCCCCTCTTCTCTGTCATCGTCAGGCTCCCCACTTGCAGTGGCCGTGGTGGCTGCACATGCTCCCGGATACCCCTCCAGCACTCCCTTTTGTCATCTTGAGTTTCAGTCCGTGACTTGGGTGGCACCCTATCTTCTCCATCAGGGATGGTAGCTATTTTTCTGCCATGAGACTAGAGGTTGCTTGAGAACAGGAAATTGGATCTCTCCCTTCAGGCTGGGATTTCACTAAGGGCTGGAGAAGGGGGGAATATGGGAGGATTATCTCCTATCACAGGGAGCGCTCTGAGGGCAAGGCTGTGTCTCCGATTCAGACTGACGGTTCCCTGAGGATGGGGCTGTTTCTCCCCTCCGACTGGGGCTCCCTGAGGATGGGGCTGTTTCTCCCCTCCGACTGGGGCTCCCTGAGGACAGGGCTGTGTCTCCCCTCAGCCTGGGGCTCCCTGAGTCAGGGCTGTGTCTCCCCTCAGACTGGGGCTCCCTGAGGACGGGGCTGTGTCTGCCTCAGACTGGGAATCCCTGAAGATGGGGCCGTGTCTCCCTCAAAGTGGGGCTCCCTCAGGACAGCGTTGTGTCTCCCCTCAGACTGCGGCTCCCTGAGGACGGGGCTGTGTCTCCCTCAGACTGGGGCTCCCTGAAGAAAGGGCTGCTTCTCCCTCAGACTGGAGCTCCCTGAAGATGGGGCTGTGTCCCCCTCAGACTGGGGCTGCCTGAGGATGAGGCTGCATCTCCCCTCAGACTGGAGCTCCCTGAGGGCAGGGCTGTCTCCCCCCTTCAGACTGGGGCCTCCCCCAAAGGACAGGGACTGTGTCTCCCCTGGGACTAGGTTCTTTGTGTCTTCTGCATCAGACAGATTCCCATGAGGACAGGGCTGTCTCCCCCTCCATCTGGAGCTCCCTGAAGGCAATGGCCTCTCCCCTCAAATGGGACATTTGCACCCCACCCCACCCTCTGGCTCCCCATGGCGCCCAGGCATTCCTCCCAGGACACCATTTGTCACGCTTTGATGAATGAAACTTACTAAGAATAACTCAGTCCTTGTAGACTCTAAAGGACAGGGGGAGGGAGAGGGAGGAGGCTGGTGATTGTGGGGGTGCTGGGGGAGGGAGGACACAATCCATTTATTCAATAGCATTTCCTGAGTCCCCAGCTGGGCACTGGGGGAGACACAGTGAGTGCCACAGAGCCCCCTACTGTGCCATTTCTGCCACTGACTGCCAGGGCAGACTCTGAGACAGAAAGTTCAGGTTCCTGCTTCAGAGCCTCCCCACCCCAGCAGTCATTACCTCAGGGCCACCCAGCCCCCTCCATGCCAGTCATGAGCTCCCTCTGCCCCTCCCTTCAGTGGAGGGGAGACTTTGAAATCAGGTGCTTGGGGGGGGGGCGCTGCTCCCAGTGGGGGTGTGAGGAACCTGGAGGATGAATCCCTGTCCCCCGCCCTCCCCCTACTCTATTCTTCCTTACCCTGCCCCTTTCCACTCCAAAACCTCAAGCCTCTGGTTCACATCTGAGTGACCTTTCCAAAGCAACTGTTCTCAGGGGGTCCTTGGGAGCCGGGAGGCTGTGACCTTAACCCACTTCTTTGGACAGTGCCTTCCTGGCACTCCACCCCCACCTGCCACCTCCTGAGAGGAACATTTCGGCTGGTCTTGGCAAAAACATCAGTCTATGATCCAGGCAGCCTGGTACAGTACCAGCTCTGCCACTGACACCACTGTGACCTTGGGAAGCCATTTACACATATGGGTCTCAGTTTCTCCATATGTAAAATGACTTTTGTTTAGCTTTCCTGATTTTCAAACCTTTTTTTCAAACAGTGAATCCTCTTGTTTAAATTGTAAATCATGTGGCATCTCTGTTCTCTGTGGTAACATAGGAAAAAGGTCGGGGGTTCTTTGGTCAAAATAGGGGTGGGCTTCATGCCCCAGCGGTTAGTCCATGACACACGAATGCACACATACGTGTGCGCACAGATCAGCTCCTGGGCACTGCAGAGTCCACTTCACAAACGTATGAACTCTGAAATCCTTTCCTGCTCAAACATTCTGGGACCCTGACAGGACCGGGAGCTCTAGAACCAGGGGTGCCGACAGCTCTAAGGAGGAGGCTGTGATTTCAGACCCCTGGGCCTGGGGCTGGGGCTTGAGCCAGCAGGAGTTCCTTTCCACACTTGGGTCCAAAGTCACTGCCTGGGCAAACCCTCACTGCTCTCTGCCCTCCCCACCCATCCAAGCCAGAGGTCAGATAGGCTTATCTGATGCTGAGCCCCCTTAGAGGGGTGGCGGGGGCCAAGTGGAGACAGAGTGTCCTTCATCAGTGGGGAGGGGCAGCAGGTTGGGTGGCAGGCTCTGGGAGTTCTTCTCTGGAATCCCTCTCACATGCCTCGGAGGAGGGTCAGAGTGGTAGGGTGGGAGGGCCAGCAGGGCCCTGCAGTGGCTGAGGGCTGGGGGCTGACCCCAGGAAGCCCAAGGCGGGCAGCATAGGTAGGGGAGACTCAGGGAGCTGCACCACTCCATCCACAAGTGTGAGAATTTGATACCAACAGGGAACGCAGGTAGGACAGGGCCCATCAGACACTGATGACAGGAAGGCAAGAGTGAAGAGAGGAGCAAGTACAGCCCAGGGAAGAAAAAAGTCACCAATAAGAGGCAGGCCTAGGCCTGGGCTCCCAGCTTGGGGCAGCAGAGCAGATCCCTTCAAGGGAGAAACCACAGATATGCCCCAGCCTCTCCTTGATGCTGTGAGTCAGGGGTGCTTAGAAAGGCTCGTGTTCAGTTCCAAATGCCCAGGGTCACCACGAAGGAGGTGCTGCCCCCTCCCCTGCACCCCAAGCAACCTGCATCTGCATGGCCCTGGAGAGGCCATTGCTCCTGATTTCCCTCAGGAAACATGGCCAGGGAGCTGCTGTGAGAGTTTTCCCCGAGTCCCCACCTCCCTGAGATGTACAATGAGGGAAGGGAAGAGGTATCTCACCGACTTCTGCCCTTCCATCTCAAACAAAGACACACACACACTCTCTCTCTCTCTCTCTCTCTCTCTCTCTCTGTCTCTCTGTCTCTCTCTCTTTCTGGCATTTGTCCCCAGAGAGTGCCTAGAGACTTCACAGCCTTGGCCCTGGAAACCCCTAGACAGCCGCTATGTTGCCAGGCACGGCTCTGGGCACTGAGGCTACAGCAATGAAAAAATCAGCCAAGTTCTCTGCCTTCATGGTGCTCACATTCTAGGCAGAGAAAGACAGATGATCAACAAGTGAAAAAATCATAAAGCTCAGGTCATGGTGTGGCAAGTATTAGAGTGGAGAGCGATGGGGTGGGGTGGGGGCGCTGTTTTATATGGGGTGGTCCAAAAATATCTTGGTGAGGTGGTGACATTTGAGTGGAAACCTGGACAGCAAGAAGCTAGTCGTGCTTTGGGGTCAAAAGGACTCCAAAATTTCAGTTTTTTAAATGGAAAACATGTGTTTACCCATAAACATTAAAGAGCAGGGAAATTAGAACTATGTTTCTGGAGCACCTATTATATGTCTAGCACCATGATGGAAAATTCATAGACATCATTTCCCACCGCCCTCTTCAGAACCCTGTGTGTCACATAGCATTGTTTTCATTTTACAGATATCAAATGAGAAATCCATAGAGATTATTTCACGCATTTAATAAGATTTATTGAGTATTCACCTCTGAAAACACTGTAATAAATCCCATACGGACCCTGCCCTCCTAGAGCCTACAGTCTGTGACAGCGAGGAGAACGGTCAGGGAGGGCTTCCTGGAGAAGCCCATGTCTAAACTGAGCCCGAAAGGATGAGGAGGGGGTGACAATTGAAGTGAGTTGGCGGGGCCCGAATTTTAGGCAGAAGGAGCAGCCTGCACAAAGGCCTGGAGCCTGGAGCACACGGCTCCCTGCAGTTACAGCAGGGAAGTGAGAGTCGTGCAGGATGGCCCAGCCTGGAGCGGGAGTGGGGCAAGCTAAGGCTGGGGGGTTGGCTGGGGCTGGGCAAGAGGGGCAGGGTAGGTCTGGACTTCCTTCATGGGAGACCATGCTACGAAAGGGTTATAAACAGAGAAGTAGCAGGGCCAGGTGTCTCTTTAAAAGGCTTCCTGTGGGGGCTGAGGCAAGGAGTGGGCTGGGGGCTGGGAGAGGGGGTGTGGCACCAGCAGCAGTGAGACTGGTGGGCAGAAGTAAAGGACTGAGGAGGGGGTCCTGGCCAGGTTCCTGAGGAGGCTGGGGTGGTGAGTAGGACCCTGCAGGCAGGGCGGATGAGCCACTTGGTGTGGCTGTTAGGCAGGGCAGGTGAGTGGAGCCCTAGCCAGAGCTCTGATGACCTGGCTACCTCCAAGTGACAGGGTTACCAATGGCAAAAGGTGGATGCCAGCCAACAGCGAGGCCTATCAGGCAATTCCTACAGGCTCACGCATTGTACCCACATGTACACACAGGTGTGTGCACACCACACAGACACACAAATACACATGCATCTGGCCCCACTCCCCCATCTGTATTGATAATGGGCTGGGAAGGGGCACGGGAGCCGGGGCAGAGATCACAGAACAGCAGCACCTTGCTTAGCTCAAGCCTCAGGCCCTGTGCACCTCTTTCTGGAGCCCCAGGGCAGATGCCATTCCATAGCTCGGGCCTGTAAGTGCCCCAACTCCTCATATTCCCTGAGAACCTGCTTGTAGGTACCTAATCTAGGATAAGCAGACTCCCTCCTGGTCACATTAACAGGGAATGCATCCCTGAGCTTCACAGCCAGCAGCAGAATCCAGACTCGGACAGACCCTGATGGGTGGAGGGAATAGGCCATACCAGAGAGATGAGCATTCACAGGACCAGCGCGAGGACTCGAACTCAAGGTGAGACACTCAACAGCTCAAACACAGTCTGGGGGAGGCCACACGTAAGAACAATTTGTGTGAACATTACTGGGAGGAGCCTTGCCCCTCAGGGAGCAATGAGCGTGCAGACTTGGGCTGCACTAATGGGAGGGCTGAGTCCAACCAGAGAGGGGCTGCTCCCTGGGCACCAAGCTGGCCAGGCCCTCCTGGAGCAGTGGGTCCAGACCTGGGGACCTCCTCAAGGGGACAGTGACAAAAAGAGTGACAGGGTGGGGAGGAGTCCAGAAACCCCATCATCTAAGGAAGCGCCACAGGGGTGTTTCACCCCAAGAAAGAAAGCCCTTTCTGTGGATGCTATCCCACTTTTACATGCTCTACCTGATGCCTCGCCCTGGTCTTGGGGTTGCACTTAATAGAGGCAGCTTTGCAGGTACCCATTTGGTTGATCTGTGGTGCCTCCCTAACTAGGCTGTAAGTAGCATGAGGTCAAGGGCTGTATATGCTTTTTACCATTGTTTTCCTGGTGCCTGTCCCATACTGGAAGCTCAATAACTGTCTATACATGGAAAGAAGAAGGAAAGAGGGAAGGAAGAAAAAGGAAGGAAGGAAGGGAGGAAGGGAGGAAGGGAAGAGGGAGGAAGGGAGGTAGGAAGGAGGGAGGAGGGAAGGAGGGAAGGAGGGAGGGAGAAAGGGAGGGAGGAAGGGAGAAGGGAAGGAGGGAGGAAAGTGGGGAGGTAGGAAGGGAGGGAGGGCGGAGGGGAGGGGAAGGGAAAGGGAAGGGGGGAAGAAAGGAAGAAAGAGAGTTGAGCATGCCTTGAATGCTCTGAAGGCTGCCATGCAAAGAAGGGTTAAACTGGTTCTCCAGGAGCAGAAGAAATGCCAGCAGAAGGTGAACTCAGGGAGTCAGTTTTTAAATCACCGACAGTAGGAAATCTTAAAAGTCAGATGGTCACAATGTCGATTGGATGATCCCAAAGGACTACGAGCTTCTCAGGAATGAGTTTAAGCAGAAGCAAAAGTAGCGCTTCACAGAGGTGCTGTTGCTTCAATGAAGGAACCAATGAATGGTGAGTGAATTAATGAATGAATGAAACTACCACTGAATACTACAGAGAATTTCACATGCTGGACAGAAGACTGGAGACCTCTGACGTTTGTCTCAGAAGTGAGTCTGTGAGACTGGCGCTATGCCAGACCCCAGGTAGGCAACGAGCCATGGGCCCTGTCCTCAAAGAGCCCAGTGAGAGATGCACGCAGCACACGCACAGAGGCAGAAAACACACTTTGAATCTCTCTAGCAACCCCAGACAGGTCATGCTGGAAGACATTCATAGCAGTGCAAGGAGAAGCGTCTTGAGAGAAGCTCAGCCCTGACTCCGCTCCCCATACCTTCTCAGCTTTCTCAAGGAGGTAACTTTCTAGAACCCCCTTTGGGCCACTTTCCCAGGGGTGACCCTTTGGCACACGTCTGTCCTGAGGTCGTGGCCTGTCTGGCAGCCTCCTCCTCAGGGTTAGGAGTGGGGTTGGCACCTGGCCATCCTGCAGAGGGCAGGGGTAGGTGCTTCAACAGCCCCAGCTCTGGGACATGTGCAGGTGCCCTAGTTCCAAGCCCCCACTGGCAGGTTCAGAAGACTGAGACACATGGCCAGGCCCTGACCCCTTGCCTGCAAGCTTCCTAAGAGCAGGGATCATCTCTTACCTGCCTCGGTCTCTCAGTGCTGGCACAGCATGGCTACTCAGTGTATGTGAGCTGAGTGGCAGAGTGCCAGGGCTGGCAGAGCTGCCATGAAAAGGGGTGCTGTGCTCAGGGAGATGGAGATGGGGTGCCTTCCTAGTAGGGTGCAGTAGCACTAGGCAGGGACTAGGAAGAGCATGCAAGTCCCCTGGGCCCCCTAAGGCCAGCACCGGGTCAGACTTGTCTTCTCTCCATGTTCAGGGTCTGCCCTGTCTCCAGCAGCCCCACTGTGGCTGGTGACCTGTCAGTGACTCACAGCCAGCTGTGGGCACAGAGTGGAGAAAGTGGCCTCCAGCTGAGCTCATGCACTAGCAATTAGCCCTCTACACCTCCTCACCATGGAGAGCCTCCCAGCTTCCACGCACGCACGTCCCAGGCTGCCCTTTCCCAACCGCAGCGTGGCTCTTGTGCTTATTTTAGCCTGATGAAGCCTCTTGAAATGTCAGAGCTGCAACCAACCAAGCTAGGGACCATCCAGTTGAATCCTTTCATTCAACCAGGGAGAAAATGGGGATTCAGAGAGGGAGTGAGAGATGCGCTTCAGGTCACACAGCTAATTGGTTGTGCAGCCAGAAATGAACTGCAGGCTTCCGGAGCCCAGATCCAGCTGTCCTTAACTCTAGGGGGCAATGTGCTTCAGGTAGCCCCTCACCAGACTTCTGGAGCCACTGGAGCCAGCACACATGTGTTTGAATCCTTCTTGGCCACTTGTCAGCTGTGAGACTATGGGCAAGTTACTCAGCATCTCCAGGCTTCTGTTTCTCCACCTGTAAAATGAGGATAACAGAGGCATGTCCCTCCCAGGTTGGTGTGAGGAATGAATGAGTTCATATATCTGAACTGCTAAAAGCAGTGCCAAGCACATAGCACACACTCAAAACACATTAGCTGACATTGTGTAGTCACCAAGACTTGGTCTCTGGTGTGGAAAGTTTAAAAATTCAGTTTTATGTGTTTGTCCATGGGTGAGCAGATTCTGGGACACCAGCCATATAACCAGACTTCTGGAAAACTGGTGGTGCTACTGTGGGGACAGGTGTTGCTGTCAGAAAGATCCACAGTAGACACAGAAACTGCCTTCCACTTTGGCAGTCACCATCTGAGACCCACAGATTGCAGACATCGAGGCAAAGGCAGTTTGGAGATTCTCAGGGCTATTCAAGCTCGGTGAGCCTGAAGAAGTGCCCTTCTGAACTCAAGAACTGGGCCTCTGTTTGTTAATCTGAAAAATAGGGGAAATCATAGCCTTGGGCTCACTGGGTGGTTGCAGGCATTAGATCAGGTGGGACAGTACCTGAAATAATCCTTTCTAGCCTTCCTCCTCCCTCTTTCTTTGTCACGACCCCCATCATCTGCTTGAGGCCAGTTCTCTCGATTCAGAGCTGCCTCCCCACTGGGCCCAGTTGGATAAACACTGACAAATTCTTCCCCTTCCAAGTTCCTCTTTTCCCAGTCACCAAATCTCTGATACCTCACACCAGATGAGTTATGGTCCCAGAACATGTACAAGATTGGGGTGTTCTCATTCCAACCCTGGAGATCCTTGTTGAATGGATGACTCAGTGAATCAACAACTGCAACGATTCCCAGAACTTCCTGAAAACTCACTCTGAGCTCTTAACATTGGGCAACACTCTGGTTTCCCCCAGAGCCCCACCACAAACCACCTCTGAGGAGAGGCGGCTCTGCAGTTGCCTCATCACTCTTTGCTGCCCTTCATCATGCTCATTTACACGAGAACTTTCTCTGCCCTTACTTCTCCACCACCCAGTCTGGACAACCAGGTGTGTTTGCATTCTCCCCTGCAGGAGGGCAACACAACCGTTCTGCTGTCCATAACCACTGCTGGCATGCCTAGTGGTCAGTCTTGAGCCCTCTCCATCTGCCCAAGTCACAACTGTCCCCCTACCCACCCCACCCAACTTCCTATGATTGCCTGCATAGGACAACTGACTCTTCTTGCTTGCTATTCCAGCTCCACTAATAGCCCATGACCCCCTCTTAGCCCCAGCCAGCCCCACCTGTAGAGTCCTGCTACGAGTGAGCCATTCCTCCCCAGGGGCATCACCTACTCGCTGCATTCTGTTCTTCAGGACAGACTGGAGCTCCCCAGACGAGAAGGCCTAAAGGGCTGGGAGCGGTGGCTCACTCCTGTAATCCCAGCATTTTGGAGGCCAAGGCGGGTGGATCACCTGAGGTCAGGAGTTCAAGACCAGCCTGGCCAACATGGCGAAACCCCGTCTCTACCAAAAAAATACAAAAATTAGCCAGGTGTATTGGTGGCGCCTGTAGTCCCAGCTACTCGGGTGGCTGAGGCGGGAGAATTGCTTGAACCCAGGAGGTGGAGGTTGCAGTGAGCCGAGATCACGCCACTGTACTCCAGCCTGGGCGACACAGCGAGACTCCATCTCAAAAAAAAGAAGGCCTGAGCCATTTGAGAGTTCATGCCCCTTTGAAGGCTGGGAATCTGAACACTAGTTCTGCCCTCAGGAGCCAGGATATGGCCTGGGCATCATCTCCAGCTTGGTTCCAGCTTATTCCCCACCATTGGCCCGCTGTCCAGCCCTCTGCATGTTTCTGGGCCACCAGTGGTCCCTACACGCCAACCAGAGGATTCCAAGAGTATCTCACCTGGAAGATCCTAAGGAATCACCCAGTCTAGTGGAGATGGTCTCTAGAGTGTTTGAAAATGTTTTGGAGTCTTTTTCATTGTAATAGTGATTAGAGATGTTCTGGCATTGGGTGCCCCAGGCCGGGCATGCTAGATCCCACAATGGACAAGGCAGTTTGCATAGTGAAGCATTGCACCCCTATTCTCCTTGGAGAAACACCACTTCTAGTCCAAAGTACTTCTTGTACAGTTGTAGAAACTAAGAGCCAGGGAGGATAAGGTACTGGCCCAAGACTAAGCAGCAAATTTGTCTCATAGGTATTCTAATAATGAGGATCCAAGAGTTCTGTTTCTTGGTGATTTCAATGGTATCTAGCCTCAAAATCCACTAGCAGTCACCAAGTTTGGGGCATGATGGGAGAGATGAAGACTAACGTGAGTCATTGGGAAGACTTTGTAGAGGTGTCATTTGGGCTAAGCTTTGAAGGATGACTTGTGGACCTGTCACTCTCGAAAGTGGGAGAGGGCACAACAGACAAAATGGTCAATAGTGGGGAAAGGACTAGAGCCTAGGAGTGAAGGTGGCTGAGGAATGAGCACAGGCTTTGGAAAGGAGAGCAGTGGAAGATGGAGGATGAAAGGAAGGTGACCTGAGGCTAGATCACAGAGGACTTTGCGTGTCAAATTGAGTATTGGGGTTGGTTCCAGGACCCCTGCGGATACCAAAATCTTGGAATGCTAAAGTTCCTTATATATAATAATGTAGTATTTGCATATAACCTATGCACATCCTCCTATACACTTTAAATCATCTCTAGATTACTTATAATATCTAATACAATGTAAATGCCATATCAATAGTTATTATGCTGTACTGTTTTTATTTGTATTATTCTTATTTTGCATTATTTTTTGTTGTTTTTTCCTCAAATATTTTTGATTTCCAGTTGGTTGAATCTACAGATATGAAACCCACAGATATAGAGGGCCAGCTGTATTTTGAGGCCAAGTTATCAGGTGCATACAAATGTAGAATTATTACATCTTCATGGAAAATTGAACATTATATCATTGTGAAATGTCTGTATATCTAGCAATGCTCTTTGCTTTAAAATCTGTTTAGTCTGATTTTAACATAGCTGCACTAGCTTTTTGTTTTTGTTAGTGTTACATGTTTTATCTTTGACTTTTACTTTATCTCTATATTTCAGGTACATCTATGTACAGGGTGTAGCTGGATTTGGATTCTTTTTTCTTTTTATGAGACAGGGTCTTACTCTGTTGCCCAGGCTGAAGTGCAATGGCATGATCACACCTCTCTACATGCTCACTGCTCACAACAGGCATGCATCACCACGCCCAGATAATTTTTGTATTTTTTGTAGAGATGGGTTTTCTCTATGTTGCCCAGGCTGGTCTGTAGCTCCTGGGCTCAAGTGATCCTCTCACCTTGGCCTCCCAAAGTGCTGAGATTATAGGCATGAGCCACTGTGCCAGATTTGGGTTCTTATCCAAAATAAGTCTGAAAATCCTTGCCTTTTAATGGGAAAAAATAGTCATTTTATATACGATGGAATTACTGTTTATTTGGACTTAAACCAATACTAAGTGCTATGTGTGCTACTTACCTATGCTCCTTTTTCTCTCCTTTCTTTGCCTTCTGTTGGAATTATTTTATTTAATTATCCCCCTTTTAAAATGTGGAAGTTATTCACTTTTTTATAATTTTTTAGTAGCCACCCAGAGATTACAGCATGCCTTTTTAACAAATCCTAATGTTAATAGATTCTTTTACTCTCCCCAAAATAAATGCAAGAACCTTAAAAACCTTAACTCTTCCCAAACACCATTATTATTATTATTTATATGTAGCATATATTTGCTATTTATCCACATGTATACCATTTTCATTGCTCTTTATTCTTTCTTGTATCTCTATTCTTCCATTTAGAATTATTTTATTCTGCCAATAAAATGTCCTATTAATGCAAATCTGCTGGTAATTAATTGTCAGTTTTATTTTTCTAAAAATATATTTCTTTCACCTTCCTTCTTGAATACTTTTTTCTGGGCATTAAATTATAGGCTGCCCATTTTATTTTAGCCCTTGTAACATTTTTATTTATGATAAGAAATGTATATAGTCATGCACCACAAAACAACATATGGTCAATAACATACAACATACTTAACAGCAGTCTCATCAAATTATAATGGAGCTGAAAGTTCCCATTGCCTACTGACATCGCAGCCATCATACGACATAGTGCCTACTGACATTGCAGCCATCATACGTCTTAGTGCAGCATGTTAGTTATGTCTTTGTAGTGATGCTGGTTTAAACAAACCTCCTGTGCTGCCAGTCACATACAAGTATCGCACTTAAAATTATGTACAGTACATATTTGATAATGTTCATAAATGACTGTGATACTGATTTCTGTATTTACTGTACTATACTTTTAATCATTAGAGTATAATCTTCCTACTTACTAAAAAAAAAAGTTAACTGTAAAACAACCTCAGGCAAGTCCTTCAGAGGTATTCTAGAAGAAGGCATTGTCATCAGAAGAGAGGACAGCTCCATGTGTTATCAGCCCTGAAGAACTTCCAGTGGGACAAAGTGTGGAGGTGGAAGACAGTGATATTAATGATCTTGACCCTGTGTAGGCCTAAGCTAATATGTGTGCTTGTGTCTTCATTTTTAACAAAAAACTTGTAAAGGTTAAAAACAATTTTGACAGAAAAAAAGTTACAGAATGAAAGTATTTTAAAAGAAGGTATTTTTGCACAGCTATAAATGTGTTTTTGTTTTAAGCTAAATGTTAATACAAAAGAATCAAAAACTTTTTAAATTAAGTAGCCTATAAAGTTAAAAAGTTACTGTAAACTAAGGTTGATTTATTACAGAGGAAAGAAAATTTTAAAAATAATTTTAGTGTAGCCAAAGTATACAGTGTTTATAAAGTCTACAGTAGTATACAGCAATGTCCTAGGCCTTCACACCTACTCACCATTCACCCGCTGACTCACCCAGAGCAACTTTCAGTCCTTTAAGCTCCATTCATGGTAAGTGCCCCCTGCAAGTGCACCATTTTTTATCTTTTATGTTGCATTTTTACTGTACCTTTTCCATGTTAAGATATGCAAATACTTACCATTGTGTTACGATTGCCTATAATATTCAGCACAGTAACGTGATACAAAGGTTTGTAGCCTAGAACCACATAGCCCAGAATAGTAGGCAATATCATCTATATTTGTGTAAGTACACTCTATGATGTTCACACAATGATGAAATTGCCTAATGATGCATTTCTCAGACACATGACTATATTTGGTCTTCATCCCAGTTTCCTGGCACACAGCTCCTAAAACCTTTGGAATTTCTTAAGTGATAAGTATCTTTTGTAGCTAATGAGATATCTGGTGACTGGGGGCTTCTGGATAGCCTCAGGATGGGGCTGGTTGCCGGGGGAACCAACCATGTGATTAGTCTTGTAATTTTCAGACCCCCGCCCCAACTTCTGGAGAGGAGAGAAAGGCTGAAGGTTGAGTTGATCACCAAAGGCCAATGTCGTGATCAATCATAAAAACCCAAAGGGACTGGATTCAGAGAGCCTCCAGATTGCTGAACACATGGTGGTTCCTAGAAGGTGGTGTGCCTGGAGAGGACATGGAAGTCTACACCCCTTCCCTCATACCTCGCTTTGCGTAGCTCTCCCATCTGGCTGTTCATCTGTATCTTTCAAAATAATTCTTTGTGATAAATTGGCAATAGTAAGTAAAGTGTTACCCTGAGTTCTGTGAGCCTCTCAAGAAATTTAATTGAACCTGAGGAGAGGGGAAACCCCCAATTTATAGCCTGCTAGTCAGAAGCATACCTTGCAACCTGGCACTTGTAATTGTCATCTGAAATGGGAGGCAGTCTTGTGGGACTGTCCTTAGACCTATGTGATCTACATTAACTCCAGTTAGTGTCAGTATTGAATTAAGTTAGTGTCAGTATTGACACTCAATTGGTGCCCACTAGAGAGCTGATTGTTGGTAGGGAGAAATCGCCACATATATGCCAGAAGTGTTCCATGTTGAGAAAAACACTTTGTTCTTTTCCATTTCATATGGGGCTCTAAAGAATTCCATCATATTCTGGCTTCCATTGTTTCCATTAAGAAATTAGCTGCATGACTAATTGTTGCCCCTTTGAAGGTAATCTGTTTATTCATCTAACTATTTTAAAGATCTCCTTAGCTGGGCGCTGTGGCTCAGGCCTGTAATCCCAGCACTTTGGAAGGCTGAGGCGGGTAGATCACTTGAGGTCAGGAGTTTGAGACCAGCCTGGCCAACATGATGAAATCCCATCTCTACTAAAAATACAAAAATCAGCTGAGCATGGTGGTGCATGCCTGTAATCCCAGCTAATTAGGAGGCTGAGGCAGGAGAATTGCTTGAACCCGGGAGGTGGGCAGATCACGAGGTCAAGAGATCGAGACCATCCTGGCCAACATGGTGAAACCCCGTCTCTACTAAAAATACAAAAATTAGCTGGGCATGGTGGCGCATGCCTGTAGTCTCAGCTACTTGGGAGCCTGAAGCAGGAAAATCGCTTGAACCCAGGAGGCGGAGGTTGCAGTGAGCCAAGATCATGTCACTGCACTCCATCCTGGGTGACAGAGACTGTCTCAAAATAAATAAATAAATAAAAATTTTAAAAAATAAAGATCTTATCTTTGATGATCAGGTTTTAGTTTTACTCTGATAGTAAAGGTATACTCTTTAGTTTTACTCTGATAGGCTTAGGTGCCGGTTCCTTTTTATTTCTCTTGCTTTAGGTTATTTGGGCTTAACTGAGTATATGGATTGATATCTTTCATCAGTTTTGGAAAGGTCTCGGCCATTATCCCTTCATATATTGTTTTTGCCCTATTCTCTTTCACATTCTAACTGCTTTCTTTATGTCTTTTAGACTCTCTTCTATATTTTTCATTCTTTCACCTTTCCATGTTTCATTCTGGATATTTTTTTTCTCTTTTTTTGAGATGGAGTCTCACTCTGTCACCCAGGCTGGAGTGCAGTGACATGATCTCGACTCACTGCAACCTCTGCCTCCTGGGTTCAAGCGATTCTCCTGCCTCAGCCTCCCAAGTCGTTGGAACCACAGGAATGCACCACCACACCCAGCTAATTTTTGTATTTTTAGCAGAGACAGGGTTTCACCATGTTGGCCAGGCTGGTCTCAAACTCCTGACCTCAAGTGATCCACCCACCTCGGCCTCCCAAAGTGATGGGATTACAGGCGTGAGCTACTATGTCTGGCCTGGATATTTTTTCTAATCTAGCTTCTAATTCAGTAATTCTTTCTTCAGCTATGTTTCATATACTTTTAAACCTATCCATTGAATCCTTAGTCTTGGGTATTATAATTTTCAGTTCTAGAATTTTAATTTTTTTAACAAAGTTTCAATTCCCTGCCAAAATTCTCAAACCATGTCTATTTCCATCATGTATTTTTATCTCTTTGAACATAATAAGCATTGCTGTTTTTTTAATTATAAAATCTGCATCTGATAATTCCAACATCTAGAACCCCTGCTGTATATGCTTTTATGTTTGTTCATGTTGTCCAGTCTCATGTGTTTGGTTTTTGGTGTTGGTTTTGGTTTGTTGTGTGTATGTGTGTGTTTTATTTGTTTTTTTGTGAGTTGTTTTTGTTTGTGTGTGTGTGTGTGTGTGTGTGTGTGTGTGTGTTCTGGACATTGCAGGTGCAAAGTTGTTTGTAGAAATTATCTGACACCAGGATGACATCTTCTTCCAGAGAGGATTTGCAAGACCCTGAGGGCACTAGCAACATTGGATCGCCTTAATCCAATTTCAGGAATTGAGATGAGTCTAAGCAGAGCGGCAGTCACTGTAAGAACCTGTCTACTTCCAGTTTATCCTTAGTCCTCAGGCACAGCCCTTTGGGGTCTCAATCCAAAGCAAGGAGGTTTACCAAATACTCCTCTTGGTAGGCTTTGTCTCATATCCCCAGATCCTCAAAAGCGCTGATTAACCTTTCAACCTCTCAGTCACTCACTCCCTCCATTCCCAGAGGAAAAGCATTTAAAAGCCAAGCTCAGCCAGGTGCAGTGACTTAAGTCTATAAGCCCAGCAGTTTGGGAGGCTGAGGCAGGAGGATCACTTGGGCCAGGTGTTCCAGACCAGCCTGGGCAACATAGCAAGACCCTATCTCTACAAAAAAAATTTTAATTAGCTGAGTGTGGTGGTGCACACCTGTGACCCCACCTACTCAGGAGGCTGAGGCAAAAGGATTGCTTGAGCTGAGGAGGTTAAGGCTGCAGTGAGCTGTGATCACATCAGTGCACCCCAGCCTGAGCAACAGAGTAAGACCCTGTCTCAAAAAAAAATAAGCCAAGCTCACCTCCCTAGTCTCAGTCCTCTCCATATCCTAGCTCAATAATTGTCTACTATCTTGTTTGTCTTATTAGTGCTCAGATGCTTCAAATGGTCTGGTGTTGTGGTGGTAGTGGTAGTTTTTAAAAAAATATATAGCTCTTCTAGTTGCCCTCAGCAAGAAGGTTGATCACCATTACCTAGTCTGCTGTTACTAAAAGCAAGCACAATGATGTGCAGGAAGTTTCTAAGACACAACCATGTTAAAAAAAGCATTTTGTGTTTTAAAGCTAACAGTTTACACAACACAGATTAACATGTCAAGGATTGTCATAACAGAATTTATTTTTCTGAGTTAAAAAAGTTTCAAGATTTATACGATTTATTGACTTTAATACCAAAGAGGATGAATCAGGATAATAGACTTAATAAGAGCAAAGTTAAATGGTGAACTGTTTTCATGTTTTGAAAATAAAATTAGATTCTGTGTTCATTTTTAAGGAATCATGACCCAAGAGAACTGACAACACTGGTGGGAGTTTCTAGGAAGGGGAGAGGAGCCAAGGGCTTGCTCTGGGGTGATGGGGAGGAGCAGGCAGATCTTGGAAGAGTATGGTGAGTTCAGCACTAATGGCCTTCATCCAACATGCTGAAGAGTCCAGCAGGAGAGGCGTCAGGAGCCAGGGGTGGGGTTCTAGCTGGGTCAACTAATGGACAGTGAACCAGAGAAATTGACTTGGGAGCTGCTTGTGGCCAACTGGAATTGGAACAAGGGGAGCTAAACCACTCTGATGGCGAGTGCACAGAGAGAGGAGGATGCCCTCAGAGCACCAACCTTCAGGGGCAGAGGGCTTGGTGGGGGATCCCTGAGGGGAGCAGAAAGACTTTCAGATGATGGGAGGTTGAACCTGCTGGGAAGAGGCTCTTTGGAAGTCTTGCTGGCCCTAGAACCAATTTCCCCCAAGAAGTTGAGGCTGAGAGGAGGAGGCCTCTGCTGACTTGGTGAGCGCAGTTTCCATAGGGTTTGGAACCAGAAGGCTGCTGAGAGGGCCTAGGAACAAGTGGGAGGTCAGGAAATAGAGGCAGTGTGTGTAGACTTCTTTTTGAGAATGTGTGGGGCTCTGAAGGAAGGAAGGAATTGAGGTGGTGATTCAGGGAAGAGCTAGTGGGAACAACTGGAGGAAGTTTGTGGGCGGAAGGGAAGGCTCTTGGGCAGACAGAGGGGCTAATAAACCCCATGAAATGAAAAAATCTGAGGGAGTCAGTGCCCACCCTGGGTAGCAGTGTTCAGATCCCTACACTCCACAATAGCTCCTGTGAATCCCATTTTTCCGATGAGGAAAGTGAGACTCAGAGAGGCTGACTTGCCCAGGTGACTGCTAGAGAGAGATAGGCCTGGGATGGACACCCAGGTTTGTCAAGTTACGAAGCCCATCTCTCAACCTCTGCCCCCTCTCCCCGTGCTCATCATGGTTTCAGGGTTTTCCATGACTATGACCACCCCCGTCACCACTACACTGTCACCGTCATCACGCCCACCGTGGCCTCCACCACTATGACCACCTCTGTCACTGTCCACCCCACCACAGTAATTACACTCACCAATACAAGATTTCCTGCGCAGGACACATGCAGTTTCTGTCTTTAGGGGTCTCCTATTCTGAGAACATGCAAACAACAGAACAGGCGAGCAGAGACAGTCAGCCAGAGCCTCTGCAGCATGCGGCTGGCCAGGGGCTGTGCTGGTCCTATAGTCAGGCTTGAGCTTCCAGCTTCTTTCTGAGGAGGGGGCATGTCAGAAACTGGTTTTGCCATTTGCTCGTCTTTTCCCATGGCAAACTCCATGGGCCTCCTCCATCACCCATCCTCACCCCACCCCAAATCCTCCATTCATTGTCTCTGAGCTGAGAAAATTAAACACATTTTTCCAAGGGAAAATCCTTAGGGAAGGGAGGGTGTGCAGAGGGATTAGGGGCTGGGCTGAGGCCCAGCCATTCTTGGTCCTCCTCCGAGACTCTTGGCTTCCTGCAGGGACATGCTCCCCACTCACCAGGGCCCCCTTCCCTCCCCCAGCACCACCACACCCCTCCTTGGCACAACCAGGGATGGGAAGTCCAGGAGTACAGCCTGGGCCTGCCGCCTCCATGTCTTACAGGGCAAGACCCTCCCTAGAGCTGCCCACAGGCCCTCTCCACCAGGCCTCAGGCCTGGAGAGAGAGAGGTCTGGGATATAAAAGGGAGATGAAGTGGGGATGAGGCAGGCCTGGGGATGCTCAGAGAAAGTTTCCACGCTGAGCAGCTTGTTCTGAGCCACACTGCCAATTCCCCCTCCTCACTAATCGCAGGATTAGAGAAAGTGGAGTCCGGGAATACAGGAGCCAGAGTCTGGGGATGGACACAGTGTGGTGAAGGGAACCAGACAGGCTTGCAGTGGAAGCGCTGCTTAGCCTGTCACATGCAGCCGCTGTGTGGTCCAGACAGGCCATTGACCTCTCTGAGCCCCACGCCCTTGTTTGTCAAGTGAGCATCATTTAGATAGAGCACATGTGTCAGCTGATGTGTTTGGGAGGCAGTGGCTAGTTGAATTGGCCGTTGTTGTGAGCTCTAAGTGCAGGAAAGAGGGGTTAGGAAAGTGTGTGGCTATTTCTTGCCCCTCCAGACATCACCCCTGGCCTCTTGAGCCCTGGAAGGCCGAGCTGCTCACTGGGGAGAACGTGTGTTGGCATCAGGATGGCCGGGTGGGACCTCCGCTCCACTGTGTGAGCCCGCGATGACTCATCCTCACCAGGCTGCCATTTCCAGGTTGCTATACCAAGATGCCTTATAGGCCTGCTTCCAGGACTGAGTGAGAGTTAGCATAGGCAAGGGTCTAGCCCAGTGTCTGTGGGTGTCTGCCTCACTTCCCTTTTTCCTTGGTCTGAACCCAGTGAGTCCGAGCCACTGATTCATTCTCTGTACTCACAGGGGCAGACAGAGGTCCCAGCAGTCCTTATCTTGCCCTATGTTTGCCATACCCACTTGCTCCTCTTCCCCAAAGCCATTTTCACCTGTCACTGTCCTTGCTCAGGAGCCTAGCATAAGCTCCCAATTCTCACAAACCAGCCTTCTCAGCCTGGCATTGAAGGCCCCAGCATGCCCGCCTCCAGCCCCATCCTCTCTGACTGTCTCACCAAATGTTCCTCACCCCAAGCTCTAACGTGGCCCTGGCTGACCTCCTGCCTCCCCCTGGTCCCCACAGCACTCATGCCTGCCACCTCCTTCCTCTGTCCTCCCTAGACTTCCGAGCTGGGCCCTGCCTCATTCATCTTTGAGTTCCTACGGATGTAAAAAGTCACAGACAAACCAAATCTCCAGCAGCAGCAGAGAGGAAGCCTATCAATAACAGGCCATAACGCAGTTATCAGGCGGATTGGCTTTGGGAAAGAAGCAGGTAATCGAATCTCCCTTCGGGCGCCATCTGTCTCCATTGCCCCTGCCTCACCCACTGGATGCCCACCTGCGTCCGGCGGCCAAGCCAGCGGGCCTGGCGGTAATGCAATTACAGCACCATTCCATTAAAGGGAGCTTGGGTTCTTTGGGGACAAGGGGAAGGGTTCCAGAAGGACAAGCAGGAGAGGACAAGGACAGGGTCAGAGGGAAACAAATGCAGGAGTGACACCCACGGCCAAGATAGATCTGGAAAAAAGTGCAGAAGAGTATGCTGTTCTCAATATTCCTGTTTCTTTTGAATTCTTACCCATACCTTCTCCCTTTCAAGTTTCTGGGACTGCTGCTTTGTGGGAAGGTCCCTAGCACATAGAAGGTGCTGAGACACATCAGCCCAGACTTTGGCACCAGGCTGCCTGGGACGGAACCCCACCCTGTCCCTGGCCAGGTGTATGACCTGGGGCAGGCTAGTTAACCTCTCTGTGTCTGAGTTGGCCCCTCTGTAAAATGCAGATGGTGACAGCAATAGTGGTAGTGATACCCATGTCACAGCTGGCTGTGAGGACTCAACGAGTTAATCTAGTGAAGTCTTAGAGAGGGTCTGGCCTATGGGACTCCCACATGGTCATCCATTCAGGTGGGATGGCTGCTCCTAGAGGGCTCCCTTCAGGGGCGGCCAGAACCCTGCCTGTGTACAGTGAAATGGTGCAGGGATGATCTCTTTACAGCGGGCAGTGGCTGGCAAGAACTGAGCTCCACTTCTAGGATCATAACTGAGCCCTATTCCTCACTGTCTGTCACAGGGGCCGTGTAGGGGCAGCAGGCAGCTGGTCCCTGGGCTTCAAAGCCAGCCCATTCCTAGAGCTTCTCATTCCACTGGTATGGGGTGAGACCCAGGCATTGGTAATTATTTCAAACTCCCCAGACAAGGCTGACAAGCAGCCAAGGGTGGAGACCACCACCTCTGGCCTGGGAGACCAACATGAGTGTGGTGATAGTGCCTGGCAGAGAACCAGCCAAGAGAGGTCAGCAAGACCAGGAAACACAGGCACCTGAGGACCCCAGACCCTCAAGGCCACCAACCTTGAGCAGGCAGCAAAGGGTGGCATGGAGTCTCTGGCTGCCAATTCCTCATTCAATTATTCCACAGATGTTTACTATCTGCCTGGTCGGTGCTGGGGCCTGGGCAAGGCCCTTGGGCTCCAGAAAGGCGAGACGCAGTTCTGTCCTTCAGGCCACAAGGTCTAGTGGGGGAAGCAGTGGCAGTCCAGAATAAGAGCAGCAGCTGCTGGGGCACAGTATACCCTGAGAGAGCTAGAGCTGGGGATCACGGGGCACGTATACGGATTTTTGACATTGACACTATACTGAACATACTCTTAGCATTCGTATTTTTCAGCAATAACTTCCCACCTTAATAAACAGTCATGCACAATACGATTTTTCAAGGCCACATCGTATCACACCACATGGGTGCTGTAATTTATCTAGCCCTCCCTCTGCTGCTGGATATTTAGTTTTTTCAGAGGCATCACTGAGGAGGGCTTATTTTCCTTGCACAATGAGATGCACAAAGGTGGCAGCAGGCTACCGCTGATGTTACAGCCGTGTGTGCTGCCATCCACAGCCCAGGCTCCCTCTAGCTTTCTGCCCCTCCCGCCTGAATTTGTGGCTTCCTCGTTCTTGCTCAGAGAACGGCTGTTGGACTTCCAGCCATCACATCCACGTTGCAGGCAAGAAAAGTGGGGAGAGAGAAGAGCAGAGCATGCTGCCTGCTGAAAACTCCCCCCTTTAAGCAAGAAAACCATACAGTTGATCCTGCAAGGACATGCTCCCCACTCACCAGGGCCCCCTTCCCTCCCCCAGCACCACCACACCCCTCCTTGGCACAACCAGGGATGGGAAGCCCAGGAGTACAGCCTGGGCCTGCCACCTCCATGTCTCAGGGGGCAAGACCCTCCCTAGAGCTGCCCACAGGCCCCCTCCACCAGGCCTCAGGCCTGGAGAAAGAAACATGGCCAGGGCCATGTCTAGGCCCACCCTAGTTGCAAAGGAGCCCAGAAAGTCTAGCCTTTGCTGGGCACACTGCTGCTGCCCTGAAGAGAGCTGGAATTGTATTAGGAAGGAGGGTGGGGAGGAAAAGCAGGCACCTAACACCGTCTGCCACCTTGATCCTATAGCACAACAAACTGAATGCCTTATTGTGGATACGCAGCCTGGGAGGCAGTGGGTCCCCCAGGCACAGATTATCCCAATAGAGGTTAGCTGATGACTTTGCCAGAAATGTCTTGGCGAGGATTCAAACAAAAGAAGGAAATCAAGAGGCTCCACAGCTCTTTTTGGCCTTAGGGCTTTGGGGGAAGAGTCCCACACCCTTAATTAGGTTATTCTATAACTTGAGTTTAACGGAGAAAGTATGATGAATTGGAAGTCACAGGTTCTAACCTCACTCTACCTCTCACTGTGCAACCTGTAGCAAATTCTTAAATTTTCTGAGCCTCAGATTCCTCTGCTATAAAATGGGAATAAAGTAACTTACAATTATTTGTGATTAATATGTGCTGGACACTATGTGAATTATTTACATGAATTATCTTACTTAATTCTGACAGCTCTATGAGATGGTTGTTACTATTTCCCCCATTTTACAGACAAAAAACTATGGCACAAAAAGGGTTAACAGTGAAACAATGCTCTTCCCCACCCCCCTCAAGCATTATTGATGTATAGTTGACAGATAAAATTGTATATTTTTAAAGTGTCCAATGTGATGATTTGATATATGTATATATTGTGGCATGATTCCCGCCATCAGGTGAGTTAACACATCCACATCCCTCACGTAGGAGGGAACATTTATTGCCACTGCAGCCTCCTCTCTGCCAGAATCTGGTGGAGTTAACTGTGACACACATGTGAACTGTGACATGCTTTACAAATAGTCCATGTTGGAGCCTTCTGTGCTGCCTTAGGACTGTAGACTAGAAGAAAAATAACAAATTCACTTATTCATTTAAGAAATATTCCTCATTCAACTGCTACACTCCAGTACTCTCTTAGGGCAGATATCAGTAACCAAACAGAAAAAGCATTTGTCCCTCAAAGAGCTCACATTTTAGGCAAGGCACGGTGGCTCACGCCTGTAATCCCAGCATTTTGGGAGGCTGAGGAGGGCAGATCACGAGGTCAGGAGATCGAGACCATCCTGGCTAACACGATGAAACCCCGTCTCTACTAAAAATATAAAAAATTAGCCGGGCGTGGTGGTGGGTGCCTGTAGTCCCAGCTACTCGGGAGGCTGAGGCAGCAGAATGGCATGAACCCGGGAGGCGGAGGTTGCAGTGAGCCGAGATCGTGCCACTGCACTCCAGCCTGGGCGACAGAGCCAGACTCGTCTCAAAAATAAAATAAAATTAAAAAAGCTCACATTTTAATGAAAAGAGACACAGAGGAAACAAAATCGGTGAGTTTATGTTGATACATACTTGATAGATGGCGATACATGCTATGGAGAAAACTAAAGTAGAAAAGGAGAGTGTTAGGATGACTAGGGGCTGCTATTTTAGATGAAGAGGTCAGAAAAGGCCCCTTCTGTACAAAGCGGACATTTGTAGGAAGCAAGGGAGCCCATTACATGGACACCTGGGGAAGGTGTCCTAGGCAGCGGGAACAGCTGGTGCAACGGCTCAATGTGGGCACTTGCTTGGGATGTTTGAGAAACAGCAAGAAGGCTCAAGTGGCTGGAGTGCATTGGTGGATTGAGTGAGCCGAGGGTGGGGAGAGGAGGTCAGGGGGCAATAGGGTAGGGGCTGGTTAAGGTTTTGTGGCCACTATAAGGATGTCAGCTTTTGCTTGAGGAAATGGGAGCCACCAGCGGGTTCTGAGCAGAAGGGTGACACGATCTGATCTGCTCTTAACAGGATCACTCTGGCCACTGCTGAGAATTGGCTAAGCAAGGGGGCAGGCAGGAAGACCAGTTGGGGGCCATGCAATAATCCAGCTGAGAGAGGTAGGTGGCTTGGCCCAGGTGGTCATGGTGAGTGGGTGAGAGGTGGTCAGATTACGGATGGTTTTTGTTTTTCTTTTTGATATGGAGTCTCACTCTGTCGTCCAGGCTGGAGTGCAGTGGCGCAATCTTGGCTCACTGCAACCTCTGCCTCCTGGGTTCAAGTGATTGTCGTGTGTCAGCCTCCCAAGTAACTGAGATTACAGGTGTGTGCTACCAGGCCCAGCTAATTTTTTGTATTTTTAGTAGATACAGGTTTCTCTATGTTGGCCAGGCTGATCTCGAACTCCTGAGCTCAAGTGATCCACCCACCTTGGCCTCCCAAAGTGCTGGGATTTCAGGCATGAGCCACCACACTTGGCCAGATTATGGATGTATTTTGAAGATAGATAGAGCTGATAGGATTTACTCATTGATTGGACAAAGGGAGTAAGGAAAAGAGAGAGAGAAGTCAAGGACGACTCCGAGGTTTCTGGGTGTGAGCAAGCTGGAGGAAGGAGTTGTCATTTACTGAGAGAGGGAAGACTATGGGGAATGAAGATTTGGGAGAGAAGATCAGACACTCAGTTTTGGACATACTGATTTTGATCTTCTCATTAGACCTCCAGGAAGAGATGTTAAGCAGACAATTTGAATACACAAGTCTGGAGTTCAGGGGAAAGTCTCAGGCCTAAGATATAAATGAAAGGGTCATGAGCATATAAATAGTATTAAAGCAATGACAGTGACTTAGTTTACCAAGGGAGTAAGCACAGAGGAGACACAGAAGATGTGCCAGTACTGAGCCCTAGGTCTTTCCAGTGTTTGGAGGTTGAGGAGACCAAGAAGGCACAGCCAGAGAGGTGGGAGGAGAACTGGGAGAGGGCAGTGTCCTGGAGGCCAAGAGAAGAAAACACAGATGACTTATCTAGAAACAGCCATAAAAGCTTTCAAAAAGTTAATGCCCTTTAACTAAAAAATGCGCTTCAAGAATACATTATAATTAAATACTCCTGACTGTGCACACAGATTGATGGCCAAGGATGTTCTTGACAGTGTGGGTTATAAAAGTGAAAAACAAAAAACCACCTGAATGTCTAACGATGGGGTCTTGGCTAAATAAATTAGGATACATCCATGTGATGGTATAGCCGACAGCCAGGAAAACTCACTTTTTTTTTTTTTTTTTTTTTTTTTGAGATGGAGTCTTACTCTGTCACCAGGCTGGAGTGCAGTGGCACAATCTCAGCTCACTGCAACCTCTGCCTCCTGGGTTCAAGCGATTCTCCTGCCTCAGCCTCCCAAGTAGCTGGGACTACAGGCATGCGCCACCACGCCCAGCTAATTTTTGTATTTTTAGTAGAGACAAGGTTTCACCATGTTGGCCAGGATGGTCTTGATCTCTTGTCCTAGTGATCCGCCCACCTCAGCCTCCCAAAGTGCTGGGATTACAGGCGTGAACCACTGCGCCTGGCCTGAAAACTCACATTTTGTGGAAAATTTTAAGACTCCTGAAAGATCTGCATGCAGGTTTGTCTTCATGATCTATTACTAAGTGAAAGCAAGCTGGTTACAAATCATTACAGTCAACAAGGTCTCTGTATCAGTCAGTTAAGAACATGGGAGCCACTCTAGGCATTGCAAGCAGAAAGGGATTTAGCCCTGGGAATTAGTGTATACAAAGGTGTGGAAAGGCTGGCTTGGTTTCTTTGCTAGCTTTTAGGGTGTTAGGAAGTTGCTGAAACCACAAGATACCTGAGCCTCTAGCACCAAAGCAAAGAAAATGCCTGGAGGCTTCTCAAAAATCTCCTATCTGCTGAAGCCCACACAGCTGCCCACAGCTGCCACCAGGAAAATATTATGATTTATGCTTCTTTTCCATCTGCCAAATCTTGTGAAAGTGCCTCTCATTGGCTGGCGAGGATTCTGAGGATTGTAGCTCCCTGGCTTCCAGCCCCTGCTGGCCAGGGAAGCATAGGTTAGGGGAGAGAAATTATATCAAGTTGCCAGCAGATAATACTGCACACTTTACAAATATTTCCTTACAAAGATAATGTGCCTGGAGAAAAGACTGAATGCATAAATGCTGTGGCAGGCCAAATAACGTCTCCCAAAGATGTCCACACCCTAATGCCTGGAACTCGTGAATACATTATGTTACTTGTCAAAAGGGAGTTTGCATGTGATTAAGGTTAAGGACCTTAAAATCGGGATATTTTCCTGGGTCATCCAGGTGGACCCCATCTAATTGCATGAGCCCTTAAAAGCAGAGAACATTCTCTCTAACTTTGCCTTCTGCCGTATCTCCCATCTTCCCCTTTTGCCACATCTCTCCTTTGCTTCTAGCACAGTTTGGAAAGGATCCCTCCAAGTCTGAGGATCGCTGGTTCTAGGGAGGGGAGGGCAGGGGCTGTTGGTGTCCCTAAGCTGCTAACACCAGGTGGTATCTGTCCAAAGAAGAGGCTTTTCTATGGAAATTGCATTGTTTTTCCAAAAATCAGTCATCTTGCCCTCTTGGCTCAGCCTCATACAGCACATCTGGGATGCGTTTACTAGAAACTTCCCCCGGAGGCCTGAGCCTGGTGCAGAAATTGAGAAGACTGGAAATGAGTAAGACTCATGCCAGGGCACTTAACAGGATCCACCAGTGGCACCTACTTTTCCACAGGAAGCCACACAAGTCAAGAATCCACCATGATTTTGCAAGATGGCTCCAGGGAAAGCCCTCCTGGGTTGTGCCTCAAATGCCCAAAGGGCTCCTCATTCTGCCATGCACCCCACCTCATTCTGAAGGCCTAGCCCTCATTGTGTGTGCACATCCAACCTCCAGGGCCCATCTTGCCTCTTTCTATCCAAGTCCCTGCCTTTAGTGCCTGCCCAGGGTCCTGGATCCCCCAAGGCTGGGACCCGCCTTGCTCTTGCCTTTCTTGTCAGAAGCTGTACTTCTGTCCTTAGCCCCAGTCTGATGGCAGGAGACCCTTCCTGCTGACCAGTCTTCCCACTATATTCCCAGTCTCCCATGGCTGGGAAATAGGGTTGGCTTCAGTTGTCCCTACTGGGATGCACCAAAAGTAGCAGGAAAAGATTCAAGAACCCTTTAATGCTCACAGCTTCGTCAGCATCCAGACGTCGTTCAGTCCCCTGCCTCCAGAGCAGGGTGTCCACCACTCACTCTTGCTGGCCTCCTGTCAATGGCTGACCATGCTCTTCTCACTTTGCCTAAAACTCAGTTTACCCCCACACCTGTCTATATGCTCTATTTTCTCTCCTGATGAAAGAGCGGAGAATGTGTCTATACTCACTCAGGTATACAACACAGTTACAAAACCACCTTCCTTCCTCTTAAATGACTGCATTAATTAAAGGTTTGTAGGCCTGGAAGATGCTAAGGTTCTAGGTCAAGGAATTTCCTCTTCTGTGCTCCTAGAGCTGACAGTTGTAAGGAAAGGAAGGGCAGCTCAGGGAGGACATCTAAAGGGCTCTCTTGTCTCCTGGTTACCTGGCCTCAGCACATCGCCCACACCCTCTGCCACTTCAATCCCTGCCCAGAGGGGACAGAGGGGACACTGGAAAATCCCCTCCCTCCCTCCCTCTAACCCTCTCCTCTCTCCAACAAGCCCTGGGCACAGCAATGTTCACCCAAGAGTGATGCTGAAGTCAGCCAGGTTCCTAAGAAAGGGTCATGGCCAGAGGACTTCGAAACTGCTTCAAGAAATGGAGGGAGGGTGCGGTGACTTCATATGTTTAGGACCAAAGAACAGTCCTAGGGATGCTGGAGGAGATAGGGGGGAGGACGTGGTCACTGCTTTCAGAAGCTGCTGCATGAAGGCTGCATGCTGCAAATGTTAAGAAATAGCCATGCCAGGCTGACATCTTCCTGACCTCCTGCCACCTTCAGGGCTCTCCTTTAGCCTCCCTGTCCTAGTGTAAGAGTAGCCACCTGTGCCTGCATTGAGTCCACTAGCCTGGGAGAGGCCCAAAGTTCTGGATCATGCCTCCCTCAAAAGACTGGGGCTCAAGATAGTCCTGAGGGTGACAGAGGTGCAGGGCTTCCTCAGGGGGCAAGCAGAAGAGTCCTGGTTTTCTTCCAAGGACCCCTGCCCCCTGCTGTTCAGTCCTCTCCAGCCCCCAGGGCTTCTCAACCCCCTGCTCGTCTCCACATACTCTGTCAGCCTTAAGGAGGCTCTTGTGGATCCTCATTCCTTCGGGACAGGAGGCCAACAGCTATGTCCTGAGCCTCAGCTCTTCCCTGGCCATGCCCCCGCCTCACACCTCCAGCCCTGATTTTGTGCCTCTGCTTCCAAGGGAGGAAGATGAACGACGGAGGAAGTTCTGAGCTAAGGAAGGGAGTATTGATGAAAGTTGTGTTGACAAAAGAATGTGTCAAGACTAAGTATGATTCTTTCCAGAAGTACAAGAAAGCCAAATTCTGGGAAACTCAACATAACCTACTATATTAGCATGTAAAATAGATTAATTTTCCCAACATGTTTAATGGGGAGACTCTAAAAGCAGTCCCGTTAAAGTTGACGTCAGCTCTCCCCATAAACTATCACCATTAGTATTTAATATTGTTCTGCAATTACTTGACAATGCAGTTAGATGAAAAATAAAATAAGAGGTATAAATATTGTAAAAAGAAAGCAGTTATTATCATTGGATGATATTACTCTATACTTGGATATTCCAAGAGAATCAGCTAAAGAACTTTTAGTAATATCAGGAATTTATCAAAGTGGCTAGTTTAAAAACAAGATTTCCTAAATACAAGAAATAACTAATAAAAGAATATGGAAAAACATCCCATTAATAAGGTTAACAAAAACCTAACATAAAACACATAGAAAAAATGTGCAGATACATGGAAATAGCTGTAAAAGCTAAATGAGGGACATACACATAGACTTGAATCGATGGAGAAAGACCTTTTCCTTGGATAAAAAGTCAGTAATATTGTAAGCATGTCAGTGTCACCATAATTAAACTATAAATTCAGCATACTTCTGTACAAAATATCAGCTGCTTTTGGGGGATAATTTGACAAAATGATTACATACAAATTCCTCTGGAAAAATAAATATAAATGAATAGAACATTCCTGGAAGGAAAAATAAGTAAACTAACAAGGAAAGAGTAGCACTATAAAACATTTTTCAAAAATAGTATACAGCTACAATAATTAAAATAGTGTGGGACTGGTGCCTGCATACAGATCAATTGGAAAGAATAAAACAATTTTAAATAGGCCCAAATAAACATGAGAATTCAATTCAATAAATTGAGATACTAGTCAGATATTTGGATCAAAAATAAATAAATCTGGATTCGCTACATCACTCCTAATATGGACATAAATTCCAACAGGATCAAAGATTTAAAGAAAGGAAAACATTTTAAAAATAGTCATAAAAGTGCCAGAAGAAAATATGTGTAAATGTTTTCGTGAACCTGGGATAGCGATTTTCCTAGTCATAGAACAAAACAGAAGTCATAACAAAGAAGATTAACAAATGTACCTACGCAGACATTCAAGGAAAAAGCTCCATAAACAAAATCAAAGGACAAAATAAGAGAAAAGTACCTGCAAGATGTATGACAAAGTGCTAATTTTCCTAATTTAAAATAAGACATTTTTTAAAACAGTAAGAAAAAGATTAAACAATCCAATGGCAAAATATAGGCAAAGAATACAAACAGGTCATTCACAAAAAACACAACTGGCTAATGAAAATATAAACAATGTTCAATCTCACTAATCATTTTAAATGCAAATTAAAACAAGATCTAATTTTTCATTTATCAGATTGACGAAGATGAAGAAGGTGATACTATACAGCGTTGTGGAAGACGTGGCAACACAGGCAATCTCATGCAATGCTAATGAAATGAAAATTAGTACACTCTGCCGCAATTAGGCGTTATGTATTATATTTTATTTTAGTTTAGTTTATTTTTTGAGATAGAGTCTCACACTTGTCGTCCAGGCTGGAGTGCAGTGGCACGATCTCGGCTCACTGCAACCTCTGCCTCCTGGGTTCAAGCAATTCTCCTGCCTCAGCCTCCAGAGTAGCTGGGATTACAGGTGCCTCCCACCACGCCCGGCTAATTTTTTTGTAGTTTTAGTAGCGATGGGGTTTCACCATGTTAGCCAGGCTGGTCTTGAACTCCTGACCTCAGATGATCCGCCCGCCTCAGCCTCCCAAAGTGCTGGGATTATAATCGTGAGCCACTGTGCCCGGCCTGGCGTTATCTCTTAAATTTTAAATGTTCTGGCCAGGTGCGGTGGCTCATGTCTGTAATACTAGCACTTTGAGAGGCCAAGGCGGGCGGATCATGAAGTCAGGAGTTTCAGACCAACCTGGCTAACATGGTGAAACCCATCTCTACGAAAAATACAAAAATTAGCTGGACGTGGTGGTGGGCATTTGTAATCCCAGCTACTCGGGATGTTGAGGTAGGAGAATCGCTTGAACCCGGGAGGCAGAGGTTGCAGTGAGCCGAGATCACGCCACTGCACTCCAGCCTGGATGACAGAGCAAGACTCCATCCCAGAAAAAATAAAAATAAATAAATAAATAAATAAATGTTCATATTCTTTGACCCAGCAGTTTAACTTCTAGGATATTATGCAACTGCCCAAAGATATATGTACAAAGCTGTTCATGGCAGCATTGTTTATAATTTTTAAAAAGGGAAACAAATCACAGCTTCATTTATAGGGAGGTGGTTAGGTAAATAATAGCACATCCACAGAGCAAACTACTCTGCTGCTATTGAAAAGAATAAGGGGCTGGGCATGGTGGCTCATGCCTTAAATCCCAGCACTTTGGGAGGCCAAGGCAGAAGGATCAACCACTTGAGACCAGGAGTTTCAGGTCAGCCTGGGCAATATAAGAAGACCCTGTCTCTATTTAATAAATAAATAAAAATAAAAAAGAATAAGGAAGCTTTATGTATATACCATCATGGAAGGAAGTCTAACATAAGTGAAAAAACAAATTGTTAACCTTATGTGTAACATATTTTTAAAATAATATGTTTTAATCATGCCTGGGCCCATCCACTTCTCTTTGGAGGTCCCTAAGGAAGCTTAATACATAAAAACAGTGGTAAAGGCAGGCAAAATATCACTTTAATACTCACTGGGGTCCTGGCCTCCAGTGGGCAGGACAAAGGCCCCTCTGACAGTGCACACAGAAAGGATCCAGCGGTTCCTGGGGCTCCCTCTACCTTCACATCCTGTCACTCTGCCTGGGCCCAGATCCTCCACCTTGCCGTGCATGCACACAGGGGCCACTGATTGACTCAGAAGACCCCCACCCTCTGGTGGCTCTGGAATCTCTTCCTTCAGGGTGTGAAGGCCAGGGAGAGAGGCAGGGGAAGGGGTTGACCCACCCTCTGGGGTCAGAGGTGCTGAGCCTCCCGGATGCAGGGGGTGGACCAGAGCCAGGAATTGCAACAGCTGGCCACGGGGTTTGTGGGTGAGTGGGCAGCCTGCTGTGGTGAGGAGGGGAAGGATTTGTGGGAAACACGGTTGGCAGAAATAGCCAGGATGGCATGCACCGGCAGCCTCTGGGGAGGGGACCCTTGCCCTCAGCCAACTCCCTCAGGGTCCATCCTGGGGCATTGCTGGCCACCTGGCCACCCTACAGGCCTTGAGTCACTTCCTGTGTTTTTCTTTCCCCCCAGGTAGGCTCTTGACTCACAGCCCTCCTTCTCTTCTTCCTGTCCTTCTGTGGCTCAGGGGGCAAGGACAAGACCCACCTGAGGGTCAGGAGAAAAGTTAGGGGACCTTGGCTTGGGATAGGTGCCCTCCCACCCAGACCTCTTACCTCAAAGGCTACCTCAGTCAGTCAGTCCCCTGTGTCCAACCCAGCCCAAACAGGGACTCACTGAGTCCCTCCTAACTCCTTCCCTCAGAGAGAAGGGCTGGAGTGCTCAGACCTCCTGTCTGCATCTTCGGCAGCTTCTGCCTTCTCTCCCAGTCCTGTACCCTAACCTGGCTCTCACTCTCTCGCATTACAACAAACTTCCTCAGGAGTTCCATCTTCTCAACAAATATTTTCTAACTGAATCAGAGTCAAGGTAAATCTCCAGAGTAGGATCACAGGGCCAGCTGGTTGAGCAACACAGAAGCAGAGTCCTCTCCACTGGGGACACTTTGGTACTCATGGTTGGTTGTCTACTCAGCCTCTGTCCCCACACCCCTTTCCTCCTTTAAAACCCAACCCTCTCCGCCTCCTCCACAGTAAGGCCCTGTGCCTCACCAACCAGTTAGCGAAGCCTCATTCTCTCTAAAGGAATGGGTATGTGGCCTAATGTTGGCTGATGAGAACTCAAGAGTAAGTTTTCTAGGGGCACTCCAGGGAAAAGTTCTCCTTATTTGAAAAACAGACCTTGAGAAAGATATGGCCCCTCTTCAACCTCCAGGCATATTATGTCTGGATGCGATGTCTGGACTTTGAGCAGCCACCTTACAACCATGAAGGGCGCTATAGCACCTGAGAAGCAAATCAACACGCTGAGGATAGCAGGGCAGAAAAACAGACAGAACCTGGATCCTTGATTATGTGATAGATCCACTCAATTACCCTCCCTAGACCCACGGTCCCTAGGGACTTTTCTCAGGAAATGAAAACTTCCTGTATTGTCTAAACCATTTTGAATCAGGGTTTCTGTTACTTGCAGTCAAAGAGCCCTGAGGATACAGCTAGATATTTGGCAAGTATGGATGAAGAAACCAAATGAGTAGTTGTGAGCAAGGAGGGTGCACGGCCTGAGGAAGGAGACCACATTTCCAAACCTCTGGCTCATGTTTAGCCTCATGACATGAGACCAGGCCAGCTGGATGCTGAGAGAAGCAGGAGGAATTTGGATTGTGTGTGTATAAAGATGTAAGAAACAAGAGCTGGAGTGAGGGTACCTCTGGGAATCAGTAGCTCAGGTGTGGTGAGGGAGAGATACAGAGATGTTCATTACAGCATTGTTTATTCATGATTCCAAAAAGAGTGGAAGCAACCCAGAGGTTTATTTATAGAGAATCGATGAAACAAATGTTAGTATGTCCATAGAGTGGGAGCTGGGCATCAGCAGAACCTCAAAAGAGGAGGCACCAGCCAAGTGGGAGCCCTGGATAGGGTTGCGTGGTCCACCAACTGTGGACCTCCATCGAGCACCAGGTCTTCTCCTCACCAGCTTGGAAGGAGGAGCCTTTGGCCAGGCTCCTGGTTCAGTTCCTGTCACATATTTCTTTGCATTATACATTCCATTCCCTGACTCCCCAGTACAGCTCTGACTCCCCAGCACTGCCACTCCCTTCTCAAGGGCAGGGACTCCCTCTTCTGTGTCTCAGGGCTGCCCTGGGCTAAGCATAGTGGTTGGGGCCTGATTACATAGGATCCAGGAGGAAGACAGCTTCTGTTAAAGGTAAGGGAGGAGGAAGACTGTCTAGAAAAAACAATCAGGAAAGTGGAAGGGCCAAGGTTTACTGAGCAGGACCATTGCTGTGGAACCAGGAGAGGGACAGAGATGGGAGAGGAGGAGATGAAGAAACAGACTCTAGATGGAGGGCAACGGAGCTAGGATGGGGACAGGAGAGCCAGAGAGGAGATCCAGCCCCTACGGCACCATGGGAGGGCACCCAACTACAACCCACGGTAATGCATTTCACCCCCAACCCAATGCCAACACACATGGGTGTGCAGAAACTTGAAATGAACATTGCGCAAAACTACACTTCCCCCTACAACATGTAAAGCACTCTGTTTTCTATTCTATTCTACTTCATGTTTTTCAAATGCTGGTCACAACCTACTGTTAGGGTTGTGACCAGCCAGGGACAAAGTCCGTGCGGAGACCAAGCACAGGCATTTAGACTCTTTATAGCAATTTTTTCTCTTGAATCCCACAATACAAAATCGGAGTTTGGGCCGGGCGCAGTGGCTCAAGCCTGAAATCCTAGCACTTTGGGAGGCTGAGGCGGGCAGACTGCCTGAGCTCAGGAGTTCAAGACCAGCCTGGCCAACATGGTAAAACTTCGTCTCTACTAAAATACAAAAAAATCAGCCAGGCATGGTCACAGGTGCCTGTAATCTCAGCCACTCAGGAGGCTGAGGCACAAGAATTGCTTGAGCTCGGGAGGCGGAGGTTGCAGGGAGCGGAGATCGTGCCACTGCACTCCAGCCTGGACAACAAAGCAAAACTCTGTCTAAAAAAAAAAAAAAAAACTGTACTTTGTCTTATTTTATCTTTCTAATCATTTCTTTGCATTATACAATATGGAATTTTCTGTGAGACAGAGTCTCGCTCTGTCGCCCAGGCTGGGGTGCAGTGGCGCAATCTCGGCTCACTGCAACCTCCACCTCCTGTGTTCAAGCAAGTCTCATGTCTCAGCGTCCCGAATAGCTGGGATTACAGGTGTGTGCCACAACACCCAGATAATTTTTGTATTTTTTAGTAAAGATGGGGTTTCACCACATTGGCCAGGCTGGTCTCGAACTCCTGGCCTCAAGTGATCTGCCTGACTCAGCCTCCCAAATTGCTGGGATTACAGGCATGAGCCACTGCGCCCGGCCGACAGATTGGGATTTAAAAAAAAAAAAAACTAGTCGTTCTTTCAGGTAGCTTGAAAAGCACTGTGTTGGAGGATACGGGCCCTGCCTAGCAGCTCACAGTCCAAGATGGAAAACTCCTCTGGCCTTTCCACACTGGGGAGCAGCCTGCAGGCCTGCCTTCCACAAATGCCCCCTTCCCTGCCTATCAGAATCCTCCAAGGCTCTGTTCAACGCTATCTCTCCAGGAAAACTTCTGAGATGGCACCCGCCTGCACTCGCTGTTGCCCTGGAGCTCTCACAATACACTGCCTGCACCCCTTTACCCTATTTCATGTTCTCGTCTGGGTGGCCGTCAATGGACCTGCTTAGCATAGATTCAGGCCATGGGTCTGACACAAGCACAGTTTTGCACATAGTAGGTACATCAAAGGTAAGAGAGAAAGAGGAGCACAGACAGGATGGGAAAAGGAGGGAGATGGAGGGATGGGCGCTATGGATGGTCACCAGGGATGGGAAGTCTGAGTCCAGGTTCTTCTGATACCGCAAAGTCAGAGGAGGGCCATGGGTAGAAATCCTAGGTGTATCCTAGCCTAAGTGGTTCAAGGAGGGGAGCAGCGTAGGGTGCCCACTGGAGCAGGAAGAAGGGGGTTGCTCTGAGCCAGGTTTCCCCAGGCACCATGGAGCCTATCCTGAGGAGGGGAACAAGAGGTGGGTCTGGGGAGAACTGGGCGGGGCCTGGGAGCTATTAAGTGTTTGCCTCAGGGGAGGCAAAGCGGGGAGCCCTCTGAAAGGGGTGCTGCGGGTTCTTCACTGAAAGGTCAGAGAGTATGCTAAACCCAGGCAAGCCCGCAAGAGGTCGTTTCATCCATCTTCCTGCCTCCATCCCAAACTCTGGTAGCAACATCTGGACTTTCCATCCTAACATGCCCTGGAGCTGGGACATACTGACTCCCTTGGATGGTTTGTTTCCCTCTGCCCTGGAAGCCCCTGCCATCCCCACATCATTTTGACAGTGTCTTAGCTTTGAAATTTTGCTGTGTGACCTCAGGCAAATCAGTTGACCTCTCAGAGCCTCAGTTTCCTCATCCGTTCAATGGGGATAATAGCACCGGGGTGCTATTGCGGGAACAAAGTGAATAATGCATGGGAAGTGCCTGGCAGGTGGTGGGTGTTGGTCAGTACCCCCTCTTGCCCCAGGCTGCTCCCTGGGATGGCACTTAGCCAGGAAACTTGGATATCATGTAGTGTGTCTGCTGTGGGTCCAGCAGTCTGGCAGAGCAAGGAGGAATGGGCTATCTGAGATGGAGAGTGGGTAACCAAAGAAGGCCTCCAAGAGGAGGTGAGTTGCAGACAGGAACTGATGCCTGAACTATGGAGTAAAGAGAGGGCAATCTTCCCACGTGGGAGACCTGATCTCTGCTAAGACTCATGAGAAAGAAAAAGCTGGGGTAGGAACACAGGGCAGAACAGCCGGGCCAGTTCCTGGAATGGGGAAAGGTGTGCGGAGGGGACAGCTGGCAGAAAGGGCCACTGGGAGCCACTTCTGAGGGTCAGCAAGCCTGGCATGCTCCTGGCCCTGCTCAAGACGGTGACGAGTCAGCAGGGGAGGAACTCCCACTGAGCCAGGTGAGCAGCCCTGGCCTCAGGAGTGAGGCTGCCAGCTTGCCTCCAGGAACTGGCAGCAACCCTGGCAGGGACAGGGGCAAGGGCCTGGGGAGTGGAACAATGTGCTTTGTGTGCGCTGGCCATGGTGGGGCTGGCTCTTGAAATTTCCCTAGAATAAGCTGGAGCCCAGGGGCAGAGCTAGGGCTGCCTCTGCTGAGAAAGCCTAACCCTGCAGTCCACCCAGGGCGACAGGAGCCCCCACCCCAGCCCTCACCCCTCCATCTTCAACCAGACCCTTCACAGCCTGCCCCACCTTGGCTCAACCAGTAGCTCCTCCACACTCACCCACGCCCTTCACTCCTGCCTGGGGCACACGCACCCCCCTGCACCCTGTGCTCAGTGCATGCACCCCCCCACCACACACACACAGGCAGGGGTCACCCAGTATCCAGTGGGTTTATGGAGAGAGGGGGTTCCCCTTGTACTAGATAGTATGAAGAAACCATGATGTGGGGGCCAGAGAGCGACAGACACAGAGAAAGACAGGAGGGCCCGATGGGAGAGTTACGACCAGAGAACAGGACAAGAAAGAAGAAAGGGACAAAGAAAGGGGGGGTCGAAAACAGACACAGAAAGACAGAGGCAGTGAGGGGAAGGACCTCAGAAGAAGAGCGGGACACTGTCCTGGGGGTTCCTGGGGCTCTGGTGGTGGGCAGTGGTGTGCTCTGCCCTCAGCCCTACAAGCCCCAGCGCCCTTGGTCACCCACTCTGGGCCTGCCACCAAGATAGTTACTAAACTCTCTCCTCTTCTCACAGTTCCCTCCCCCGGCCCTGTGTCACGTTCAGGTAAAATATTCAGGGCTCACCCACCACTTCAAGAGGGAGGAAGTCCTGAGCTCCCAGGTCCAGGCTTTAAGGGCTGGGGGCCAGGCCCTCGGCTTCTGCACGGTGCTCCACACAGCTGTGTAGACTGCAGGGCCCTCTGACATCTGTCCATCCCTGGTGTAAGCAGACCTTACTTGAGCCCCAGGCCTATTGACCCCCAGGGACAGCATCTCTACCACTCATTCACAGGAGCCCCCAGAATCCAGCCAACATAGCTTCATTTTCTCCCCAAAAGGCATTGCTTGCTTTTTGGAGGAAACACTCCTCCCGGCTTTCCAGGCCTATCATGCCACCCCAGGACCACTGACTGTTTCCGTTGTCCTCGCCTCTTCTCTAGGAGCTCATTTCCTCTGCATACTCGGAGATTTTCATCTCCTGCCTCCTTCAGATGCCCATAAAGAGGGCAGGCATACCCAGTCTGGCTCAGGTACCCAGGGAAGCTACTGACTGGCCAGAGAAGGGTCTGGTCTCCTTCCTCCTTTGTTTCTTGCCTCTCAACCAGTCCCCTCTCCATGACAAAATATTGTCTTCAGTCCCACCAACAGTTTGGAGGTGGACACTTTGCAGGGGAGGCTTAAACCCTAACTACTACATGCTCTTCACCTTCCCTCAGCTGGGTACACAGGGTTTCCCCCTTAGGGAAGCAACTGGATTGCCTCTCTTCCAGAAAATTAAAGCCACCCAGGACTTCAGTGCCAGGCCCTTTATTATGAATTCCTCCAACAGGCCTGGAATGAAAGCCAGGCTGCTGACTAGGGCCGGCCCTCCAAATCCCCTCAGACCCTAACAAGGAAGAGAGCTATCTTGCACAATGCCACTTGCCAGGCCACCTGCAGCCCCACAAGTCCACCTCCTCATTCTCATTCCCGAGCACTGCCAGGGGCCATCAGAGAGAAAGAGGGCTAGGGATGGGAATGGAGACTGAGTCCTACAGGTAGGGAGGGCAAGGGACTGAAAGAAAAGGAGAGCAAGAAGGAGGGAGGGGAAGACCGAACCAGAAAAAGATGTCGGGGGTGGGGGTTGGGGTGGGGTGGGATCTGTGGAGAGAGAGTGGAAGAGAGAAAGAGATGGGGAGAGAGACAGGGAAAAGAGAAATAAGAGTCATGGTAAGAAAGAGACAGGAACAGAGAGCCTCGGCTTCTCCTGGCTTCTCTAGACCTCTCCAGTGGGATTTAAGACCTCAAGCAATCCTGGAGATCAAGATGGAGGCTTGGCCTGCAGTTTGAGGATCAAACTGTCTCCTGGAAACTACCCCCATGCCCTGGACCCAGCCTCTGTGGCCCAGGACAGTAGTGGGGACAGGTTAAGGCTAGGGAGTGCCTTTGCCAGGCACTGGGAAAAGACACTGCAGGCCCCAAATTGTGGTTAATCTCCAAGGACACGCAAGAATGCAGCAGGAGAGACTAGGATTAGACAACAGGGAGAACTCGATGACAGCTAGAGCTCCGGGATTCATTCCCTGCAAGGGCAGGGAGGTTGAGGGGGCAGAGGAGGAAGGAATCTGCAAGGAGGTTGCTGACGTCCTCCTGGAAGGCTAGAAATGAAGCACAGGCAGCCGAGTCTTCTCCCACCTCCCTCCACCCCCAGCGATGAGTCAGGGATTCCGCAGAATGCTGAATTCCTGTCTTCCTTTGGGCAATGATACTTGACACTCTCCTAGGTTTTCTCTCCTGCCACAGAAGTAAAATCTTCAACCATTCTCAAGGACTTCTTTCTCCTCAGCTCCCCAGACAGGCCCCTGCTTTCCTGTGAGTCACTGTATCTTCAAAGCCCCTTCCTGCCTCAGCCTACCCCAATAGCTCTCAGGCTCCTGGCTTTGCACGTGTTGTTCTGTCTGCCTGGAACACTCTTCCCAGAACTAGCTTCTTCTCATCCACCAGAAACCAGTTTAGATGGCACCTGCTGAAACAGATCAGCTCACAAAGGCCCGGCACAACCTGGCCCACAGAAGCATTCCTGAGTGCTGTAAATGAATGAACTGTGAATCAATGAATGCAGAAGATTCTGAGGGGCAGAAACCACATGCCCTACCCTCAGGGAGCCCACGATCTGATGGTGGAGACTCAGCCTCTGCCTTGGAACCCCTCAGTGAGCAGAGCTGTGGAACTCAAAGAAAGGAAAGCCTTGCCTGGGGCCTGCAACCAGGTTCCCTCTGAACTTCAAGGCAAGGAAGTCTTCTTCTATGGTCAGGGCCCAGCCCACACCTGCTACAAAGGCAGGGCCCAATGAACATTTCTGGGAGGGAGCAGAGGGGAGGGGAGGGGAGGGGAGGGGAGGGGAGGGGAGGGAAGGAAGACATCTCATGGACCTTTGGCTTTTCTTTGAGGGCTGCACTCTGGTCAAGAGGCTCCCTGGTGACCAGGGCCAACTGGCCCTTTCCATCAGAGCCAGGCACTGGAGAGCACAGTGTGGGTGCTTGCTCCATATTTGAGAGCAGAATAGAGCTGGAGGACTCTGGGCATCGAGAAGCCAGGCCCCAGCGACAAGGCTACCTCAGTTTCCAGACCCACAATGAGAGCAACCAGAGGAGGGAGGGGAGAGGAGGCAGGCTGCCACAGGGCCAGGAAGAGGCAGCTAAGGCAGTGTGGGACCCACCTGGGGTGAATGGATGGCTGAGCCTCCAGGGTGGCCTCAAGGGTTGCAGGGGAGACCAGACAGGGCTAAGGGTTGCAGTCCTGGTGGGATCTGAGCCTGGGGAAAAGGGAGAAGCTGGGGAGGAATCCTTCCACCAGCCCTTCAAGGCGAGCAAAGCCCCCTGCACTCCCCCAGCCCCAGCGAGAGCAGCTGGTTAGTGGATCAGGATCATTGCCTCAGGAAGGCAGGGGAGTTTCTGTGAATGAGTCTTTTCCATGCTCAAACCAAAACCTAAGTCCCTAGCCCAGCAGGCAAAGCTGCCACTTCCTCTCCAGAACAGCAAAGACCTAAGGCACTGGGAAGAGACCTGCCACTTGGGGCACCTCCCTTCAGGCCTCCCTGGGGGTGGCTGCTGTGGCACAAGTGGAGGAGAGACAAGTCAGGATGGGAGACTTTCTCCTGAGCTGGCCTCTGTGTTCTGCTGTGATATCCCTGCCCCAGGAGACAAAGTGCCACAGAGGGTAAATAGTAGGGGTGGAATTTAAACCCTGAGAAAGAGAGCAAAAAGTCACAGACTTCCTGGGTCTATGCAGGGATAAGAGCTAAGTGCCAGGGAATGAGTAAGTGCTGAAGCATGAAGCCAGGGGTTAGTGGGTCAGTGACCCACCCCATCCACCTATTCCTTAGCTGGCCATCATTAGGGAAATGATGTATTTATTTAACCAACACGTACATAGTGCAAGGTAAAACACAAATACCTAACAAATATTAATTCAGTGATTACCCAGAACAAACCTAGGAAGAGAGCACTATTGTCATCCCCAGTTGCAGATAGGGAAACTGAGGCCCAAGGAGGTTACCTGACTTGCCCCACATCACACAGCTGGAAAGTGGCTGAACCGGGATTCAAACCCAGACATGATGCTGCCCCAGTTGGGTCTTGCTGCTGCCATGATTTCAAGGCCTGGAAGGGGTCAGAGAAAGTCAAAAGTCAGGAGGCCAGCATCAGAGTAGGGCAAGGACCTCCCCCAGCAACAGCCAGAGCCTGAGAGAGAGCAGCTGATGTAATTGCACCCCTTGTTGCGGGGGTGGGGAGTTGGCCCAGGCCCAGGGAGTGGCCAATGGCAGGGCCCCTGCCTCCCTCAGCTTGCCAGGGAGAAAAGGAACCCCTCCAGGGTATTTCTATTATCTGGAGGAGAAAGTGAGGTGGGAAGAAAAGTTGGCTGGAAAGCAGACTGAACTTGCAACTTGGTTTAATAACCAAATCCCAGTTCTCCCTGTGAGCCAGGGCTCCCTCCCACTGTCCCCTCCAGAAAAATCCAGGCCAGGCCTGGGTCTGGGAACAAAGAAGCCTGTCCCCACAACCCCCCCTCCCCCAGCTCCCAGCTCCCTACTAGAGCCCCAGAAGTAGGGTCCATTTCTCCTGGAACCTGCCATGGCCCCTCCAGGCCTCCAGTCCCACTCTTCCCGAGCTCAAAGAGAAGAGGAGGATCCCAGAGATGGGTGACTGCATTTTCCACCCTGAATATGAGGCTGTGTGGGTTGGAAAAATAAACGGCACTGGTTGGGGAAGGGGGAGTGAACTGTTTGAATGAGGGCTGTCCTGAGAAATGCCGGTCATGTGGTCCTTGGTCCAAATGAAAGGTCAGAGCACCCACTGCGCAGTCAGAATGGCTGGGGAGCGGGAGGAAAGGGGAGGAGCAGAGTGGGCAGTCCTCATACACACTCACACACAAACATTCACATACATCTTCACACACACCCACGCTCACATACACACACACATATTCATATACACATTCACACACATCCATATGCGCCGTCACACACACACACATATTCATATACATCTTCACACACACCCACGCTCACATACACACACACACATTCATATACACATTCACACACATCCATATACAGCTTCACACACACCCACACACAAACATTCATATACATCTTCACACACACCCACGCTCACATACACACATATTCATAGACACATTCACACACATCCATATACACCTTCACACACACACACAAACATATACATCTTCACACACACCCACGCTCACACACACACACATACATTCATATACACACATTCATATACATCTTCACACACCCACGTTCACATACACATATTCATATACACATTCACACAATCCATATACACCCTCACACACACACACATTCATGTACATCCTCTCACACACACACACATATCCATATACACATTTACACACACCCACACTTATACACATTTACACACATCCATATACACCCTCACACACACCCATACACACATACACACTCACATTTATATACATCTTCACACACACATTCATATACACACTCACACACATTCATATACACATTGCCACACACCCACTCATAGACACACACACTCATATACATCTTCACACACCCACACTCATATACACCTACCTACATTCATATACACACACTCACATACACATTCACACACACATTCATATACATTTTACACACCCACACACTCACACACATTCATATACACATTCTCACACACCCACACAAAACACAAAAACATTCATATACATATTCATAGACACATTCACATACATCTCACACACCCCACACACACACACATTCAAATACAGTCTCATGCACACACATTTATATACATATTGTCATACACACACTCATACACACTCATATACGCTCATACATTTATATACACATTCTCACACCTCGACACACTCACATGCACTTATCTATACACTCATACATGGAGACACTCAGATACTTAGATACACACACACATACATGCAGACACACACTCCAACACTCCTACACACATTCACCCCCCTCACACACCCACACATGTATATACACTCACATCCTGAAGCACACTCAGACACATACTAACTCTCAGAAACACACTTATCCCTCAGAGGGGGTAGGACCAGCCTAGGAAAGAGTCCTTCTGGGAGAATGGCATGGCTGGTGACTGCCAAGGGGTAGGCAGAAGCCTAGGACTGGGCAGGGAGCCCAAGAGTAGGGGGTGGTGCTGTGGGCCACTGTGCAGAGGCCAGGACTGTGAATGAAGTGGGCACTGCTCCTGCCCCCTCCCAGGCCTGCCTCTGGCCAGGCCAGCCTCCATCCCGGCATTGTCTCAGGCATCTTGGGCAGGGTTCCCAGAGCTGGCTGAACCAGGGGCCTGGCCAAACAGCCCTCCCCTGCCCTCCCATTCCTCTCTTCTTGCAGGGAGGGGGTGGGAAACCTTCCCCATAACCCTGGCATTTCACCCCCAGCCCACACAGGTGGCTTTTGGAGAAGCTCAAGTGCCAGAATTTGACCCGAAAACTCCAGGTTCCACAACGCCCCCTGCTTCCTTCCCAGGCCAGGAAGCCTTGGAAGTCCAGCCCCCACCAACCTGTCCCCTCAACTATGACATTCATTTCTTTTTTTTTTTTTTTTTTTGAGATGGAGTCTCGCTCTGTCACCCAGGCTGGACTGCAATTGTGTGATCTGGGCTCACTGCAACCTCCGCCTCCCAGGTTCAAGCAATTCTCCCACCTCAGCCTCTTGAGTAGCTGGGATTACAGGTACCTGCCATCATGCCCGGCTAATTTTTGTATTTTTGTAGAGACGTGGTTTCACCATGTTGGCCAGGCTGGTCTTGAACGCCTGACCTCAGGTGATCCACCTGCCTCGGCCTCCCAAAGTGCTGGGATTACAGGTATGAGCCACCACGCCCAGCCCATGACATTCATTTCTACCACATCCCAGGTATCCCATCTGCTCTCCTCCACAGGCTGAGTTTAGTGCAGGGCAAACTGTCTCCCTCCCCACATCCCCCACCCAAAGCAATGGGAACTACTGGCATTTTAGTCTTAAAGGCCAAATGAATCACCTGTGTGCATGTGGTGGGGGCAGGAGGGGCAGGCATTAGTAGATTGATTTGAACCAGTTCCCTCTTTGAGAACTGGCTCTCTCCTGCCCTCTCCAAAATGTTCTCCACCAACCCCTCAACATGCAGTCCTGGCAGGGTGAGTCCCACTTCTCCCTGTTGGTGCCAGAGAGCTGAGCCACCCTCACAGCCAGCCAAAGGAAGGGACCCTATGGGCAAGAAGACCAGCCATCATCCGGAACCGGGTGTCCTCCCTTAAGGGGACTTGGGCAACACCCTTTACAGGACTTTGTAGGGTAACAGCAAGAGGATCACCATGCTGTCCTCACAGGGCTTGCATCTGGGAGGGGCTCTTCCCTGTCTTGGAACTGAGCCTGGACAACTCAGGTGCCCTCCAACCTGTTCTCTACCTGAGCCAAAGAGGTTTTTTCCAAAACACAAATCGGATCCCATCCAGCCCTTGCTTAAAACCTTTCAAACGTTTCCCAGTGCCCTCCGGATAATTCCTTAATGCAGCACAACATGCAAGATCTGCCATTGCACCTCGCCTCCTCTTCCCCTCCCCATGTCATGATCCTCACCCATTGAAAGGAATGCCACCCCTCTCCCAGTTCTGGGATGCTCACCCCCACTCCCAGCTCACTCATCATCCTGCAGATCTCAGCTCCACCTCTCCTGGAAAGTCTTCCTAGATCCACCCCCGGGTCTCAAGCTGAAGCCTCCTCTCTGCTCTAGGGGACACTGTATCTCTTCTGTCCTGGCACTGATCACAGTGTGTTGAAACAGTCTGTTTGCTCCTCAGCCTTCCCATCTCAACCAGGAGCTCAGGAGGGAAGGGATACATCTGTCTTACTCATCATTAAGCTCCTAGCCCCAAGCACAGCACCTGGCACAGAGGAGGTGCTGGATAAACTTGAATAAATGAATCGATCAATCAGTCAACAGCCCATCACTACCCAGGGCCATTTTGCACACCTTCCAGGGCTGGCCTGAGGCAAGCATGCCCACACCCCTCTGCTCATGCCCCTCAACCCACTGCTTCATATGGCACGGTAAGTCTGGCTCCCCACCCTCTGGAAAGAATCCTCTGTATAGACCCCTTCCCCTAACCAAGCCCCACCACCTTCAGGGAAGGCTGAGCTCTAATCCAGGACACCACTCCAGGAAGTCCCTGACTGCCTCCACAACCTCACCTGCTCCAAACTCCTACAAAGCCTTTCACTGGGGCCACCCTTTGGCTTATATCACAATGTACTTTTTTGGGTTCACTGTCCGTTCCCCTAAGGCTCTTGGCCTCCCATGAAGGCTGGGGCCCTGGCAGACAGAACCAGCAGGTGCTACCTGGGCTGCACTCTGAGGCAGGCCCTGTGCTGGGTCCTCTAGAAAGATAGGCCAGCCTGGCCCTGCTGAGAACTCGGGATGGAGCAGGCTCGGGAAGCCAGGGGTTCTACTGTTTCCTTTCTCACCCTAGGCCCTGCTGGGGACCAGGACCTGGAAATGAACATCAGAGGAGGAAGGCCTCAGTGTGGAAGGGTATCAGCCAGCAGGCAGAATCCAAGGAGAGGGAAGAGCTAAGATTGGGCCATCAGAAGCCAGACTCCCAGTCCTGGGGCAGGAACCCAGGGGGGTCAGGGAACAGTCCCAGCAGAAGAGAAGGTGAATGGGAAGCTTCCCTCCATCTGCCTTGGCTGCTGCTCAGCTGGGAGAGGCTTCTACAGAGGTGAAGGACTCACTAAAAGCGTAGGGCTATGTGTATGTCTTCCCCAAACCCCTGCAGCAGTTCACCAGCCTCTTGGCAGTGGTGCAGCCAACCCCCTGCCCAAATCACCAATGCTCTCGGTACCAATCAGCAGAGGTTAGATGCGTGCTGGCCTAGTGCGTGCTGGCCCCTGGCAATGGGCCAGAAGTACAGAAGATTTGGTGCTGGCGTGACTGGAAGGCTCTCTGCACAGACATCCTTACGACCCCCTCCACACACAAACACATTTTCAAGCTTAAGGATGGGGCTTGAGAAGGTGGTCCATTTCCCCTGGGCAGCCATGAGATGGGGACCTATGTCCCTCACTCACACTGGGCCATCCATGCTGATGCTGGCCAGGAGACCCACGTTAGCTTCTGACTTTGCCATCAACCTGCTAGGTAACCTCAGATAAGCCCCATCCTCCTCTCTGTAAAGTGGGTGCAATAATCCCTGCTCAACTCACCCCACAGTGTTGCCATAATGATCAGATGAGGTTGTGCCCATGAAAATGCTCAGCGAACTTTAGAATCTACAAAATGAAATGTTTCTGATTATCATTCTTGTTGTTATTATCATCTAAGGAAACTAACTCTGCTGCCTTATTGAAATCAGCAGTTTCATCTCCCTTCGAGATCCCCTTGCTCAGCAACCATCACGGCTCCCCTTTGCCTACAGGACAAAGGCCACATTCTGTGGTCTAGATGTTCATCTGGCCTAAGCCTACTTTCCAGTTTTATCTCCCTTGCCTTTTAGTCTCACTGGTCCTTTTGGAGTTCCCCCAGCACATTTTTTGTCTTTCTGCCTCCATGCCTTTGTCCATGCTGTTCCCCCTCCTGGAACGCCCTCCCCCATTGCCACCTATGGAATTTAACTCCATCTTTCAAGACCAAACTGTGGCACCAGCTCTTCCATGAAGCCTCTCTCTCAGCTCAGCCAGAAGTGCTCTCTCCTTCTCTGTAAGGGACGTGGTTTTCATCAAATGCCATGACACTTTCTGGCACAGAGTTAGTGCTCACAAAATGAAAGTTGCAATGACCACGCCCTGCACTCTAAACACTGACTCATTTCATCCTTACTACAACCCCATGGTTGTGTACTATTAGCATCCCCATTTTCCAGATAGAAAAAATCAAGGTGTAGAAAGGCTAAATACCTTGCCCAAAAGAGCATCAGACCAGGGCTTGAACCTGATCAGCTGACTTTGGAACTCGTATGTGCCTCTAATCATGAGGAACTGCACCATGTCTATTTATTCAGTTTTGCTGTCCCCTGCCCAGCCCAGGGCCTGGCTTGGAGCAGGTGCTCAGTAAATATTTGCTGGCTTCAGCACTCATTCCTCAAGCCTCCTGTGCACAGTCATCTCACTGTCCTGGGAGTCTCTTAAAGGCAAGGCCCAGTGGCTGGCTCAGAGGGGTCCCAGGAAACGTGGCCAAATGGCTCCACTCACCTGCATATCCATACATGTCCTCATGCATCAGAGTGCCAGACTAAGGCTGGAAGAGATAGGGCTGCAACCCTTGGGCCAGCAGCACGAGGCTGTCTGGTAGCACACTTGGTGACCAAGTTGGCTGCTGGACAGGGTCAGAGATTAACCCACCCTCTGTGGTCATGACAGGGTGTCAGGAGAGCCCTGAGCAGGGTGGGGAGGGAAGCAGGAATAACTCTCAAAGTCTGAGTGCAAGGAGCTCTAGGAAGCACCTAACCCAATTATTCACTCCCATTTAACAGATAAGGAAGGTGAGGCACTGGAGTTGGAATGACTTGCTGGAAGATGAAGAGCACAGAAAAGGCTTGCAAAGGTGCCAGCATTTCTGGGCCTTTCCTCCTCACCCTGTAGGTGGGCACGGGCCCCCTCCTCCCCCTTGGAGAGCTTGATAGTCACCCCCATGTAGCCCAGGAACCAAGAGGCCTGAGCTCTTTGGTGATCTCAGCCCCAGAGAAAAGGGTGCCCTCAGACAGCTTTGCTAGGCTGCTGTGCCCAGCCAGCAGCAGCCCCTTCAAAGAGAACAGGGAGAGAGGTTGGGAGAAGGCCAGCCACTAATTGTGGAAAATAAATCAGAGACATCTAAACCACACAGTTGAAGAAGGGCCAGTTGCACACAGACATGTTTCCTTTTGTGTTCTTGCTCACCAAGTTTAATTGTTAATTGAAAGCTGGGAGTTATATAAGTTATGGGGATACCAAAGAAGGAGTTGGAACAAGCTGTTGAAAATTACCCACTTGCTGAGTGGTTTGTGAGGCAAGGAGGGGTCTCAAAAAAGCGGGCAGCTGACCCCAAGAGGGCAACCAGAACAAAACCATCCGCTAAGAACTCTCTCCATCTGCAGCCGCATGATTCCTGGAGCTTAAGAGCAACGAATGTGTGTTCAAGCTGCTGATTTCCCACAAGTGCACATGGAAATTCAAAAGTAATGCCATGATATTGATTATCAGTTTAATAATCAGACAAAATCTCCCACATATCTGACCCTGCGCCACTTGTAAGCAGGGCTGTGTCTCCCTCTCTGAGGGGGATCCCTGGGGACAGGGCTGTGTCTCCCCTTAGACTGGGGCTCCCTGAGGACGGGGCTGTGTCTCCCTCAGACTAGGACTCCCTGAGGCAGGGGCGTGGTTTCTCTATGAAATCAACCTCACCTCACCAACCTGGGTTGAGGAACCAGAGACCTGCAGCCACCTGTCACCATTGGAAAATGTCAGGACACACCCTCATGTCAGAGTGGGAAGGGTTAAGACAGAGCTTGGAAACTGCAGTTCTCAGGAACACCTTTCTCATCAGCCAGCCCTTCCTGTCCTGACTGCTGCCAGGACTTAGATTGGCCTCTGATGGGTTCCAGCTCACAGCTAGGCCTCCTGCATTCTGACCCTCAGGCAGTGGTGTCCTGTAATGACCCACCACGGGTATTCCCAGCCGCCTGAGCCAGGGAGGGCTGGCATTAGGATGGAGTGGGATGCAGGGAGGGAATGGGCAGCACTGCCATGGGGAGGAAGCAGAGTACAAGGGAGGGGACGCTGGGGCCTGAGGCCCTGGGACCTGGGGTAGGAGGAGACGGTGAGGCCTGGGGTAGGAGGGGATGCTGGGACTTGGGGTAGGAGGAGACAGTGGGGCCTGGGGTAGGAGGGGACACTGGGGCCTGGGGTGGGAGGGGACGGTGGGGGCTGGGGTGCCAGAGACTCCCTCTGGCCACCTGGCCCTGTAGCCTGGAAGCCCAGGGTGGGGTGACATGGGCTGCCCTTCCCACATGGGCTAGTTTCTTTTGCTGCCACCAGACCCAGGGAGAGGCCTCCTTATAGCCTCCAGCCTGGGCAGCAGTCCGTGGCTCTCCCGAACCCCTCCTCAGCCATGAGTCATTCCCAGCAGTCTGCATGAGCCAAGGCAGCAAACCCCATCCCACAGCCTGCAGAGAGCCTGGGACAAACTGCATGACTGGCCAGATGCAGGTGCCCAGCACAGGAGCATCCAGCCTGGTCTGGATGGGAAGACTGAATCTTGGATCTTCAGAAATCCCGGCTTTGGTTTCCCAAACACTGTCTCTTCCCCACCCCCACCTCCCAGCTCCCTCCTTGCCCGGCTCACTGAGATTGTGGTGCATTTCTCATTTTTACCTTGTCTCTCACCCAGACCTCCTCTAAGCATCCTTGGGCCCTTCGGGACTCAGCTCAAATATCTTCCACCCTGGAAAGTCCCCTGTTCACCTTTTCGCACCCTTGGCTGCATAGGCCCACACCTCTTCCTTGTTAGACAGGGAGCTGCAAAGAGCAGCCGGGACTCTATTTCATCCTTTTCTGTCCCCTAACAGTCAGAGCAGCGCCTGGCCCATAGGATGCGCTCGTGATAGCGTTTCCAAAGACGGATCCAGCCAGGAGTTAGATAAAACCACTCAGACCCTAATAACCAATATTTGCTGGTCCCAGCTGCTGACAAAGTCCCAACTATTCCTGGACAGGTCAAGGAGGCTCTCTGCCTAGTACAATGACCTGCTACAATGACCTGGTATCACACTCCCCAAGGACCACACGCAAATGGCACCACTGATGTGCCTGAGCCTTCAGGGTGCCTCAAAGCTGTATAGTGGTGTGTGGTAAAAAGCAGAGAAGGCTTCTTACTCCCCTTCTGTTCCTCTCTGAGAACATCCAAAACAGAGCTGCTGTGCCCGGCATCTTTTAGAAGGTTAGAAGACAGTGTGTGGTCAGTGTGGGGACTGATTTCAACATCATTCCACCCCCTGCTGTGTGCCTTACTGGCCTGCAGAGACAGGAAGAGCCAAAAAACTACATTTCCCAGTCTCCTCCCCTGCTGTTGGGATTGGGATATAATTCAGGTTTAGCCAATCAGATGCACGTGCATGAAATTTGGAAGGCTGTGCTTCTGCAGCGCCAGCTGCTTTCTGGGAATAAGAAGGGGTGTGTGTTGTTGTTGTTGTTGTTGTTGTTGTTGTTGTTGTTTTGCTGCAGTACGGGCAGAGGGGGTCAAGAGGAGAGACACAGTGTGTCTGGCTCCTAGCATGGACCCCAGCAGGTGCAGTGTGGAGCTGGCAGCAGTGGCAGCCTCCTGATCACACTGCAGTGTGGTTCTGGGGCTGGTGACCTCATGATTGCCAAAGAGGCAGCAGCTCCCTTGGTGGCCCAGTTCTGCAGTGTGACTTTGAGAGCTGTTCCTGAAAGCTCCACCTTAAGCCTATGTCTTCGACCCTGCCAATAGTTGTGTAGCCATTTCATACTCTGTGATAAGTCCCTTTCACTTAAACCAGTCAGAGCAGATTCTGTTCTCTGCAACAGAATCCTGATGGACACACAATGCTTTATATCCTAGTCCTATACAGAGCCACACAGCTCTTGGTAGCAGACTGAGACTGGGCCCAGGGTCCAAGCTCCTTGAATAAGGCCTGACTGTGCATGTGTGCACGTACCAGGGAGGCAGGGGGCTCATCCGGCCCCATCCTCCCCTGGCCCCACAGCGGGCACTCACAGAATTCCTGAGGAGAAGACAGGGAGAACCCAATGCCTGTGGAAGTTTAAACAGCAGTGTGTGGGCTGAGCAAGCATGCCAGGGCTACCTGGCTAGGCATGCTAGGGGCTTGGAGCAGAGTTCAAGTGCCAGGGAATGGAGCCGATCTGTAGGTTTGGACAGAGGAAGTGGAGGCTGGGATGGTGGGCTTCCTGTGGCCTGCTCTCTTTCAGACCCAGATATGAGTCCACCAGGGAGCTGGGCCAGAGCAAATCCAGTCACAATCATCAGCCTGGCTTAAAACGGCCCTTGTCCTACGACTGTCCACCTGACTCTCTCTTCCCTTTGAATAAGTTCTTTTCTGGGAGTTTCTTTAGATCTTATGCATGTCTGAATTCCATCCAAGGAAGGTAAATAGATTCTCATTTCATCTCTCAACTCTGATCAGTTAGTAGTGACGACCTGGACCAGTATATGAGAAAAAGTGTGAGGCTACTTCTGGACTCGGAAGGGGAAAGTGCTAGGATTGGCTAGTGATGCCTGCCGTGGGTGCAGAAGCGGATATTGACAATGTGCATGCTGTGTGATCGCTTACATATTTGAGGGAGAAATGAACAAAGGTGCTTCCTGCTTAAGGCAGACTGGGATTCATCTAGCCATACACTCCCCAGACAGCTTCTGGCCCTAATGCCACCCCAAAGGTTCCTGATACCACTCACCAATTTCCCCAACTCAGCATTTGTTCACTGGCGCATTTTATCAACTATTTCCAGAGCTTCCTGATTCCTTTTCCCCAACGTAAGCTCTCTCCAACTCTTATAGTCCCCTACCCTGTGCTCCAGGTTCACACTAACTGTCACGCCCACCGGGGTTCTGATCTCTTGGGAGCTGACCTCAGGAAAGAGCTGAAGCTGATAGGGACTGATTCCTTGAACTAAAGTAAGTGCAACCCCCTCCAGGAACATTCCTGACCTCTCAGGCTCTCCACAGGCCCTCCCTCTGTGGTCTTGCTCACTGTCTCTGGTGCCCAATCAGTGCTGGGCACTCAGTAAGCGCTTGATAAGCCTGTGGATCAGTGAGAGGATACTCAGAAGTTTGGGAGTGACCTCACCAACCACTGGCTTCCCTTTTCCCATCCTTGCTTCCTGCCTATTCCCGTACTCAGATACCTTTGTTGACACTGACATTTGGCTTCCCAAATCTCCAGGAAGCCTGCACGCAATGGGGCACCCTGCATCCCATCTGAGTCACCACTGAACCCAAATCTGGCCTGCTGCAGAAGCTAGCTGCTGGGTGGGACAGAAAATTGTGCCCTTTGAGGGGCTCTCAGGCTCCCCTTTGAGGGAAGGCAGCCATCTCCTGGGCACTGCAGAGGTCAGAGTGGGTGGTAAGCCATTTTTCAGGGAAGAAAACAAGCCCTGAGCCCACCCCACGACATCCCTACTCTGGGTTCTTGCTCACCCACCACACTGTTTCTGCTAAAGGAAAACAGATGGTGTGGTTAATTGGGATGTCTTAGCGGGCTCTGGTCCTCATTAAGGCTGAGGGTGGGGACAATGAGTGATATACCAGGTCATAAACAGTGGCTCGAGGGGGCAGGTGCCCTGATGCTCCCCAAGGACTGAGGGAGTAGTGGACAAGGCCACTGGTCTTGGGCAATGGGATCAGGCTGGAGTCCAGCCTCTCCCTGAGCCCAAGGCAGAGCCCAGTGACAACTCCTGGGGGGTCCAGATGCTCACAGCTGGAGAAAGTGAACATTGACTGGGGTGGCAGTGTGGGGCCGGGTGAAGGCAGCAACTGCGGAGGAGGCAAAGAAGCCCAGGGAAGGGTGGGCAGGAGCTGCTGGAGTCAGAGAATGCCCTAGAGGCAAATCTGGGGCCTGCCTCTTCCCGCCAGAGTACCAGAGCCTGACTCAGATAGCCCAGCCCCAGAACCCCACAGAGGGACATGAAGGGAAGGCACAGCCATCCCTCTCTCCAGGGGGCCCCATGCTAGAGAGAGGCAGTGGTTAAGAGCCAGGCTATCTGGGTTCAAGCCCTGGTTTTGCCAATCACTAGCTATGTGATGCTAGGCTACTGCCTCAATCCCTCTGTGCCTCAGTTTCCCTACCTGTGAAATGGGATAACAATCCCCCTAGATAATTGCAGTCGTTAATGAACTCAGAGCAGCACCTGGCACATAGTGCTATGTGTTCCATTTAGGTTATTATTCTTAAGGCAAGGGTCTCTGTGTCGGTGAAATGTGGGGGATACTCACTCCTCCCTGTCACCAGCAACAGCAGAGTCTCTTGGAAGTGTCTCCTTGCATAACCATCCTTCCCAACCTCTGAATCACCTCCCTCACCCCGCCAGCATCCCCAAGTGATGGGAGGGACAAGGGGTCCAACCCAACCCTGCCCAGAAAGTGAATGCGCCAGATGCATTCTTTTATTTTTTATTTTTATTTTTATTTATTTATTTTTTTGAGACGGAGTCTCGCTCTGTCGCCCAAGTTGGAGTGCAGGGATGCGATCTTGGCTCACTGCAACCTCTGCCTCCCGGGTTCAAGCAATTCTCCTGCCCCAGCCTCCTGAGTAGCTGGGACTACAGAAGTGTGCCACCACACCCAGTTAATTTTTTGTATTTTTCAGTAGAGATGGGGTTTCACTGTGTTGGCCATGATGGCCTCGATCTCCTGACCTTGTGATCTGCCCGCCTCGGCCTCCCAAAGTGCTGGGATTACAGGTGTGAGCCACTGTGCCCGGCTGAGACAGCTGCATTCTGAGGACAGTAATTATTGGGCACCTGCTGTGTGCCAGGCCTGATGCTGATGTTTTATCTGCACTTGCCCCATTTAGTCTTCAAGGTAGGTATCGCTCTCCCATTACACAGATAAGAAAGCTGAGGCCTAGAGATGAGTGTCCAAAGTCACCCAGAGAGCAAACAGAGAAGCTCGGGTTGGAATTCAAGACTCCCATCCCTCAGAATCTGTGATCTTTCCTCAGGAGCAGGGTGTGCTCCTTGGCCGTTAATGTCACAAACACTGGGGGGGCTTTTTCTTAATGCAGCATCCTAAGACCCTCCCTAGAGCTAGAGAAGCAGAGTCTCTGGGTGGGATCCAAGAGTCTACCCCTGAATAAAATAGCTGCCTCTGGCCTTGGACCTCCTTTAACCTAACACAGCCCCTATTGCAGACAACTGGACCCTGAAGAAGGAGAAAGGAGATGGAGCCCAGTCAATCTGCACGCTTACCTCCAAGGGGATGGATGCAACACCACTTCTGTGCCCCCTTCATCCCCAGGATCCCTCGCTCTCTCCTGGTGCTTGGGCCCCAACAGGCAGAGTGGGACAAAGGAGGGCAAGGAAACATCTCCAATATGTTTTCCAAAGCACGGTGGGTGAGAGGAGCAAGAGGGTCAATGGGGCCTACCTCCTCTGTCCATTGAGGGATACAAGTGAAATGCGGAGGGACTGATACCCTGGACAGTACCCAGGGGCTCCATCAACTGGGGGCGGAAGACCAGTTCTGGGGGTGGGGGAGGTTCTTTCAGACTGGCCCTGCTGCCTGCAGCACGAGGAAGACCCTCTGTCCACTCCTACATCTCCCCCAAACCCCCATGGATGTGATTGGACAGCCGCCCCAGGCACTCTGTGCTGCGGGGGCAGCAGACGCTTGGTCCTCAGTGAGGAGTGGAGAGGGATCAGCATACATCACATCACACTTGGCACGGCCCCCATTGGTGGGCAGCATGCCACCGTGTTGGTGAGCTGTCTCCCTGCAGAGCCTTCACAGGCGGCAAGGGAGGGGCTTCCAGGGGAATCACTGCCTATCAGGAGTGGCACAGCCCCAGGAAGCCCCCCGGACCATCCCTAGTTCCTGCCTTGCCTGGGCCCAACCAGAGCTGGGCTGAGGAAGGGAAAAGGGAGAAGGGCACTGGGGCTGGGAGATGAATTCCAGGCTGGGCCATGCTGGGGACCTCAGGCCACAACCAAGGGCTCGATCCCAGAGGGAGAGGCCTCCCACTAATCACATTCAGGTGACCGGAAGCTCTGAGGCTCTGGACCCTGCTTCCTGGAGATGTTAGGGAGGAGAGGGAGAGAGGAGTCCCTTGGCTCTGGGCCAGTCCACAGACTTCTCCCCAGAGGCCCAAGGGCTGTTGGGGGGGGATAGAAGACCCACTATCAACTCCCACGTCCACCCACACCCAAATAATGCCTCAGTCTACAAGAAGCCAGGTCCCATAGAGTTGAGGGAGCTCACAGTCTGAAGGAGGAGACACTTCCTGCTGTCTGGGATCTGCCAGTCTGAGGGCAGAGACGTAGCCACTCCCTTCCAGAACATCAACCTCCCAGTCTCCTCATTGTCTCCAAACAGGGCTAACACTCTTCTGTCATCCCTTTCATCCTGATCTCAGTCCTTCCAGACTCAAATCACTGCCCTCCTCATCCTCAGAGCCTTCCTGGATGACCACACAGCTCCAATCCTCCACCCTGGCACTCTTAGAGCAGTTAATTTGGTGGTGGACAGATAATTCCTAATGGCATGCAAAGAACTCATATTTCCTAGGCACCACCTGTACCAGAGGCCTGGTGGCAGGACCTTGATCATGCAAACATGACATGATCCAGGCATGCAGGGAGCTTCCAGTTCAGGAACATTAGGACGGACCAAGAAGATACAGTGAACTGTCAGTTAAACATCATCTTTTCCCAGACATTTCTGCGTGTGTGTGTGCGCGCGCGTGCGTGTGTGTCCCCAGCTAGGCTGGGACTTTGTTAGAGCAAGACAGGAACTGAGCTTAAATATCAGGCCACACCCCCATCTAAACTAAGTCCCTAGGATATTCTCCCAGAGCCCCATGTAATTTTCCCTCTTGGCACACATTACAGTTTGTAATTCTTTTTGGTGTGACTACTTGCTTTAAGACTCTCCTTTTCCAGGCTCTATAAGAGTAGCTGAGTCCATGGCTTCACCCGTGTATCTTGAGCACCTGGCATATTTGATGACTGAATGAATGATTTGAATGAAAGCACCACATTCCTATTCATGCCCTTGCCCCTAGCACACAACCTGTAGGTGCTCAGTGCTCAGATTTGGCAGGATGGCAAAGTAAAAAGAAGCCCATCTTGCCACAGCTAGGAATTCAAGGTCAATCCCAGAGCAATCCCAAGGCAGTTCATCAAGGAAGACTTCCTGGTGGAGGAGGACATGGACTGGGGACTTTCAGCCTCACATCTGTTCTTCCAGTTCATCATCTGTTTCTGGCAGGAACTCCTGAGGACAGAGGTTACGTCTGGGTCTCAGGGCCATCCCCAGCACACCCCCATTCAAGCTGCGCATGACCTGCCCCACTGTCGACAGCCAGCTGTGACTCACAACTCCTGAGCCTTTCCTCTTGGCCAGAGATCGTGGAGTAGATATTACAGTAACATTACTAACCACAAGTAGAGGCGGTGACCGTACTTACGCTCAGAGCACCTCCCCCCACCCCTGAGACCAGAGCAATGACCTCACACTCATGTTCGGCAGCAAGCACGGACAGTCCTGCCCGGAGGCAGGGGGATGGCCCACATGGCCCTGGTCTTCCAGAGAAGCCCAGCGTCTGGCCTCTTCCCCTCAGCGCTGGTCACATTCTCCCCACCTTCCCCTCCAAGCAGCCCACCTGGGGTAGGTGCTGAGTCCCCTGCTGCTGCCTCCCCCGGGTGAAAGCAGAGTAAACAGTCCCCCTCTCCCCCGCCTCCCTGGGGAGGGCTGGAGGAAAGAAAGGGAAGTGACAAAAGCTGCCCTATCCCTGTCCTTCCTCACTGCTGGGTCTAGGACACTTATTCTGGGGAAAGTGGCGTCTGAGGATGTGGCTGCAGTGGCCAGTTGCTGGCGCCAGCAGAAATCCCCAAGCCCGTCAGTAGACTCTGTTCAGACGCGTTCGCTGACCATGGCACTGAGTAAGTGCTGAGGAGACACCTGAGGACCCAGGTCACGCCCCTGCCTGCCCTCTCCTCCCAGACAGGCCCCTCCTAGGGCTCAGACCATTCCAGTTCCTCTTGTCAGACCCTGAGAAGGCCCAGGGCATCCACCCCTACAGGGAAGGCTCAACAGGAAAGAAAGAAACACACAGGAACTGGGCTCAGAGCCCAGCTGCGTGCTCTTGGGCAAGTTACTTAACCTCTTTAGGCCTCAATTTCTCAACTATAAAATGGGACTAAGACTAGCTGCCTGTTGAGCTGTTGTGAGATAAGTGAGTGCACTGGCCTGGATCTGCAGACGGTGGACAACAGCCAACGGCAGCCGGATGTGGCATTGTGCTGCTGCCTTTAGCAGCTCCAGGCAGTAACTACTGAGTATCAGGGAAGAACTGAGACCTCAGAGAAGGGAGAGAACCAGGATTGCTTGAGGCAGGGCGTTGGGAAGGCCCCACTTACCCTCTGGCAGTTGCAATCTAAAAGGAACAAAGAGGCTTTGTGGCAGATCCTGTCTCCTAATATCCATTCCTCGTTTATTTCCCAACTTTTAGCCAGACCCCCATGGAATAAAGACTAGACTACCTAGCTTCCCTTGCAGCTAGGTATGGCTAGATGACTGAGTTCTGGCCAATGGAATATAAGTGTGACTTCTAGGAAGCTTCCTTGAAGGGAAGGGGCATGTCCTTCTTCAGGCTTTCTTCTTCCTTCCTGCTGGCTGGGGCTCCAGCAGCCATCTTGGGCAATGAGGTGACCCTGGAAATGGAAACCACACCTAGCAGGTCAGAAAGATAGAAGGAGTCTCTGACCACATCCCAGAAATATTTTACATGAGCAAAAAATTCACTATTTATCTTGTGTAAACCAAAATTTAACTGATACAAGCTTCTCCTCTGGTGAAATAATCTCGACTCATGTGTGGCTGGGCAGAGTAGGATGGATGAGGTGTCTAGAAGAGAAGAGTTACCAGGGGTGTGATGTCCCCATCCAGGAGCACTTCCTCCTACTTGCCCTGTGAGGTCAGGAGGAACCCTGTTGGGAGGACTTGGCTCCAGGAGGATGGATGGATGGATGGATGGATGGATGGATGGATGGATGGATGGATAGATAGATGGATGGAAAGGAGGGAAGAGCCCAGGTAAATGCATGAGATGAGGAGAAATACCTAGAAGGAGGAAATACCCTGGGAAAACACTTCAGATGACAGAGAGCCAGGCTAGGGGTGTGGGGATAGCAGAACAGGATGGCCTACCTGACTCACTGCCCAAGTCGGACTCTCAGTTTTCCCACCTGTGCTTTGGGAATGGGCCTTATCGCCTCACTCAGGGCCAGCGTGAAGTGATTCAAAAACCAAACCAAAACTAAACAGAGAATCAGTGTAGCATTAAATCCGTTGTCAGCCCAGACAAAACCCTTCTCTGTGCCTGGGATTCCTATAAAGTAAGGATACCCGTGGACCCCACCTCACCTGGCTGTTGTGAGTATTCAGCGAAAGGGCTACTGTAATGTGCTCATCACAGTGTCTGGCACAAGGCAAGTGCTCAGTAAGCAGTCAGTGCTATTATTGCTGCTGTTGAAATCCTGCCCTGGGGTGTGAGGAACAAGAAGCTGCCACTTGATTGGTCTGTGGCATGAGTTAGGGAAAGAAACCTGGACTCCTCACTCCAGAATAATATCTCCAGCGCTTTGGGGACCTAAAGGACCAGGTAATGCCTTGGGAGCACCACACCATAAACACACATCAGGATCCTGACGGCATAAGATGGAATGGGGGTAGTAGGGAGACCTGGCAGGGTGGGGGCAGCCAAGGCTTAAATTTTGGTACCACTGCCTGGGACCCCTGGAGGGACAGCTGTCAGGTCAGGCCCTGACCCCCAAGCTCTCCTCCTTGGCCAGGCCAGGTCCACATTTGGTCACAAGAAGCTGGCAAGAGGCCAGACAGGGCCGCAGATGCCATGGAGAGGGCAAACACAGGCCCGACGGAAAGGGGGAAAAAATCGGGCTTGTTCTGCCTGGGCAAGAGCAGGCTCAGGGGTGACATCAACGCCATGATAAGCAGTTAGATGAGTTAATGCCCAGGGATGCTTTTCCTGAAGTTCCCCAGAGAAAGTTGGGGGTTAAATGATGAGTGTGTTGGCAGATTTGTACCCTCAAAAAATTACGAGTGTGACCACTGTTAACAATGAGCAGGGACTTTAAGAGGAGAACTAAGGAGCTGTCATTTCTCTCTGGAGAAGTGAAGGAGAAGAAATGATCTTACATTAAAGTAAACACGATTCCGGATGACCTAAGGGAGAATTCTGACTGCCCATGACATGAGCTCTCTGTGTGCAAGGAGCTGTGGACTGAGTCCAGAACTGAATAGGGCACACAGCTTCAGTGGCCTGTCCTGAAACCCCAGCACAGCCTCCAAGTTCTGGGCTTCTGTTCCCACCTGTGTTAAATCAGACAAGGTAACGATTATGGATAGGGATTTAGGAATCATACAGAGATCAGTTTGAAGGCACTTTGGACAAGTTACCTAACTTCTCTGTCCTTTGTTTCTTCCTCTGTTTGGAAGAAAAAAAAAAAACAGAACTGGGTGCAGAGGGTTGCTGGGAAGATTAATTCAGTGGATGCCAGCTTAGAGCCTGGCACCCAGGACGAGCTCCATAAATATTCTCCAGTGGGGCTATTTTTCTCCTGTCTGGGCAGGGATTGGACAGTATCTCTTGAGTTCTTTTCAAGTCTAGAATGCCTTGATTCCACAATCCTGTGACTCACTGATTCTGCTTCTGGGGTCTGAGGACTGGGATGAGTTGGTTGCACAGCTCTGCCCTGCAGGGCCCAGGCCCAGCACCTGGACATAGCCCAGCCTATAGTCTGCACCATTTTATTTCTACCAGTGGACTTTGCCTTGCCCATCATGTGCCCTCAGCCTCATGGGCAGCCTTGTGGCCACAGGTGGCCCTGCCAGCTGTCCCTGACCTCTGCTCTGCACCTTCACCTGGAGCAGGGCAGTGCAAGCCCCTCCGGCTAACTCCTTCCTCACACCTACATTCCCCTGACAATGTCACATGCTGTGCAAGTTGGCAGGGCCAGAGGGGCCACAGATGCCAACAAAAACACCATTCCTGTGGAGGGAGAAGAGCCCATGGGTGTTATTTTTAACCTGCTGATTAGAGGCCACAGCTCTGCCCCTGGGGGTCCTGGGACTAAGGGCTCTGAGGGGCATGTGAGTTGTCAGGCCTCACCTCAATGACTCCCAAGGGTATTGGGCTGCAGAAACCCCAGCCCTTCTACCACTTTGATGGAGAAGTGGGAAAGGGAGACACAGATCAAGACATGCCCCATCTTGCCCACTGGTTTCAACTGGGGCTGAACCCAGCCAGGAAGAGCAAATGTGCCACGAATCACAGAACATTAAACCTAGAGATGGGTCCTCTCCAGTCCCTGCGTTATACAGATAAGGAAACTGAGACCTGAGGGAGGAGGCCCAAAGTCACACTGCTGGTCAACACTAGCTTCCTACCCCCTTGCCCACCTGTTGTAGACCTGGAGTTTGACAAGGACATTTCTATAACTCTCCAAGGCCACATCCTGGGGGTCACCTTGCTCCACCCTCTGTCCAGGTGACCCATCTTGCCTCTGCCCTCTCCCCAGTCTGCCCTACCCCAATGGGCTGAGCTTCTGACAACCCCATGATGAGGGCTCCAGGCCCTGGCTCACCCTGCAAGGACTTCCTAAGTGCCCAAGCAGTGCCCCCTAGAGGCCAGTGGCAGCACTGATCAGCACAGCGGGCAGCGCCATCATGGCTGGAGGCCCAGGCGAAGACGTGCAGGCCAGGGCGTGCCTGTGTGGGGGGAACAGGACCGAGCTTCTGCCAAGGGCCCGCTGCCGGCTGTTGCTGAGCTTGTGCTCGCCAGAGGGGTGGGGGCGGCAGGCAGACAATGGACCCCACGGCCCAGCCTCCTGGCCTTGGCCCCTTGAGCTGGGCAGGCAGCCGCTGGCCAAAGCAGCCGCCTCCATTGGTCCCTCACGTAGCCCACGTCCTGCCTGCTGGGTGGCCCTTATCACCGGGTACGTGCCAGAGTTCCACATGCCCACACTCCACAGTGGGGAGGGGACTGTGGGCCCAGGAGGAATGGGACCAGTGGGAAGTTAGGCTTCCTGTTTCCCTGCATCCCATTCCCAAGGAGGGGCTTGAGCAGGTCCTGAGTACCCCTTGATGAGTCTCTCGTTCTCAGAGAGATCTTAGCCGCATCTCGCCAAGTCCCAACTCTCAACAACTGTTCTCCCCTTGGAATGAAGGGGTTGGGTGGAAGAGAAGAAAGAAAGAGGCCAACAGCTTCATTTGAATGTTCTAGGTCACCAGTTCACAAATACCAACTGTTCCTCTTAACAAGCTTATACAAGAAGTAGTACTATACTATGCTTATTACTGTCTGGGGAAACAGGCACAGAGAGGTTGAGTGACTTACCCACAACCATACAGCTGGTAGGGACAGAGTCAGGATTCAAATCCGAGCAGACCGACTCCACAGCTAAACCACTCCTCAACAAAGCAGGGTCGTGACTGGCTGGTGCTCAGCCCTCTACCCCACAGAAATGATGGCTTTGGGGTCAGACAGACATGGGCTCAGGCCTGGAAATGCATGCTCTAGGGCCAGTGAAGGCCCTCTCTGGGCCAATGTTTCCTTACCTGTGAAATGGGTGCAGTGATGCAGTGAGGAAGGTACAGCCACATGTGCCTCACTGGTGGAAGCTGCTGCACAAATCCTCCTCCCCTTCACCCAGCAGAGCTCAAAGCCTCCTTTGACTGAATAATTAGAATGTCTTCTGCCTCGCCGCCTGAAGCCCACCATCCCAGCCTCCACTTCCTCTGTCCAAACCTACAGAGCGGCTCCATTCCCTGGCACTTGAGGTCTGCTGCAAGCCCCTAGCATGCCCGGCCAGGTAGCCCCGGCACGCTTGCTCAGCCCACGCACTGTTTAACCTTCCACAGGCACTGGGTTCTCCCTGTCTTCCCCCCGAGGAAGACCGTGAGTGCCCGCTGTGGGGCCAGGGGAGGATGGGGCCGGATGAGCCCCTGCCTCCCTGGTATGTGCACACATGTACAGTCAGGCCTTATTCAAGGAGCTTGGACCCTGGGCCCAGTCTCAGTTGGCTACCAGAGCTGTGTGGCTCTGTACAGGTCCTTTCACGTCACGGGGGCTGTTTCCTCATATGTCAAATGGACATCTACATCCCGGCTGGTAAAGACACAGTGAAGCCACATCTGGGACACACCCCTCCCAGAAAACTTCCTCGTGATTTCTGCTAGCAGATTAGGACTACAGCGTGTGTGGGCAGGGAAGGGATCTGGCTGGGAGGACAGGCGAAATGGACATAGACGTCAGAGAAGGCAGGAAGCAGAGGGGTTTCCCCACCATGATGAGGCTGCACAGGCAGGGGAAGAAAGGCCATGGGGGCTGAGTCACTGGCTGTGTCTAATCTGCTGCCTTCCCAGCCACTGACAATGAAGTGACCACAGGCGGATCACAGGAGATCACAGGAGGGAGGTGGCCAAACAGGACAAGAAAGGGAGCTGCAGGGACTCTAGAGGAAGTAGCCTGAGAGGCAAGGCTCAGCCCCTGCCCTCAGAGGGACCCTGAGCTGATGGGGTAGCAGACACAGCTGCTGCCTTCAGTGAGCTCCCAGTCTGACAGGGGAGACATTCTTTTGTCTCAGGAGAGAAAGGAGCTCTGCCTTCAGGGAACTCCCAATCTGACAGGGAAGTTTTATCACTTTCTGCCTTAAGGGAATTACAACTGTGACTGGGGACTCAGCCTCTGTTCGCAGGGAACCCCAGCTTGAGGTGTCTATGTCTGAGGGAGCAGGTGCCTGAGTGAGCGCTGTGCATTTGTGTGTTGACACCCTTCCTGGCTTCCTTCAGACCCTCCAATCTGATGGGAGAGACACAGCTCTGCTCTTAAGGAGCTCCTGTAAGATGGGGGAGACATAGTCCCCACATCAGGCGGCCACTAAAATGAAGGGGGAGACTTAGCTCCTGCCCTCTGTCCTCAGGGAGCCCTGTCTGCCCCCACGGGCACTCAGGTTAAGCATGCATGTGTGTGCACATGGGAATGCATGCAGGCCCTGCTCTAGCCCTCTCAGGCACCACTCCCCACCATGCCCACCTGAGAACTCCTCAAAGTAAGGAAGGAGAATCCTTGTTCGAGCCCAGGCTAAGGGGGCTTCCACAGAGGGGCTTCTGGGAGCCTAGAAGACAGAGGGTGGGGGAGACAGAAGTGCTACCACATCTAGGGTGGCTGGGCTCACTGTCCTGAACAGCTGAGCTGCATCTGCCTTCCTCATCTCCAACTCCTGATCCCTGATACACCCCAGCCTCACATGTCCGCTGAGACGCGGTACATGGTATCTCCCACACGTATGCGCGGCTCCAGCACATGGGAGAGGGTGGCTGGGGCTTGGAGCTCAAAGGAGCCTCTTCTTTTCCTCCCCGTGGCCCTCATGTTGCCTTTCACACACCCACTCTGGGTGATGGGAGGGGAGTGACCAGTCCACCCCGAGTCACTATGACTCGGTCTCCCCACCTGGAACCCTCATACTCGGTTCACAGTCTCCATGAAGGGACAGTGAGCAGACTGGGAGTCAGCGGGGAGGAGGCCCACAACAAGTCGGGAGCTCCAGTTCACCCACTCAATTCCTTCCTAGGGCAGGAAACCTTCAGGAGAGCAGAGGATGGGGCTGGGTGGGAAAATAACATGCAAGGGAGGAAGCAGGGAGCACAGGGCATTTCCCCTCAAGTGGGAGTTCCCCGAGGGCAGGGCTGTGTCTCCCCTCAGACTGGGGCACCCTGAGGACTGGGTTGTGTCTCCCCTTAGACTGGGGCACCCTGAGGACTGGGTTGTGTCTCCCCTTAGACTGGGGCACCCTGAGGACGGGGCTGTGTCTCCCCTCAGACTGGGGCTCCTTGAGTCAGGGCTGCGTCTCCCTCAGACTGGGGGTCCCTGAGTCAGAGCTGCGTCTCCCCTCAGACTGGGGCACCCTGAGGACTGGATTGTGTCTCCCCTCAGACTGGGGCTCCCTGAGTCAGGGCTGTTTCCCGCCTCAGACTGGGGGTCCCTGAGTCACGGCTGTGTCTCCCCTCAGACTGGGGCTCCCTGAGTCAGAGCTGCATCTCCCCTCAGACTGGGGGTCCCTGAGTCACGGCTGTGTCTCCCCTCAGACTGGGGGTCCCTGAGTCAGGGCTGTCTCCCCCCTCAGACTGGGGATCCCTGAGTACAGGGCTGTGTCTCCCTCAGACTGGGGCTCCCTGAGGATGGGGCTGTGTCTTCCTCAGACTGGGGCACCCTGAGGATGGGACTGTGTCTCCCCTCAGACTGGGGCTCCCTGAGTCAGGGCTGTCTCCCCCCTCAGACTGGGGCTCCCTGAGTCAGGGCTGTCTCCCCCCTCAGACTGGGGCTCCCTGAGTCAGAGCTGCGTCTTCCCTCAGACTGGGGCACCCTGAGGACCGGATTGTGTCTCCCCTCAGACTGGGGCTCCCTGAGTCAGGGCTGTCTCCCGCCTCAGACTGGGGCTCCCTGAGTACAGGGCTGTGTCTCCCTCAGACTGGGGCTCCCTGAGGATGGGACTGCGTCTCTCCTCGGACTGGGGTTCCCTGTGGACAGGGCTGTGTCTCCCTCAGACTGAATTCCATGAAGACAGGCACTGTGTCAATCCCATCAAACTAGGTCAGAACTAGATCTCCTTTAGCATCTAAAACAGGCAACTCATCCACCATCCCCAACATCATCTGGGGGTTTTCAGACTGGGTGGGGTGGGGCATCTACTTCCCACCAGGCCACCCTCCTGAGGAAGGACAATCATGCTTACTGGCAGGGGCTTCCTCAGTGAGCAGCCTGTTCCCAGTTCACCCACTCACCCCTCTGGGTGGTCTCTCCCACAGTCTAGCCCCAGTCTCTCACGTTAAATCACCATGGGTAGCTGGGCAGGCGAGACCCACAGGATGTGTGGGCAGGGCCTGCCTGGACCTGGTGGGGGGTGTATAGCTGAGAGCACAGGCATTTTGTAGCATGATCTCATGCCCACTGCCCTCAGCTAGGGGCTCTTCAGGACCATTTGAGCATGGGGAGTGGGCAGACAAGCCTGGGCAGCTATACCAGTGGCCTGAGGAAGCCAAGCTTGGCAGGTTCCTGCTTCCATGAGTCCAAATCAGCACAGGAAGTGGGTCCCAACACCATTAGCTTTCCCTTATCCTATGCTGTAGCCACCTGGATTAGCAGAGGGAGAGGCCTCCTACCCCAGTGGGTCCCTGTGAGGGGGCAGCCCGACCTTACAGTGTATACATTTGGTAGTGAAGGAAGCAGGAAACAGCTGGACAGGCCTGGGAATCCCTCCCCACTCCCTAGTCACCTTTCAATACGAGGAGCTGGGCTTTCCCAGCCCTCTATCCCCTACTCCTCCCTGCCTCCTCTTGACCTCCTGTGCCTTTTTCAGGGAAATAAAACACAGAGCCATGTGGAGATTGGGGCTGGACTTCTGTGCTCTCCTTTTTCCGTTGGCAACCCCATCTCCAGGCTGGCAGGATCAGAGTCGGTGCCTCCCACCTAACACTGACAATTGGGCATTGCCATGGCTGAGGGCACCCTAAGATATCAACCCCATTACACAGATGGGCAGACTGAAGTCTGAGGCTGTCACAGAGTCAGGACAGATCATGTCTTGGAGGTGATGCAGCCAGGCTTGTGGTCAATACCCACTCTGCCTGAGTCAGGGTAGCTCCTCTCTCGGCCAGACTGTGAGCTCCCTGAGCTCAGGGACTGGTCCCCAGCTTCCTGAAAGGGGTTTGCTGGGTAGGATTGAATGAGGGCTTGCTATGTACTGACCTGTGCTGGTCCTGGGGTGGGGTTCTGTGTCCCCATCAGCCTAGCCAGTTTAGCTGCAGGGCCTCCTCACCTCTGGACCCTTCCTTGACCACAGGTCTCCCTAGTTAGTTCCTGGAACCCAGACTTTCGGTGCCTGGGGAGGGAGGGTCTAGGGTGGCATGGGCAGCTGTGCATCCAGGCCAGAATGGGCCACCTGGAGAAGTCCCCAGGGCCTGGTGCAGGAGCCCGCTCCCCCAGCTGGCAGAAGGACAGGTGGAAGCCCACCTGCTGTCCCCCGCTTCTGGGTCACAGTCAGTTGGCTGAGCTAGGCCCAGCTTGGGCAGGTTCTCCCACATCCAGTGCCCCCTCCCCCTCACCCCACCCTGGCCTGATCCCTTTTTCAAGTACAGTCTTTGCTCCAGCCAGATGTCTGAGCACAGTCTTGTTCCCAAGAAACCCATGCCCTGCCCCACAATCTCTACTCATCCTGCCCTCTCTCCCTCCTGTCCCCATAGGAGCCATCTCCCCAGGGCCACTGGCTCACCACACTTCCTGCAGAGCTTTGACCCTCTAGGAGAGCAAGCCCCTCCCCAGGCCAGGGAAGGGTCTCAGCAGAGGCAGCAGGGAAGGGGCAAGGATCCAGCTTCCCCAGTAACCTAGCATGCCTCTGTCTTCCAGCAAGTCACCAAACCACTCTCCTATCTGTCCCTATTGTCAGCCTATCCCATCCCTCAAGGCAGCAAGTTCTTAGGTTGGCTTCCCACTGTGTGGGCAAACACGCGGCCTCACTCTTACTGGAAGCCAAGACTTGCTCCAACTGGGCTCGGCAGGAGAGAGTTCTCAAGAAGCCCAACCCTCAAATACATACTCTGTAACCTAGATGGAGGCTCTCACAGAACCTGCCAGAGGCAATCACTAACCCTGCTTTACACACCTAAAGGTAGCTTTTTAAACTTTAAAAAATTTGTGATAAAATACGCAGAACATTTACCATTTTAACCACATTTAAGTGTACATTTCAGTGGCATTAAATACATTCACATTACATACGTTCACATTACATATGTTCACATTGTTGTGCAACCATCAACACCATCCATCTCCAGAATTCTTTTCATTTTACAAAACAGAAACTCTGCTCATTGAACACTAACTCCCCATCTCTCCAGCCCCTGGCAACCACCATTCTACTTTCTGTCTCTATGAATCTAACTACCTTAGTTACCTCATTAAAGTGGAATTATACAATATTTGTCCTTTTGTGATTTGCTGATTTCACTTAGCACAATGTCCTTAAAGTTCATCCCTGTTACAGCATGTGTCACAATTTTCTTCCTTTTTAAGGCTTAATAATATTCCATTGTATGTATGTACCACATTTTCTTTCTCCATTTGGGTAGCTTTTTTTATTTATTAACTACTTTTTTTTTTTTTTTTTTGAGACGGAGTCTCGCTCTGTCACCCGGGCTGGAGCACAGTGGCTTGATCCCGGCTTACTGCAACCTCCGCTACCCAGGTTCAAGCGATTCTCCTGCCTCAGTCTCCAGAGTTAACTACTTTTTAAAAAAACCAAAGTAATATATTCTCGTGGCAAAAAGTCTGAACAGTTCAGAAACACATAAAGTGAAAAGTGGACTTTTCCATCCCTTCTCACTCTGGTCATGGAAAGCCCTTTCTGGTGACTCTGAAATTTTAGAGGCAGAAGGGCTAACTGGTTTTTATCCATTTTTTACACATATAGTGACATACTCCTCATCAGTACTTCTCAAACACGAGTATGCATCAGAATCATACAGAGAACATGTTAAAACCACAGACTGCTGGGCTCCAGCCCTAGTGTTTCTGATCCCGTAGTTCTACGGTGGCCCAAGATTCCAGGTTTCTTTTTTGTTTGTTTTTTCAGACAGGGTCTCTCTCTGTCACCTGGGCTGGAGTGCAGTGGCACCATCTTGGCTCCCTGAAACCTCCACCTCTCAGGCTCAAGCGATCCTCCTGCCTCAGCATCCCTAGTAGCTGGGACTACAGGCTAATTTTTTGTAGAGAGGTTTTGCCATGCTGCCCAGGCTGGTCTTGAACTCCTGGGCTCAAGCAATCCTTCTGCCTTGGCCTCCCAAAGTGCTGGGATTACAGGCATGAGCCACTGCAACTGGCTGAAGATTCTGGATTTCTAATAGGCTCCATGCCCATGCTGGCAGAGGGCACACCCTTCATGGAGTAGCACCACCCAAGGAATGTCTTGCCACTTGCTTTTCTACTTAGTGAATATCAACACACAACCTCAACCTCACTCTTTTCAACCACTGCATACTATTGGTGTTTGGAGGCATCATAACATATCCAATCCGTGCCCTATTAATGGACTTAATGTTGCTTCCAGTTTTTCAGGTTTGGAAGCAAAACTGCAATGAACACACTTGTATGTATACTTTGAACACTTGTGACATTTATAACAGTGCATCTGATAAATTCCTAGATATGGAACCCTCGAGTCCATGGTTTGTGAATTAATTCTTCTCATGTATACTGCCAATCCCCTTCACAGGTGCAACTGTCCTCCCCCCCAGCTCTGAGGATGTCTGTGTCCACACAGTGAGGGGTTGCCCATTTTAGTTGTTGTCAATCAAATTGGCGAAAAGAGAATCTTCTCATGTCTTCATTTTGATTTCTTCTATTTTGACTGAGGGTGAGCATTTTCACCTGCTTGTTAACCATTAGTATCCCCTTACCGGTTTATGTGCTTTGCCCATTTTTCTATTCGTTTTTATTTTCCTTATTGACTTGTAAAAACTCATCGGTCATCTATGTTAAAAATATTTTTTCCAGACGGTTGTCTTTAGAATTCAGGATATTACATTAAAAACACATTTTTTTTTCAGAGATGGAGTCTCACTGTGGTGCCCAGGCTGGCCTCAAATTCCTGGGCTCAAGTTATCCTCCCACCTCAGCCTCCCAAGGAGCTGGGACTACAGGCATGTAACACAACACCCTACGTCATATTTTAATACAGCCAATTTTAAAAAATTCTTTCCCTTTGTGACTCCTAGGTTTTGTGTCAAACTTTCCCCAATCCAAGAACATACACTTTTAGACTTTCAGATGTTTTCTTCTAGTAATTTTATGGTTTCCTTTTTACATTTAAATCTTCACTCCATCGGGATTTATTTCAGAATAAGAGATGAAGTGGGGAGCTGGATTTCTTTTTTTTCCCCCTTAACAGCTAACCAGTTGTCCAATTTGATTGAATAATTCATCTTTTCTCCTCTGATCTAAAATGTCATTTTATCATATATTTAATTTCCATTTGTTCACGGGTGTGTGTCTGGCCTCTACTCTGCTCCTTTGATCTGCCTGTCTGTTCTTGTGCCAGTACCCAACTATTTTATTATTGGAGCTTTCTACAACATTTTAGTAGCACTAGTCGTCCCTTATAATACTTCTTTTTCAGGATTTTCCAAGCTCTTTTTGCATGTTTATTTCTCCAGATGAACTTTAATATAATTTGTCAAGTTCAAAAGATCTCGTTGTTTTTCACATCTTCCAACAGATGTGATTTTCGGACATCTCAGCCCACAGCCAAACAGAAACAAGTTGAGAATAGGGTGGGTTTGGTGGTCTGCCCTGGAGGCAGGCAAAGTGATGGTAACAGAAGTGATAGTTTATACGGAGAGAGTTGATGAAGTGATAAAGTACTATAAAAGTAGACACAAGAACTACGAAAATGTAGCCTTCATGGAATGAGCCGTTGGTGTGGGGCCAAAAAAGGCCTTGGATTTTCACTGTATTACAACCAGGATACTGATGGACCCTTGTAACCACAACCCTGAGTCATGAAGACTCACATGTTCTGTAACCTCTGATTAAAAGCCCGGAAAGCGTGTAATATCCACTAGTGATTCCTATCCAAAATATCTCTTTTTAAGGTTTCAGATATTAATGTCTGGAAAACTAGTATGAAATGGTTCATTCTTGGATGGTGACATAAACATGACATGTTACTGGCCTCTTTACAGTTTTCTCAAAGCCCACCTTCAAATTCCAAGGAGCTGCCAGCTCCGGGATTTGAATTCACTCTATCCATGGAAACAAAGCTGAGGGAAATGTCCCCAGACTTTCAGCCAGTTCAAACACAATAATAAAAAAAGGTTTACCTCATACATGCCTCCAACATATGAGGCATGTTATAGGCAGATTATATTTTAATCCTCAACAGCCCCGCTGGGTGAATGCTGTACTCCCATTACACAGAAAACTGAGGCTCAGAGGGGTCAAACAACTGGGGCCAGTTTAAGTTAGTACGTGACAAAGAGCTCTCAGCTACCTCCACCTGCACATTCCACAGACCAGTCCCCTTCAGTTCACTCCCACAGGGAGGTTCAAAACACCACCGACCCTATTCAGACATCCCTTTGCAAGGCCCTGTCACCTGTCTTGCCCAATGCCCACCTAGCCAGGAGAGCCAGGATGCACAGTGAGGAAGGTGGAATGAGGTGCCAACGTAGCCCATCCAGGGAAGGAAGACAGCCCCCCCCCCCCGGCCACCCACTTGCCAGTGGCCCAGGTGGCAGGCCAGCCACTTGCCAATCCCCTTCCTGATCAGGGATTCAGGAAGTGAAGAGAGTGCCCCTGGAAGTCAGGAGACACCTCCAAGATGAAGGCCCTGCCTGCCATAGCCTGACACAGCCTCCCTGTACTCCCTGGGTTGTCCCAGGACGCAGACTCTGTGCTTACCATACCACACCTTTGTCAGTGGTGTGGGCAGGGCCCAGCAGAGTCCTGGACACCCCAGGGAGTAGGAGCTGTGCAGGTAACATAGGAGGGGGTGAAAGGGAAATGAACTCCCTTGGGAGTTCCCCATCCCAGAGGAAATAAAAGTCAAAGCACTCCTTTGTTTTTTCTTCCCAAGCCCTTATAAGGGGCTTTATGGGGCTTGCCTAGGTTTGAGGTGCAGCAGAGGCAGGCGGGTGAGGGCCTCCAGGCTGAGAGATCCTGGGGCAAAAGTGAAACTATATGGTCATGAACACGGGCATGTTCTGAACTCTGTGAAACCCTAGCCCAGGACCTGGCTGACTGTACAATCCGTCACCCGGCACACCGTAACAGAAGACCCTACTACGCGCAGAGGACAGTACTATTGGGGTGGCAACTGAAAAGGGTCCTGGCTGGAGGCGGGGTTTGCTGGAGGGGTAACAGAGCGTGCGCGGAGTGGAGAGGGTACGGAGGCTCACCGCCCAGCATCCCCAACCCCGGCGCTCAGAAGAGCAGCGCGCTCCGGAGCTCGGCGCGCGCGATCAAAGCCGGCGCCGCACGCGCACGCGCGCCCGCAGCCGCTCCCCCGCCCGCGCCGCTCCGGCTCCCGCGCGCGCGCACTTGAGGCCTCCCTTGTGCGTCTCCTCCATTCGCTACGTGCAGAATGGTCCGTCGGCAGCAGCTGCAGCGCTGGGTGGGAGGGGGAGGAGGAGGGGAGGGGGAGGCGGCGCCCAGGTCTCGGGGAGGGGCCGCGGCGGCCCTGGAGATAGAGGGGTGGGGGCGAAGGGGTGGGCCCCCGCAGCGGGGAGGACAGAGGGAGAGTCCGGGTGGGCTCGATGCTCAGCCTTCCCCCTCCCCCGCTCCCGCTTCTTTCTGCGAGGCCATTACGGCCATCTCCCGGCCTGAGCCTCCTGGAACCAAGCCGACCAAGAGGGGTTTCCTCCGTGTTGTCTCGTCCCCAAAACCCAGAATCCAGACCCAAGAAAGAACCACTCCTGCTGACCCCTCCTCCCGCTACCCGTCCCAACCGCATTCCCAAGCTTTCGTGGAGGTGACCCAACAGCAAGCACTTCCCCACTCCGCCTTTCATGGGGTGGGGTCCCTAAGAGGTACTGCAGACTAACTCCTCTTTTCATCTCTTACCCCACCTGGAGGAAGAGGCATGGCCAGGATGGACACCAGAGCACATTTCCCAGCATTTCCAAGGGGAAAGGGCAGCATCTCAGCATGCAGACTCCAACATGGCCACAGAAAGGTCGAGTGGCGCAGAGGAGCAGGCTGCTGCCCAGGCCCCTAGGGCCACTTCCAAAGGAGTGTGACCACGACTAGGTTGCTGTGGACTCACTCGCATTACAGGGCTGCGCCCTATACACCTGTTTGTAAAGGGTCCTCCTAGAATGTAATGGTGAGGGACCACCAAGCGGTGGACCAAGAATTCCAAACAGACCAGCTCCCTGCCTTGCCAGGAAACCAGATGTGGCCCAGATGTCCATAGCAGTTCCTCCCACAGGGTGGGACACCAGCTATTCTGTGCAACCCCTCCCAACCCTTCTTCCAGGGTCAGGGAGGAAAGCTGGCAACCTCCGTTGTCCCTTCCCATTTGGGTTGCTAGAAGGGAGCAACTCACTCATCCTCCTCTTCCTGCCAAGAGCCACCTGGGCTTACCTCTCCAGCAGCCACCTAGGTTCAACCTGTGGTCTAACCTCAAGCCCTCTGCTGACAGGTTAAGTCAAGATCGCCGGGAAGGAAGGCGTCCAGTTTCATTACACACACAGACGTACACACACACCCGACACCGACCCACGCGCCTGGGCTCTGCACAGTGGCTAGACCCCAAAAAGCCGATTCTCCTGTTCCCTCCGTGGTGGCCTCAGTCTTTTGGCGGCGCCCTCTGCTGGCCACTAGGAAGTGCAGGAAAAAACAGTCTGCCCATAGACGCTTGGTGGATCTGGGAAAGGGGACAAGAGGCAGAGAAACAAGTGAAAAGTGGGAGCTGAGAGCAGCGCTGGGCTGGCCACAAACAAGCGAGGCATGGTGACGCCTTCCTGGAGGTGGGGAGTTTTGAGCCAGCTTTCCATGGGCCTAGGGAGACAAGCCGAGCTGGCAGATAGGGGCTCAGGACACCCCAGGAGTGGCCCTTCCTGTGTGCTGAGCCCTACCCCTGTCCTGGATGGCTCATACACCCACTAACTCATATGGCTGCTGTGCCCTGCTTGGGAGTCCTTCCTGTCAGCCTCTATTGGGGTGGTGGGTGGGGAGGAGCAGCCATGGAAACCCTGATCCTTCTAGTCATAGTCTGGCTCCCTGGGGCTGTGAGAGGTGTCCCCAAAGAGAAGCCTCCAATTGACAAACCTCTGCTCCACCCCACCCCACATACACAGAGGATGGCCCAAGCCCAGGTCCCTGGCATGGTGGGGCAGGGGCCTGAGTCACAGCCTGGCGTGACCCTGCCCAGTCCCCAGGAATGGCCAGCTCGTCCAGAGGTGAGACCCAGGTCAACAATCCATCAGTCTGCCTCCTGCCACCAGGTATCCTCCCCATCACGTCCTACACGTGGGGTGGGCCAGGACAGTGCTGGGCAGAGCTAGTGTTGGGCCTGTGCCTGGGGGCCACCAAGGGGGCCCGGAGAAAAGAATGGAGGGGTTTTCACTTCCTGAGCAGCAGGAGGAGCCAGCTGGGGTTAAAGACAGGAGGGACTGGTTGGGCCTACAGGCATTTGGAGTCTCTCCCTGCCTGCTGGGTGAGGGAGGCAGCAGGTGCCAAGAACTGCTAGCTTCTAGGACCTGACCCTCAAGTTGCTTCTCCTGCTGAGGGGCTTCTAGGGTCACCCTCAGGGCCTTGACATCTGCACACATCTGCACAGGCCCTTCACCAGGGACTTAACCTCCAAAGGCAGCTCCTGCTCCCAGCCTTCACAGGCCCCCCTAGGGCCCAAGTCCCCAGACCCAACCTCAGTCTGCAAGCTGGCCAAGTCAGAGGTCCTGGCTGCCTGGACCACTCCCAAGCAGTAAATGGCACTGTGGGCTTCCTCCATCCTGTCTTCCCCGCCCCACTTCATTGATTCACTGACTTCCAACTTACTGGTCAGGCCCCCTTCCAGACCCTGCCTGGATGAAGAGGACTCCCAGAAGCAGTGATTGAAGGCCTAGGAGGATACAGAGAGCCAGGTGCTTTAATTGGAGGTAATTAGTTAATTTACTCTGAAAGCAATGGGGCAGGGCGGGGACAGGGGGAGGAGAGGGGAGGGGAGGAGGTAGGGGGCTGTGACCTAACTGGGCTCAAACTCTCAAACTCTGGTCAGCCTCCTTCTGGACCACAGCAAACCTGTGTGTACCCACCCACTTAGGAGACCCTCTCCTGGGCCCCAGGTCAGAGCAAGACCCAAAGTGGACTAGGGTGGCTCTGCAGAAAAAGCAGGTGCCCTGGGGTGGTGGGAACAGGCCTTTTGAGGTTAGGGAGGTGTGGACTGGCATGAGGGAATTGGAGAGGTGCAAGGAGCTCTGGGATGGGAACTGGTCCCTCTCCTGTCACGTATAATTCCATCCCTCCCAAGGTCATTGCTGTCACCCAAGTTAGGGGCCCAGCCCCCTCCTTTGGTCAGTGAAGTCCCAGGGCAGCCCATTTTAAATACAACGGGGCCTGAAGGCTAACTTCTGGCCTTCCTGCTTCGGGAAATCATTCCAATAACCGGGAAAAAAGGGGGCCCGAGGACAGAGCCCCTGCCGGGCCCCAGGGGGAGTGTCGTCGGCTCCTTTGCGTCGCCGGCCGGCGGCGTGGCGGGGACTCTGGCCGGCAGCCTCCCGCGCCGTCCGGAGCAGCTGACCCGCTGGCGGTGGGCCAGGTCGCGGCGGGGCCTGGAGGCAGCAACGTGCGGCGCGGCATGTCGCGGGCGCCGCGGCAGGGAAATGTGGGGGCGGGCCGGCGCGCCCCCTCCCCCCCGCCTACGCTGGCCCATTCATAAAACCTGCAGGCGCTGCCCGGCCTGGCAGCCTTGGTCTCCTAATTGCAAACTCATTAAGGAGTTTGCATCTCATTTGCATGGAAATCATTTCCTGGCCCTAAACAGAGAAACTTCCCGCCCCTCCACCAGCCCCTCTCTGCCCTGCTTTACCCATGCACAGTCTGGGAGAGGAGAGGGGGCATATCTCTGACCTGCGCCCCTTCCCTGGCCTCACCACCACCCTCCCACTTTAGGAGTTGGGGAAGGGATTGGCAGAACACCCACCCAGCCAGGAGCCCTGCCTGTGCCCCAGGTGAGCCGGCCCTGCCCTAGTGGGTCCAACTGAGGGGAGGTGCCTGCCAAGTCATTTGCCCCCCGGCCTGGCCGTGCCCAGGGAAGGGAGGAGGCGGTCGGCAGTTGGCCCCAGCAGCTGGTTGTACCTGGCAGGAGGTGGGTGAGGCTTTTCGTGCCCAGCCTCACGTACGTGCCCTGCCATAGGCCGTGCCCCCACCCCCACACCCCTCACCCCACAGAACAAGCGCCTAGTGACTGCAGAAACAGACACCCAGTCATGGCACACAAAGGCACCCACACCAGGCCAGCCATCATGGCTGCCCCCCTGGCAGCCACCCTGGAGGGCAGACAGATGCCTTCACAAGCCATTTTGTCTTTCTCCAGCTTGGTGCCAGGACTGGGGGTGGGGGAAAGGGTTTCTCCTGAGACTTCTCTGAGTAAGGGGGCCCACAGAGGGGTTTCCTTATGTACCCCAGCTGTGGCCTCTTGCCCCCTCTCTCCTGTAACCCATGTTTACAGAGGCCTCCAAGTGCTCTACCCTGCATGGGGACCTGCCCAGGCGAGGGGGTCACAGGAGCCTCCAACCCAGGAGGGGAAGTGAGAGATAAAGCCCCTAAGGAAGGGACACCTAAGTGCCTCCCCAACCAGGGTCTGTCCTTCGTGTCCCAAGTGTGTGTAGTGGAGGGAGTGCTCCCCAGTTTCCTGGGGGTTGAGGTGGGGCGGTATTCTAAACCTTTGGAAATGGAATAGAACTACCTAAAGTATATGAAATTAGATACTACTTGGGACACTATGTCTTGGTTCTGTATGTCCTGGGACAGTGTAAAAAGTGATCACAAAATTTTCAACATCACAGTCTAAAATAAAAACCTGCCTCTTGTCTGCCTCCTCAGACATAAACCTGCTTACGCTTCCCATCTGCCCACACTCCCACCTGCTGTATCTGAAGTTTCTCCCTTCCTTTGCTAGGGCATAAAGGGGTGGGCAAGGATGTTCTGGAACACTGACCACACATCCGTCCTGAGTATGGCTGGACTGACCCTACCCTCCCAGCTCCTGGAGCAGTTGGGTTCCAAGTGCCATATGTGTGCGTGGTTCAGGGGTACTGGAAGAAAGTTTTAGAATGCCTATTTATTTTTCATCGAATCCTTTTTTCATTTAGTGTGAGTGTGTTTTACAAGGTAAACTATATAAAAACATACTCATCTGACGGGTGCGTACTCAACAATCTTTTTTATTGCTAAGGGCACATGATCAAAAAAACTTCGGAGGTCACTGGCCTAGACTTCAGGTGGGGCAGCTGTGGGCAGGGGATGGCTTGTCTTGTCCATCTAAGTATCCAGCCTGACACATGACTAGTTCAGAGCCTGGCAGGGAGCAGAGGTCAGGGACACAGTATTGAATGAATGAAGTCCACCCCTAGAACTGACAGATGAGGAAACTGAAATAATTCTGGGGCGGGGAGATTGCTCAGAGGAGGACATGGGCAGGTTGAGAGAGTCTCCCCTCATTGCTGCTATGTCTGCAGCCTGCCCGTGTCCAACACCCAGCACCCACACAAACCTTACTTCTACCCACCCCAGGGAGCACAGCTCCCTCCTCTGCCTACCAGCAGAGTGGCCACCTGTCTTGAGCTTCTTACTGGATCCTGATTAGCAGAGCCAGACAGGGTTGTCACCTGCCATATCCCTCTACGTGGCAGAAAGTCTGTTGCCAGCTTTGTATCCTAGAACTCTCTGGAAGTCAATCTGGTGTAGGAGAAAGAATTTAGGCTCCAGACAGGCGTCAGTCCTCATCCAGCTTGGTGACCTTGGGCACAACACATAACTGGTATAAGCCTCAGTTTCCCAATCTGTATCTTGGGACCAATATTTGTACTTACTGTACAGAGTTGTTGTGAATGTTGAGTAGCCCACTGTGTGTGTAGGCTCTGGCATATACTAGGTGTTCAGTAAGATTCCTGTCCCTCTGTGTGCAGCAGGTGCCCCATGAAGAATCTGTTGAATTGTGATTTGACATCAGCATGGGAAGGAGAATTCCGAAGGCAGACAAATGAGCCTTTGCTCCCTCCTCTGCCTGCTGGCACGGTGCCCACCAGTCTGAGTTCTGTCCTGCACCTTCCTGCAGAAATGAAGCAGCCACTCTGGCAGCCTTGGGTCCCCTCCAGGCTCATCCACTCTGTGGTGGGGTGTCCTCCTCCTTTTCTCCCTTACAGCTCCTTTCCCTTTTTCTGTGCTGCCTTCACTTCAAGCATGAGCTGAGGGTGACTCCTGGTGGCCATTCATATAACTGCAGAATCCTGACCATTGTCACCGCCACCTGGAAGTGCATGAAGTCGAGTGTGCAAGGAAGCCATTCTTCACACTTTCCCTACACCTCCCAACTCCCTGTCAGGGCCCTGGGGAGCCTCAGGGGTGGCCACTCCCCGGGGACTCCACCCTCCGAAGTTCCACCTCTAAGGGCTTCACTTGCCTGATGGGTGGGGACGATCAAGGAGGCCTCTGCCCAGATCCTGCAGCACCAGGCCTGCCCCAGGCAAAAAGCAGGACAGTGGCTACTCTTCCCTCAAGTGCCACTGAACACTTTGCAGGCATCATTTTGTCCAATTCTTATCACTGGAGCCCATTATCACAAAGAAGAAACCAAGGTTAAGCAACTTGCCAAGGGTCACACAGCTCCTCAGTGCCCAAATGGTGAAATGAATACAGGTGACACTCAGTGGGACACCAGACCAGCCCCTGGGGGACAGAAGAGGCCTATAGGAAGGAGCCTGCCATGGGGTTAGAAGCCTCAGATTCTGACCCGACCTTGCCCCAACTAGTGGGGTGGCCTCCATCAAGGGCCTCTGCTCACTGAGCCTCAGCCTCCTCGATGGCATCATGGGGCGGAGGACAGAGCAGGATTCTCAGATTGGCTGTACATGGGAATCACTGGGAGGATTTTTCAAATACCCATGTTTGCCCAGCCCTGACTAAGGAAATCAAAATTGGTAGGGGTTGGCTAAGACAAAGGTAATTTTAAGAAAATATTTCTAGGTGATTCTATAGGCAGCCAGGGTTGAGAATGGGTCCTCTAGGAGTTCCCCATCTTCAGACTTCCCAGCCCTCTAGAGGTCAGCTCCCCAGGGCTCCCCTCTGTCCTAAGGGCTCTCCAGATAAACTTTTTTTTTTTTTTGAGACGGAGTCTCGCTCTGTTGCCCAGGCTGGAGTGCAGTAGCGCAATCTCAGCTCACTGCAAGCTCCGCCTCCCGGGTTCACGCCATTCTCCTCCCTCAGCCTCCTGAGTAGCTGAGACTACAGGTGCCTGCCACCACACGTGGCTAATTTTTTTTGTTTTTTTTTAGTAGAGGCGGGGTCTCACCGTGTTAGCCAGGATGGTCTCAATCTCTTGACCTCATGATCCGCCTGCCTCAGCCTTCCAAAGTGCTGGGATTACAGGCGTGAGCCACCGCACCCGGCCCAGAGAAACTATCTTAGCTTGTCTACCCAGACCCACAAGAAGCTGCCTCCCAACCACCCAAGGGGACACAGGCCCATCAACCCTTTCCAGAGGGGGCACAGTAGGCTTGAGACTCTTGAGTCTCTGACCCCCAGCCTGGCCTCTGGGGTGGGGGGAGAGAAAGTCATAGGGAGCTTAACCTCAACAGGATGAAGGCGCCATAATTAGGGTCAGGCGGTTGGCTCAGCCTGCGGAAATCCCCAGCTTAGTAGGGATGGGGAGTGGCACTGCAGCCTGCGGGAGGGTTCAGGGCAGAAGTGAGGGGGCAGGGGGAGCCCAGGCACATGGAAACCCAGGACCTAGGCCCCAATTGCATCCTGAGAGGGCCCACTGGGGGCTTCTCAACACAGTTCACTCCCTCCCTGGGGTTGCTGAACCCCAGGGAGGGAGGGAAAGGCTGACCAGCCCCCCAACCCCAGAGACCCTACTGCTCCCTCAGGCTGGGGTGCATCAGGATCATCCCCCTACCCCAGCCTTTGTCAGGAGGAGGAGGGCACCGGTGGGAAAAGGCTACGTGAGTGTTCCCAGGGCGACCCAGGCTTTTCTCCTGACTGTAATCCTCAGGCCTTGAGAGAGGGATCGCTTTCCACTGTGGAATGTAACAAAGGGGACAAAATGGGGCAGGGGAGGGGGGCAGAAGCCAGGGAGGGAAGCTTGCAGGGTGGTACTTTTAGCCCCCAAAAGGCCCTCCAGGAGGCAGCTGCACAGAGAGAACCCCCCTGCCCCCATGACTCCCTGAGCCTGTCATCCAGCTCACCCCAGGGCACAGGGTCTCATCCTGGGTTGTCCAGGTGTCCCCCCGCAGACTCCTGCCATGAATCCCAGTGCAGGGGGATTTGGATGATCACCTTTGCCAGCCACTCATTTTGCAGGGGAGGAAATATTCCAAGAGATGAAAACTAGCCAAGACCACGCAGCACCAGAACCACTCCCAGAAGCCCCGGCTTCCCCAGAGACTGCTTCAGTGAGCCGGCAAAAACTGAAGCCTGCAGCCTCAGGAGTTCCCACACACACCTAGGCCAGAATCCCTCTGCCCCGCAGCAGGACACCCCTCCCTCTTGCCCTCCAGGGTCATGGGCTAGACATGGCAAGGTAAGCAGAAGGCAGATGCATACTAGTCCACACAAGCTTGTGACGGCTGGGACTAGGGGCCAACCTAGTGGCTCCCACGTTGAGAATCAACGCCAATTCCAGGAAGCCTTCCCGGCTAACCCCCAAAAAGCTGGCAATACTTCCCTCCCACAACACAGCCTTGGCTCTCGAAGGCTGTCCTCTCCCCCAGCCTCACTCTGACTCATCATGTAGGTCCCGCATGGGCCTCAGTTCTCCTGGCCATGGGCTCTCCCCATACCTTAACCTGGGAACCGTTGTGGGCAGGACCATGTGGGACAAAAAGGTCCTGTGCCCAACCCAGCACCAATCACAGGGAGGCCTGGGGATAAGCAGGGGCTCTTGGAAAGGGGGCAGAACTCAGCTCAAGTCACAGAACCTGGGAAGGACCTTCAGTGGAAAGCCGCTTCAAATGTCATCTGGGATGAGCATGGTGGCTCACACCTGTCGTCTCAACACTTTGGTGAAACTGAGGCTGGAGGATTGCTCAAGGCCAGGAGTCGAAGACCAGCCTGGGCAACATAGCAAAACCTTGTCTCTCTGTGTATTTTTTTAATATTAAAAAAAAAAAATTTAAGGTCATCTGGTCCAGTCCCTCGTGCCTCCCAGTTGGGAGGCACTGAACTTCTCAACACTGCAGAAACAGGCATCTCTTCATATATTTAGTCATTCAGTCATCCATCCAATGAACCTTGCCCAACTATCTTCTACATCTCCGCAGCCCAGGCAACCCAATCCATTCTCAAGGCACAGACTAAATCCTTACCAAATAGAGTCAAGGGTCCATCCATTTCCTCTCCTGGGCCTAACATGGTGCTAAGTGGAAGTAAAAGGTGCTGATCAGCAACGGCCACCCACTTTTATGTTGCACGGTGGCATTCTCACCTGGCTTGCACATCACCAGGTGATGTTCATTTCAGACTCAGCCACCATTCCAGACAGGTTGTCCCTCACTGGCAGATGGGAAGCTGAGGCTGAGCAGGTGAAATGGTCTTGCAGCTGGAAGAAAGGTAGGGCCAGGACTTGGCCCAGGCAGCTAAGCTCCCAGCCCCAGATTCATTTTACACACCCACTCCCAGCCCTCCACCAGCTTGGGTTTCATGTGGAAACAGGATTTCCCCCGGGGGAATGAAAATTTGATTTTGGCCCCTAATTATAAAAATAATAACAGTGAAGATGGATCAGAGGCCTGCTGGTCTCAGTGCTGTGCTGATTTTGCTAAATGCACAGGTGTCAAGTGTTGCCCACAGAACCCCCCACCCCTCCTCGGGGCCAGGCTCACAATGCCCTTGGCTGGCACAGCTGCACATGCAGACACACACGCACGCACACACATGCATGCATGAGTCCCTGCACGTCCCAGGAGATGTGTCCCACCCCCTTCATTCCCCTCTGATAACCCAGCAGCTTCCAGCAGGACAGACACGTACCCTTCAGGCTGGCCATGTCAGGCACGTGCCAGACCAGCTGCCAGGGCCCAGAACCTCAGGCCTGCTGGGCTCTAGAAGGTGACTTTCTCCATAGCTGACCCTGTTCAACCTCAGGAAGGATGATAACTCTCCGGGATGTGAGGGATGTGAGACCCCACCCAAACCCTCTGCGGAGTCAGTGTCCATGCAAGGTAGGGTTTAATGAGAAGCCTCAGGGAGCCCCCCAGCTTCCTGTGGGCACCCAGCCCCTGCTGGAGTCCTGGGGAGAGTGGGCATACTCTGAGGAGATGCAGAGAAACAAGCAGAGGCTGAGGTGGGGCCAGCAGGGCTCCAGCAGGAAAGGGGGTGAATCTGGGAAGGGTAGAGGTAATAGAGATGCATGGAGAGGGCTTGGCCGAGGAGTGCTAACTGGGTAGTTGGAATTTAAGAAAGAGAAGACCCGTGTGACCTGGGAAGAGATTAGGAAATGGGCTCTAGAGCAGGCAGCACTGGGTTTGGATCCTGGCCCTGCCACTTATAAGCCGGGTGACGTTGGGCAGGTGGCTTACCCTCTCTGAGCCCCTCCATGTCATCTGCAAAATGGGCATACTAATAGCACCCAGCTCACAGATTGTGAGAAGAAAACGAGGTCCTCGGTGTAAAATGCTAAGCGTTGTGTCCGGCACACAGAGCCTGCTCAATTCACGGTAGCTGTTCTTTGGAAAGTACAGAGGCTCTGAGAGAAAACCCTGAGAAGTGAGCCACAGCCTACCCTGTGGGCTGTTAGAAAGGGGGTCCACATGGGTGAGAGGCAGCAGAGGGGCTGGGGCCAGGGACCAGGGCAGCCTCTGTCCTTGTCACTCTTGTCTTTGAAGGGTATGACAGGGTGAAGAGGTAAAGACAGCCACTGCTGCCCTGCTGGGGTCTTTCCAGGGAAATTGTGAGGGTCCTGGGGAGCTTTTCTCCACCCCATGCCTGCATCATTCAGATGAGGGGGCCAAGGGCCACAGAGAAGAGACTTGCCCACGGTAACTCAGAGAGTGAGGATAGAGGTAGGCCTGCTAAGCCCTAGTCAACTTCCTTTTCCCTGCCCCTGCTCAGAAAGAGAAGCCAGGGGCCAAAGACCTAGAAACCACATTCCCTGGGAATAGAGATGCAAGACTCTGCTCCTGTTCCCATCCAAGGCTTTGACTAAGACCTTGCTGAGGCCTGGAGAACTCGCGTGCTTCCTCTAAAGCCCAGACCGAAGACACCTCCTCTGGAAAGCCTACGCTGACCGGTGATGGCTGTCCTGCCAGATGGCCAAGCTGCATTCTGCCAGGACAGGCTCATACCCTTCGGGCTGGCCATGTCGGGACGTGCCAGACCAGCTGCCAGGGCCTGGGGCCTCTTTTGAGGCTTTGACTTGGCCCCCACCCTGGTTCGTGGACCTGTTATTTCCCCATGCTGAGCTTCAAGGTTCTGAGGCCAGAGACAGGGTCCTAGTCAAGTTTGAGGCCTCAGATCCAACACCATGACCCAGCCCAGTGCTTTTGTGCGTGGAATGAAGGAATCCTGACCATGCTGGGCTGAGACCTGCCAGGGCAAGGGCCCCAGGAGTAGGCACAGGGCCCTGGGGCATAGCCATCCTGCCCTGGCCTATCCCTGCCCCATGCCTGAGCCCTATGCTAAGAGCAAGTTCCTGTTGCAAGCTGTACCCTGTCCCAGACACGTGGCATTTACCAAAAGGGCAGAGACAGTGAGAAGGGCCTCCCCTGTGCCATCCACTCACAAAGGGGCTGGAAAGGCCAGCAAGAAGGAGAGGAGTCATATTTCAAAGGGCTCTGAAGATGTCACAATGACGGCAATGCTCACCACCTCAAACCGCCCAAGGAGCCATATCCAGACTAGACAATATAAGAAACAGCTGCAGAGCAGCCAGAGGACAGCAACCCTACCCCAGAAATGGACATGAGAGATAAACAGACAATTAAACAATTGAGGCCAGGAGTTCGAGACCAGACTGGGCAACATAGTGAGAATCTGCCTCTTTAAAAAAATGTTAAAATTAGCTGGGCAAGGTAGGGTAGTGTGTGCCTATAGTCCTAACTACTGAGGAGACTGAGGTGGGAGGATCACTTGAGCAGAAGTTGAAGGCTACAGTGAGCTATGATCACACCATAGCACTCCAGCCTGGGTGACAGAGTGAGATCCTGTCTCAAAAAAAAAAAAAAAAAAAAGAAAAGAAAAGATGCTGAAAATCATTATACATCACTCTACCTCTAGTAGATGGGAAAAATTCGAAAGCTGGATAAAGCCCAGCATTGGTGGGGATGTGAGTGACAGCCCCATCCCCACAGGGCATGTACTAGGGGAATTTGGCAGCTCATTCATAGAGTGGGTGGACAGGAAAATGTGTGGCTGCACATCATAGGGTTCCATGTAGCAGTTGGAAGCAACAAGGCTAGATTTTATTTTGATTGATTGATTGACTGCACTCCGTCACCCAGGCTGGAGTGCAGTAGCATAATCATAGCTCACTGCAGCCTCCAACTCCTGGGCTTAAGTGATCCTCCCGCCTCAGCCTCTCAAGTAGCTGGGACTACAGTTGTACATCACCATGCCCAGCTCAAGGCTAGATTTTATACAGTGTTGACTCAATGAGATCTATAACACAATGACATTTATCAAAGTAAAAAGAAAAATACGTGCTTACAAAAGAGTAATGCCCACCTGCAGGAACCATACAAACAAAGGCATCAAAGACAGTAAAATGGGGAAACAAAAGAAGGGTGTGAGGAAGGGAGGAAAGGAATAAACACCAAACGAGAAAGGTCAGTGATGCCAGTGAGCCTGCCATGGCCTGAGTAACACTAGCCACACCCCCGGTCCACAATGAGGACCACATCTGAGGTCCACAGGGAGGAACAGTCCCCAAGGTCCTCAGCGCAGGCTCAGGTGGAGCCAGGAGCCGCTTCCATGAGGGTCAGATCTGGGCCTAACCTCAGAGCTTGCCCCTCCCCGCACCCTCCACAGCAGAGGAGGCTCTTGGCCAAAGTCAAGCTGCTGTACACGCAGGGTCGCACCCACCTTGGGCCCCTTTTATGCCCTGGAAGTGGAAGAGGACAGACCTCAAACTAGAGCAGTGATTCTGCCCTGAGCTGGGTGCCAGGAGAAAATGGGAAGCAAGTCCTCACTCTTACAAAAGTTCCTGGGAGGTCAGGCGCAGTGGCTCATGCCTGTAATCCCAGCACTTTTGGGGGCAAAGGCAAGAGGATTGCTTGAGGCCAGGAGCTCAAGACCAGCCTGGCCAGCATATTGAGACCCCCATCTCTAAAAACATTTTTTTTTTAATTAGCTGGATATGGTGGCTTGCGTCTGTAGTCTCAGTTACTCAGGAGGCTGAGGCAGGAGGTTGATTTGAGCCCAGGAGGTCCAGGCTGCAGTGAGCTATGATCACACCACTGCACTCCAGCCTGTGTGACAGAGTAAGACCCTGTCTCAACTTTTTAAAAAAAAATTCCTGGAATTCAGGTAATTTTTTTTTTCTTTAAGGAGAGTCTTTATCTTTAGACACACATTTAGAAAAATCTGTGAAATGATATAATGTTATAAATGTGCTTCAAAATCTAGGTGTGGTGGCAGGGGAGAGGGGGCAAGTAGGTGGATGAAACCAGCTTGGTGATAAATTGATAGCTGCTGAGTCTGGGAATGAGTGCGTGGGGTTCATTATACCTTATTCTCTATTTGTGCACGTGTTTCAGAGTTTCCATAATAAAAACTTCAAAAAGAAAAACTTCCCAGTAAGAAACTCTCCCATGTGAGGGGACTAGCCCCTGACCTCAGGGAACCCCACCCAGTCTGCCAGGGGACACACAACCCCTGCCCTGCATCTTCTTAGCCTGCCTCGGCTGGCCAGGGGCCGCATTGTAGGACACAGCCATGGGGGTCCTGACAAATGCTCAGCCTCGGACCTGGCCTTATCACTGAAGCCAAGGGTCAGGCACTGGAGCCACATCTGAGCAGACCTGGTTCTGGTTCCAGCTCCACCTTGCACGTAGCCTGAGGCACCTCACCTGAACCACACCTGCCTGGATCCAAGTCCTGGGTCATTATCAGTGAGAAAGTCCTCCTGCTCTTACTGTGGCTGCTCCTCTCACTGCCTCTGCCTCCACGTCTGTATGATGAGGACTGGAATCACCAGGCAAGTTTGCAAATTAAATGAGGCAATGCTCAGTGTGCACTCAGACAGAGCTGCCAGGACCAGGGGAGGGAGCTGGCCAGGGTCATACAGCCAGCTAGTGGCAAAACTGGGTTCTTCACGGGAGCAGGGCACCGTGCCAGCTGCCACTCCCATCCCCCACCATGAGGCCTTCAGGCCAGTGGACAGCATGTCTTCTTTCAGAGTCTGAGGCCGTGTCCCTGAGACCCTGCCCTCCAGCCCCAACTCCCATTCCAGGAGCCTCTGACTCAGGAGAGCACCAGGAAGCCTGCGTGGGCCAGATGCAAGCCAGGAAGGACAGGGCTGGGGAAGAAGGAGGCAGAAGCCTCTATCCTGCCCTCCCGGAACACAGAGGTATCCAGGTACATCAGTCTGGGAGGGTGCACCCAGACTCAGGGACTCTACCAGGAGACTGCTGGGTGACTCCTAAGTCAGGAGTCTTAGCCTTGCCTGGCCTTTCCTTTAATTAACAATAATAATAGTCAACATTTGTATACCTCCTACTGTGTACAAGGCAGTGTTCTGCTTTAGGTGTATTATCTCATTTAATTCTCACAACAACCCTAAGAGGCCAATGCTATTATTGTCTTCATTTTACAGATGGGGAAACCTAGGCAAAGAGAGGGTAAGTAACTTTCCCAAAGTCACTCAGCTTGCACACAGCAGAGCTAGGATTTGGCCCCAGCCAGCCTGCCTTGAGTTTGTGCTCTTACCCACCCCAGCGCACTCTCAGACAGCATGGCCTGGCTTTTCCTGAGCCAGCGCTTCTGATTCCCCCTGGGGTATAACAGCTGATACCCTGTTTATACCACAACACCTGGGATGGGAGCTTCACCCAGGGGTGGCAGTGCTAGTACCCGGGCAGCACTCCCACCTTGTCTCTTACTCGGGAAAGCAGAGCAGAAGGTAAGCGGGAATAACGCTATCAGAGGGATGGGTTTTTAACTCATTATTTTCTCTTCTTCTTTTTTGTTGTTGTTGTTGAGATAGGGTGTCACTCCCATCACCCAGGCTGGAGTGCAATGCCACAATCTTGGCTTACTGCAACCTCCGACTCCTGGGATCAAGTGGTTCTCCTGCCTCAGCCTTCTGAGTAGCTGGGACTACAGGTGCATGCCACTGCACCTGGCTAATTTTTGTATTTTTTGTAGAGATGGGGTTTCTCCATGTTGCTCAGGCTGGTCTCAAACTCCTGGCCTCAAGCAATCCGCCTGCCTCTGCCTCCCAAAGTGCTGGGATTACAGGCATGAGCCACCGTGCCCAGCCTCCTTCTTCATTTAAATCACTCATAAAAAGTTAACCAAGATCTGGGCCAAGTGCAGTGGCTCAAAAATATATATACAAAAAAAATTAGCAGGGCATCGTGGCACACTTGTGGTCCCAGCTACTCAGGAGGCTGAGGTGGGAGGATTGCTTGAGCCAGGGAGGCAGAGGTTGCAGTGAGCCGAGATTGTGCCACTGTACTCCAGCCACTCCAGCCTAGGCAACAGAGTGAGACCCTGTCTCAAAAAAACAAAAGAAAGTTATCCAAGATCGGCAACAAAGTAGTCATGAAACACCCTTACAACCAGTCACAGCAAGGCCCTGGAGAATCTCTTTGGTCTACTGAATGCAAGCAGCTGGGGCATCCGCTCCCAGCTGAAACATGCTGAAAGAGGAGTGGATAAGAGCACAGGTCTCAGGGTGGGTGCTGCCACTTCCAAGCTGTAAAACCCTGGACCACAGATTAGTTCACCTCTCTGGGCCTCAGTTTTCCCATCCGTAAAGTGGGGTGATAATAGCATCTCCTTGCAAAGTTGTTAGAAGTTTGTTTTTTGTTTTTTGTTTTGCTTTTTTTTTTGTTTTCCTGCCTCAGGTTTATTTGTACAAATGGCAGAGGAGGACACCAGCCCCATGCAGATGGCAGCCCAGGGGGGTCATACTAGTCCTTCTGTCCTTATGTTGGCGGACAGAGATCTCTACTCTGAAACCTTTGTAGGGGCCTGGACAGCTTTGGGAGCCTGAGCTAGAACTGAAGCTGGAGCTGCAGCCTGGGCCTTGGTTTGGTCCTTGGCCTTGGCCTTTGGCCGGCACAGCCTGAGCCCCTTGGCAATGCAGGCACGAGCACGCTTCCCAAGCTTGGGGTGGGCAATGTAGGCAAGTCAATCGAGCTTGCGGCTGACACCCTTTGGGATCTTGGGCTTAACCTCCTTGGGCTTTCGAGGACCTTGATAGCCTCAGCACGTGCCCTCATGGCCTCGGCATTGTTGGCCTGCATCTTTTTTAGGCCCTTCTTGTTGTGCTTCTTGGCAAGGTGCATGCTCCTTAGGAACTTGAGGTCCACCCCATTAAGACATTTGTATCTTTGTGATCGGGGTTTCCTGATGCCATTTCTGTGCCATTTTGGGGACTGGTTGTGTGTGTTGTGGTTCTTGACGTTGCCATGTCTGCACCTTAAGCCGCAGCTGCTAAAGCACCTAGAACCGGAAAAAGCTAGAAAGTTTAAATGAACTAATGTATGTAAAGCATTCAGCCTAGGGCCTGGCACATAGAAGGTGCACAACATGGGCTATTAGCATTACTACTGTGATCAGGACCACCCCAACCAAGTCATGCGCTCTTTTGGGGGAAGGAACTGCATCTTATTTATCTTTGTCTATTTGAGCATTTGCCATGGGCTTGGCACACAGTAGGTGCTCCATGTCTTAGATCAGGTTCCCCAGAAGCAGATCCTGAGATGAGGATTCATAGCTAAATGATTTGGGAGTGCTCCCAGGGAAACTGGAGAGGGACTCGGGGAGCAAGACAAGAAAGTAAGAGGCCAAGAAGGGTGCAGATTCAGGCAAAATTCTGCAGAGGGTGACTTCTGCCTGATCTCGCAGGGGAACTTGGGAGTGTAAATTACACCTCAGGGTTGTCCTCGCCCCAGGCAAGGGAGCTGGGACCTCACTCTCCTGCACCTCAGTCATTGGCTAAGGGCCACCATGGAGGGGATAGATTTCCAGGCACTTCCCATCATGCTCCAGTAGCAGAGGGCAGTGCTGAGAGACCACCTAGAAGGGAAGGCACCCAGGGGCCAGGAGGGTCCATGAAAATGGAAAAGGGCTGGAGGGGACCTGCCACCTTCCATAAATGTCATCCCAGCCTCTGAAAGATCACAGTTCCCCAGGAAGTCCAGGACAGTGGAGGCAGAGTGGGCAGAGGGGACTGCCAGGCCGTGGGAGCAGCTCTAACTTACGCGTTGGTCAGAGCCGGGAGGTCCTTTGAGTGGCCAGCCTCCCTACCAGCTGACAGGGGCAGGCCTGGGACTGCCTGAGTTGGTCTTAAGAGCCCCTACTATGTGCCTGGCGTAGATGCTGAGTTCTTCACATGATTTTCTCATTTAACCCTCACACCACCCCTAGACAGATGACTCTGAGGCATGGAGGCATAGCATAGAGAGGCCTTCCTGTGACCCCCCAAAGAGTGAAGGGCAAAGATGATTGATGTCATTAAGAAATGCAAATAAAAACCACAATGAGCTATCATTTCACACCCACTAGGGTGGTTATAATAAAAAATCTTTAATGAAATATAAGTGTTGGTGAAGATGTGGAGAAATGAGATCCCTCACACATTGCTAGTGGGAATGTAAAAGGGTACAGCTGCCGTGGAAGTTTGGCAGTTCCACCTTAAGCTAAACACAGAAGCACGACAGGACCCTGAAATTCCACTCTTAGTATAGACTAAAACAAATTAAATACACTTGTTCAGACAAAAGCTTGCACAAGAATGTTCACAGCAGCACTATTCACAACCCCAACAGTGGAAACAACCCCTATGTCCACCACTGATGAATGGATAAACAAAATGTGGGTATATCCATACAATGGAATATTATTCAGTCTCATAAAAAGAAACAAAATACCGACACATGCTACAACATGGATGAACCTTGAAAACATTATGCTGAGTAGAAGAAGCCAGACACAAAAGGCCATATAGTGTACAATCCCATTTATAGGAAATGTTCAGAATGGGGAGATTTTTAGAGACAGAATGCAGATTGCTGGCTGCCAGGGGCTGGGAGTCAGGGACTGAGGAGCGGTGTGGAACTGGGGGGTGGTGACAGTCAAGAAGCATTTTCTTTTTTTTTCTTTTCTTTTCTTTTTTTTTTTGAGATAGGGTCTCACTCTGTCACCCAGGTTGGAGTACAGTGGCATGATCTCCGCTCACCACAGCCTCAACCTCCTGAGCTCAAGCAGTCCTCCCACCTCAGCCTCCCAAGTAGCTAACTACATGGGCACACCATCACAAGAACTCATTTTTGTATTTTTTTTTTGTAGATACAGGGTCTCCCCATGTTGCCCAGGCTGGTTTTGAACTCCTGGGCTCAAGCAATCCACCCGCCTCAGCCTCCCAAAGTGTTGGGATTACAGGCATGAGCCACCGTGCCCAGCCTGCACAGCATTTTCAATGTACTAAATGCTGCTAAATTATACACTTTTTAAGGCCAGGTGCAGGGCTCACGCCTGTAATCCCAGAACTTTGGGAGGCCAAGGTGGGCGGATTGCCTGAGCTCAGGAGTTTGTGACCAGCCTGGGCAACATGGTGAGACCCCATCTCTACTAAAAACACAAAAAATTAGGCAGGCGTGTTGGCACACACCTGTAATCCCAGCTACTTGCGAGGCTGAGACAGGAGAATCACTTGAACACAGGAGGCAGAGGTTGCAGTGAGCCGAGATTGCACCACTACACTGCAGCCTGGGTGACAGAGTGAGACTGTCTCCTAAATAAATAAAACATTTTAAAATGGTTAAAATGGCAACTTTTATGTGTACTCTGCCAGAATTCTCTTAAGTTAAAAAAAAATGTGAGTTTTGAACCTCCCCTCCAAGGGCCTGGGAGCTGCCAACACAGAGTCAGCCACAGTGTTTCCAGATGGACAGAACGAATCAAAAAGATGTCTGCCAGACACTATGCCAACAGGAAGATGGGACTCAAGTTGTTTTTAAAATTTTTTGTGCCTTGGCCTGCTGGAGAAATAAAAGCTCTGAACTTGAGTTCACATAGGCCTGAATGTAAATGCTGGTTCCAACACTGGCTGTGTGACCTTGGGCAAATCACTGAGTCTTTCTGGGCCTCAGTTTTCTCATCTGTAAAATGGAGATAAGCAGCAGCTCTTTGTTAACTCATGAAAAAGCCCTAAGTGTAGTGCAGGAACACAGTAAGGACCAGCAAGGGTTGGTTTCTTTCCTCCCTCTCCTTTCCCCACACATGTCCTTGACATTTATCCCAGCCAGATTTCACCTGTACAGACACCCTCCCGGGAGGTTGTACACAGAGCAACACTTGTCGAGGTTCTCTGATGGACCCTGCCCATGGGATGTTTACACTTTCAAAGAGAAAACGAGTTAATCCACAGGAAGCCTAAGTGATAGAGGGGACTGAAGAATTTCTAAACTAATCCAGGAAATATTCTGGACTAATCCAGGAAATATTCAGGCCCTTTCCCTCCAATCATGCCACCAGGCCAGCAACCTGCTTCAACACTATCTCCCTTCACACGCACACGCTCTCCAAACTCCTTACCCAACAATTCCCAGGAGCTGGTTTCTGACCTTGTTCTCCCCTGTCCATAGCTCAAAATGTCAGCATAAGAATGCTGTTCGGCCTTTCTAGGGAAGAACTATTCTTGTTTTCAATTTTTGGTATTAAAATATTCATTTTTTAGGATACAATAGTAGGAAACTAATTTTTTACCTATCCTGTGTCCTTACTTGACAAAATAAGATGCCACGAACCTTTATGCCAGTTCCCAAAATGACTTTTTGAATTTTTATTGATAAATCCTCAAATCTGAGAGCACAACACTGTGCTCCCTAACCCTAATCTCCCTCTCCCAGCAGGGAGTGAATCCTGCTTCATTTGCTCAGTGAGCACAAGGAAGGCACGGGCCCTGGGGTCCATCCCTGCCAGGCCACTCCTTCCAGCCCTCTCTGTCATTCCCACAGCAGCAGACAGGCAACAGCATTCCCTCTTCCCAGCATCGCTGATGCCAGGCTGGGTACCACAACCTCTGCATACCAACGGACTGGTCCCTACATCCTGATGCCAGAGGAGGTGGGTAACATTGAGCCATCACACTCACTCAATTACCAGACCCCTGGGTCAGCTTAAGAAGGGATGGAGTCCGGGCGCAGTGGCTCACACCTATAACCCCAGCACTTTGGGAGGCCAAGGAGGGTGGGTCACCTGAGATCAGGAGTTCAAGACCAGCCTGACCAACACGGAGAAACCCCGTCTCTACTAAAATTACAAAAAATTAGCCAGCCATGGTGGCGCATGCCTGTAATCCCAGCTACTCGGGAGGCCGAGGCAGGAGAATCACTTGAACCCAGGAGGCAGAGGTTGTGGTGAGCCGAGATCATGCCACTGCACTCCAACCTGGGCAACAAGAGCAAAACTCCATCTCAAAAAAAAAAAAAAAAAAAAAAAGAAGGGATGGTCTGTGTTCAGAGAGCAATTTTCCTCTGAACCAAATGAAGCTTCATCAGACTGTGTGGACCCCACTCCGCCTGAACAAGTCACAGCCCAATCTCCCCACTGAGAGGGGCCTATGAGCATCGCTGTGTCCTCTTGACCTTCTGTAAGTCTCTCGGGTTTGACCAGACCATTCTAGGTATTGTCCTACCACGCAGGGTAATGCAAAGGGCGTGGCCAAGGTCCCTAATGCTACAGCCAGTAATATACCCCAAACTCTCCACTCAAAATCCTGTCCTGGGCTGGAAAGCAAAGTAAGTGGCAGAAACATGAGGCCACCCCTGGACATTCCCACTCTGGGAGATATCAGGCTCAGCTCCACATGTAACCTGCAGCATGTGTTAGAAACCATCAGGAGATCACCAAGGGCTGCTAAGGGAAAAGGTTGGGGAAGACAATGACAGGCAGGCAGGCAGCAAATACAGGCTAAGGGTTCACTATGGACCAGGCATACTGCTCAGGGTCAAGAAAGCAAAAATGAGGAGGACATGATGCCCTGCCCTGAAGGGGCTCACAGATGAGCAGGTGTGGCTTGGAGGAAGAGGAGAGGCCAGGACTAACACGTATCAAGTCTGTTCATCTTCTGAGTTCCCAGAGAAAAGAGCCCCACACTCACGGAGCTGACAAGCAAGCCAGAAAGTAGGGAAATTTCAGGTTGGGATAAGCCCTAGAAGAAAATAAACAGAAAGTAAGATGAAGCAAAACCAGGCGGGGGATTTAGAGAAGGTGGTTGCAGAGGGCCTCTCTGAGGAGGTGACATTGGAAATGAGGTGGAGAATGGAATGAGAAGGAAACATTCCAGGTAGAGAAGGGCAGGTGCAAAGGCAGGGACGCAAGAAAGGACTGAGAATGTTCAAGGAGGGGCAGGGACGTTGATGTGGGTGAGATGTGGAGAGCAACAGGAGACAGGAGGCAGGCAAGGCTTTGCAGGCCTGGTGAGGAATCCGGGTTAAATATGAGCATTATCCCCATTTAGTAGATGAGAAAACCAAAGCTCAGAGGTTAAGTAACTTGCCCAGGGTCGCATAGCTGGTGAGTAGCCAAGCTGAGATTCCATCATATAGTCTGGTAACAAAGTCCATGTTTTCTTTCCTCTACTCACTGAACAGGAACTGGCTGGCTGTGACAAAATGTGATAACTGTTAAGTGATTAATGACAAGTGGTTTATGACAGAAGCCTGGGGTGGGGGGACACAGTTTGCCGGGGAAGTCTTCATGGAGGAACTAACTGGGTCCCTAAGAATGAGGAGGATTTTGCCAGGTGGAAAAGTGGGGAGGACGAGCGCTCAAAACAAGGAGAATAACTTGAGCAAGGCCAGGGATGTGGAACATGAGGCCTGGTGGGAGCTGAGAGGCAATGGAGTTGCTGAGAGTAGAACTGGCGGGAGATGGGCGTGGAAGGCAGGGTGGGCCAGACCAGAAGGGACCCTGAATGCCTACCAAGGATGTCTACATTGAATTTCTGGGCAACGAGGAGCCAAGGCAGGTTCTTCAACAGGCTGAGCTGTACTGTGCTTTAGAAAGATGACTGTGATGCAGGGGCCTGGAGAGGCTGGTGTGTGGGGAGGGGCAGCTAAAATAAATGGCCAGAGGCTGTAGAGAGAGGTGGGGCAGGACAGGGCCCGTCAAGCCCCAGAGGTAACCAAGACTGAGAAGGAGTTTCACTCTTGTTGCCCAGGCTGGAGTGCAATGGTGCGATCTTGGCTCACTGCAACCTCTGCCTCCCGAGTTCAAGCGATTTTCCTGCCTCAGCCTCCTGAGTAGCTGAAACTACAGGCGTGTGCCACCACACCCAGCTAATTTTTGTATTTTTAGTAGAGACAGGTTTTCACCATGTTGGCCAGCTGGTCTCGAACTCCTGATCTCAGGTGACCCACCCTCCTTAGCCTCCCAAAGTGCTAGGATTACAGGAATGAGCTACCACACCCGGCCAAGAAAGTATTTTTACAGACCCCAAGAATGGGGTGTCCAGCTGGGCGTGGTGGCTCATGCCTGTAAAATCCCAGTACTTTGGGAGGCCAAGGTTGGCGGATCACCTGAGGTCAGGAGTTCGAGACCAGCCTGGCCAGCATGGTGAAACCCTGTCTCTACTAAAAATACAAAAAATTAGCTGGGCGTGGTGGGAGGAGCCCGTAATCCCAGCTACTTGGGAGGCTGAGGCAGGAGAATCGCTTGAACCCGAGATGGCGCCATTGCACTCCAATCTGGGTGACGAGAGCGAAACTCCGTCTCAAAAAACAAAAAAAGAATGCAGTGTCCCCAGCCCCAGGCCCCGCCCTGCTTCACCCCACCTCCCTCCACAGTTTGGCCTGGGTCCATGGCTGGAGTCCCTTCCTAGCCTATAGCCCCAGGCCCTGCTGCAGTGACCCCCATCAGCCCAGGGCATTCTGTTCATGCCCCATGACTCTCATGAAGGATGAGAGCAGGGTGCTGGCTTTACAGGAGTTGGGTGAACCTCAGATACTGAGAGTGGACAACACTTACACAGCCCTGACCCGGAAAGGGGACCTGTTTTAAGTGCCTTATTTTGACTCACTTCAACCCTACAAGGTACGTACTATTACATTCCAAGGAGGGGAAACTGATGCACAGGGGACTTGCCCAAGGGATGTGAACCCTGGCAGTCTGGTGCCAGGGTCTGTCCTCCGTACTCCACCTCAAGGTAGTCATTGCTCTCTCTAGACTCTGAGTGTCTCTACCTGCTCTCCTCTCTCCTCTTTGCTTTCACAATGATCCTGCCAGATGCTCTCTTTCCTGCCAGAAGGGAGGGCTACATGTGAAAATCTGGCATCAGAGTCTCAGCCACTCCCTTCTCAGGAACCACCTGCCTGCCTGCCATAGCAGGCGGTGAAGAGCCAGCCCTGACATCAGACAGCTCCTGGAGGCAGGCAGGCCTGTCTGAACCCTCCTCCCTGCTGCAACAGAAATGGCTACCAGCCCCACTGGCCAGGCCTACAGCAGGCTGTGCCTGGCCCCCACTTGACAGGCAGCACTCACCTCTCACCTCTGCTCTGGGGGCCCAGCTGAGGCAGCACCTGCCCAGGATGTCATGGTGCCATAGTTGCACCAGCTCCAGGACCAGGGCAGCTGAACGCCCCTTTGCCCACTAGATGGCACAATGTGCACAGAAATGTGGGTTGACCGCTTGGCCACCCTTTCCACCTGCAGAGGAACTGGATTTCACCACACTCTGCATTTATCTCATTTTTATTCTCATTCCTCATCCTAACCCATAGCCAACCATTTGTATGTGTCCTTGCAAAACAAGTGCATGTATTTTTTAGTTTCACAATTAGTAATATATATATATATATATATATATATATATATAAAAAACACACACACACATTATAGATATATTTCTTAATTGTTTTCGCTCAGCACTGTATTTTTAAACCTCATTCATGTTGCTGTGAGCACATTTAGTTTCTGGTGGGCACCTTCCACATTTATTTACCCACTCTGAGGGCGACAGGCACCCAAGTTCCCTCCAACACCCCAGCAACCCTGCCATGACCGTCCTTGACAGGAACCGTTACGGCTCGGCCTGAAAACCTAAGAAGCGGAATTGCCAGGTTACAGGGCATGCAGCGACTTCATTTGGCACAGTACTGCCAGCCAGCTCTCAACCCACCCAGTTCTTGGAGGGTTCCTGGGGAAAAGACGCCCAGCCTCCTAGGACTAGTCAGCCTAGCACCCCTTCCTGTGGGGAGGGGCCCCAATCCTTTCTGCTTGGGCCCAAGGGAGATGGAGAGCCAGTGGCCTCTGTCAAGAGCGTCTTGCAAAGGTAAGACCTTAAGGTCCTACATCTCCCCTGGGCATTTTTTTTTTTAAGTAAAGGGCAATGGCTGGCCTGTTAAATCCCCCACATCCCTCTCTTCAGGAGCCTTTCTGATTACAAAGCCCATTCTTTTTCTCCCTTCTCCTCCCACAGAACTATCCCAGTTTCCTGCATTTTCCCATTTCTCTTCCTCTGCCCATCCCTTCCATGTGAACACCCTACACTTACTAGCTATGTGTCTGTGGACAAGTTACTTGGACTCTCCCTCTTTGTCTATAATATGGAAATAAGTAATATCATTACTAATAATAGGCACACAGGCATAATCCCTCCCTGGCCTCTGCACACAGCCCTCTCTCTAACTCAATGCTGCCCCACTTCCCACATATATTTAAGTAGCTCAAGCCCCTCCTCCCCCAGGAAGTCATCCCTGATTGAACCAGATACAGTCCCAATGTCCTTAATCCAACTGTCACCTACTAAGAGCTCAAGTGATTATTTTTGGCTGAAATTTGAAATAACAATAATGGCTATGATTGATACGCTGAGCACCTACTATGTGCCAAGAATTCTACGGCCTACTCCATATCCACACAAGAGCCCTGGAAGGCAGACATTGTCATCCTGACTTCTCAAATGAGGAGGCTGAGACTCAGAGAGTAAGGTGACTTGCCTGAAGTCACTGGCAGGTAATTGTCAAGGTCAGGACTGGAATACAGGCTTGTCTGATATAAAAGCTCTACCCCACACCACCTCCTTCAGAATCCCTTCCTCTTGCCCTCATTCCCCCATACACATGGTATGTGCATTGCATTTTAAAATTATTTGTGATTTTAAGTACACAAATAATAGAGGGATATAGTCTCTTTATTAAAAAATTAAAGCACTACAGAGCTGTGTCACCTTTGACCAGGAACCTTCTACCTCCCTCCTCCCCAAAGGAACTCCCACTATTAGCACTGTCTTGGGTATCATTCTTGTGCTTTTTTGCCTTTTTTTTTTTTTTTTTTTGAGACAGGGTATCTTGCTCTGGTGCCCAGGCTGGAGTGCAGGGAATGTAGTGGTGTGATATCACAGCTCACCACAACCTCTGCCTCCCAGGTTCAGGTGATCTTCATGCTCAGCCTCCCAAGTGGCTGGGATTACAGGTGCACACCACCAGGCCCAGCTAATTTTTGTATTTTTAGTAGAGACGGGGTTTCACCATGTTGGCCAGGCTGGTCTCGAACTCCTGGTCTCGAGTGACCACCCACCTCAGCCTCCCAAAGTGCTGGGATTATAGGTGTGAGCCACTGCACCCAGTCCCATAAATTTTTCTGTATTTGTAGGAAATAACGTTGTTAAGTGATTTTACATAAATAATGTGTGTGGGGCCGGGCACAGTGGTTCATGCTTGTAATCCCGGCACTTTGGGAGAACGAGGCGGGTGAATCACTTGAGACCAGGAGTTCGGGACCGGCCTGGTCAACATGGCGAAAACGCGTCTCTACTAAAAACACAAAAATTATCTGGGCATGGTGGCCTGTGATCCCAGCTATGCAGGAGGTTGAGACACCTTGAACCCGGCGTATGGAGGCAGAAGTGAGCTGAGATTGCACCACTGCACTCCAGCCTGGGTGACAGAGTGAGACCCTGTCTTAAAAAAAAAAAAAAACAAAAAACCCACAATAATGTGTGAGGTATATCACTCTTCAACAGGCTTTTTTCCATTCAACAATATGTCTTGGAGAGCTACATCTATCTATACCTACACCATCCTTTCTTGGAACAGTTGTGTGCTACTCCATGGCACACATGGACTTTGCTTATTTACCCAGGCCCCTACTGATGGCTATTCAGATTGTTTCCAATTCTATTAAAAACAGGCTGAAACGAGTATGTACAGACCTCTCTGGGCACTGTGGTATGTGCTCTGTGCAGGGCATGGACAGTCATCTCTTCTCATCTGTCACATTGTTAGCAAACACCTCTCACAGGGGTTCTCAACTTGGGAACCACTGGAGGTTTCAGGGGGACCTCAAATCCCTGAAATTGTACCCAGAGTAACCTATGTATGCCTCTGCATATATGCACTATCTGGGGAAAGGGTCCACAACCCTTAGCAAGTTTCAGGTTTTCGAAGGGCCCATAAAAGCTAAGAAGTACCGACCTGTATTAACTTTCATACCTTTATGTTCTGGCTCATATACGATGTTATGTGCTCAAAAGGACAAGCTGGGCAACATAAAGCCTCTTCTCCCCCTTGTTCTGCCAACAAGGATTCCATCTAGTGCTGAAAGAAAGGACCTCTGGAGTCAGACCCAGGCCTAAATCCTGGCTCCATCCATTACTATGCAATTTGGGGCAATTAATTAACAACCAAGCTTCAGTGTCCACAACACAAACTGAGGTGAGTAAAACCTGCTTCATAGAGTTGTTGTAAGGAGTAAACAAAATCCCTTGCGCCAAGCATCTAGCAGGCACAGTAGGTACTGCTATGCACCTGTGCCCTTGGTTTCCTTAAGTTCTGGCCAAGAGCTTTAGGCAACTGGGACCTTCTCAAGGGCAGGGACAAAGGCTCACCCAGAGTCTGCAACCCCCTTGAGCTCTGAGCCTAAATCTGTCATGGACAAATTAGGAGTGAATACACTGAGAAGAGTCCTTGTCCAGGCTCTCCAGGTCATACCACAGCAGTGCCACTAGGAGGCTGCAGGACAGGCCCTGGGACTGGAGAGACTCTGCAGGAGCAGCTCTGACTAAAATAGTGTGTGCATGCAAGTGTGCATGTGTTGTGTGCTCATATATGTTAAGTGTGTGAATGAGTATGCATGTCTGAGTATGAGCCTGTGTCTGAGTGTGTATGTGTTGGCATGTGTATGTGTGTACACGTGGGTTGGGAGAGGCAGAAACCAAAGGGAAGACAGGGTTTCCAGAGAGGCAGCAGCAGCCCTGGCTTCTCCCCTTGAGTGTCCAGGCTGCTGGAACAAATATTCCATTACCTACTGTGTGTTAAGCACTGCTCCTGTCCTTGAACTCACAGGAAGACAAAAACAAGACAGTTAGGTTCAAGCAATATTTCCAGGTGCCAGCATTGTTCTAGGCACTGGGGATACAAAAAGACACATTCCTTGCCCTCCACCAAGGTCAGACACGACACACCCCTGGAGTCGGTGGCACTTCAGTGAGTAGAGCCCTGTACAGGGCACCCAGGAAGAGCTGTGCTCAAGACCAGAAATCGTGGAGAAAGGCATAGTTGACCCTGTCCTGGGCAGCAAACCCTTTGAGAGGGGCCACATCCCCTACCCTGCCCTGCAGACTCAGACCCAAAATATCTCCAGCCACCTTCTCTCCTCCCTCACTTGGCCACCAAGCAATGCTGGACAGAACTCTTCTCTGTCGGGGGAGATCACGGGGCGTAGCGCCCTCAGTACACTGATAACCCTTTCTCCATCCTCACCTTCCCTCTGGCAGCTGGCCCCACCTTTCCCCTCCCACCCTTCCCCTCACTCCCAGTAGACAACCCCCCTTTCCCAACTAACATACAAGCTTACCTCTCTGAGCACCCAGTCCCCCCACCACGCTCAGGGAATGAGGTGCCCTTTCACTTGCTCAGATTCTCCTGCTTCCTGCTCTGCTGGGGTCTCCTTCTATCAGTCACCACTGACCCCCACCCCGACTTCCACTCACAAACAACCACCAACTATGGTGCAGTGGCACTGCAGCGCGGTTAGGCAGCCCAGCGTCACCGTTTCCCAGGCCTGGGACCTTAGACAAGTTACCCCACCTCTCTGAGCTTTGGTTCCTGTGCCTGTAGCACAGGGCGAAACCCAGTGATGCTGACAGAACCTACCTCATGAGGCCGCTGGGAAGATAAGATTATACTGGGCACATAAAATGCTTAGGACTGGGCTAGGAAGTGTTTAGTGAATGTGATCACTGCTGCTGTAAGCCCCTGACAGCACCCACAGTATCTGAAGGGCACAAAGCCTCTAGTAGATGGTCAGAAATAGAGTCCAGGGATGGCATCAAATAGTTGTTTACTTTCCCCATCAAATCAACCTTCGTCCAAGTCAGATAAGCCCCAGGGGTCCCCCCAGGGGTCTCCATGCAGAGCCTAGGCTCTCCATCAGGCAGCCTGATCCCAATTCCCTGGGTCTGGGCGTCACCGGACAGCCTTCAGGGTAAAATGCAGATCATACTAGTGGGCCTTCTCTTGATGATATTGATCTCTTAGTAACTTACTGTGCCAACATATTCTTACCAAAGACCCCCTCGAAACAAGGGGAGAACCACCTGTCTACAAGAAGAGTTGCTCAGGTGTCTCCCATCCTAAAATCCTTATGTCGACCTCCAGTTACAGCCCATCTCTCTCCTTCCCTTCTCAGCCAAGCTTCTTGCAGAAGTCACCTGCACTTCCCCCTTCTCACCCCACCACAGGCTGCCTGACCCCACTGCTTCACCAGTGATGGCCTGTAGCCACTCCACCTGTCCCTCCACAGGCCTCACTTCATCTGTTGAGGTTGACCACTTCCTCTTGGAACATCACCTCCCTGGCTTCCAGGACTCCACTTCCCCAGTCCTCCTCCCATCTCCTTGACTGTCTTCTTGACTCCCCACCCAGCTTCTTCCTGCCCACCTGCCTCCTAAACATCGGCTTCTCCAGCGCTCCACCCTGGCTTACTGCGCCTCTCTCCCCAGCCTCTCGTTGGGTGACCTCATGATTAGAAGCACCGTGCATTTCTGAAGCCTCTCAAGTCTCTCTCCCTCTATTCTCACCCCCGACCTTATGTTTGGTGTACCGTACTGTCAACAAAACACTTGCAACTAAACAAGCAGAAAAGAATTCCCTGCCTTCTCCTCTCTCCCCTCCTAAGATCCTGAACTCCATAAAGAGCCCCATCCATTCCACCAAGTCAGAGCCCTAGAAGGTACCCTCACCTCCATCCACCTCCAAACTTTCACCAGATCCTGCCTATTCCACCTCAGGGGAAGTTTATCAATTGAGTAGCCCAACAGGTTTAAGACTGCAGGTGCAGGGAGGCATGGATGCGCTTTATTTCTTGGACATGGCTCAGAGGAGGGGCAGCTCCAGAGCACAAGGGCAGGGCGAGAGGCAGCACAGGCCAGCAGGAGAGAAAGCCCTGTAGCCCAGATCACACACAGTCTCACCAGACCCCCAGCTGTGCATTGGCTGCTGCAGGCATCTCCCCTCCCTGCCTCAGCCCAGGCCTCCACCAGTCAGCAGCTGAGCTGGCCCAGCTCCCCTCCACAGGAACAGCCTGCAGCTTGCCCTGTGCTCACCCCCAACCCCCTACCCCATTCTCCTTCACTATGAAGTTCCTCTGAATACAAAGCCCACCTCTCAATAACCTATCCCAAGATAATTTGATAGTGCTAACTTGAATTTCTGAACTCCCTGCCCTGTTTCCCAGCATGGTCCTTTCTCTATGCCAAGCTACTTCTACCTACTAAATAGCTATTTTCCCTCAAATCTTTCTTAACTCCTGTCCTCCATCCCTGCCTTGCCTTACCAGAGTATTATGTTGTTTTGTTTTGTTTTCCTTTTTTTTTTTTTTTTTTTGAGACGAAGTCTTGCTCTGTCACCCAGGCTGGAGTGCAGTGGCACGATCTCAGCTCACTCAACCTCCGCCTCCCGGGTTTAAGCGATTCTCCTGTGTCAGCCTCCCGAGTAGCCGGGATTACAGGTGCATGCCACCACGCCCAGCTAATTTTCGTATTTTTGGTAGAGATAGTTTCGCCACGCTGGCCAGACTGGTCTCAAACTCCTGACCTCAGATGATCTACCCGCCTCGGCCTCCCAAAGTGCAGGAATTACAGGCGTGAGCCACCGCGCCTGGCCATCTCTTGAATTTACTGAATTCCCTGCTCCCTTCCTGGTCCTTCATACCAACCCTTTTAGAGGGGTTCTTTGCACAGCAGCTGAGTGATCTTAATAAATGTCCATCTGGGATGGGGAGCCACTGGCCAGTTAAAGCAGGGCAGTGACAGGGTTAAAGTCCCAGCACCTAGTGCAACCTATGTAGCCTTCCCTGGCCTGGCCCGTCAGCTACCTCAGCCCCACTGCAACCCTCTAGGTACCTCAAACAGCTGGCAGGTCCCGGCACATCCCACCCGGCATCACACCTCTGGTTTTGGCTGGGATGAAAGGGTATTCCCACTTCAGCCTGTCACTTGACTAACTCTGACTGTCCAGCTTCCAGGCTCTGGGCATCTCCTCAGGAAGCCTTTCTGACCCTCCTGGGTCAGTGTTGCCACAGCACATGGGCTCCTGTCACCTGCTGCAGGAGGCAGAAACTGCTCATGGATCTGTCTCCCTTCTGAGAGCTTCTCCAGGGCAAGATCCATATTTTGCCCATCTGGGCACACACAGTAAATGTTTGCATCAGTCAGCGTCCAAGCAGGCAACAAGGGGCCACTTGAATTGGGATAATGTGAGGAGAATTTAACAAAGGGACTGTTTACAAAGGTGTGGACCAGTACAGTGGGTGCTGTAGTGCCCTGACGCCAAGGCCCCAAGAGTGTAGAGCACTGCCTGAGGGGCTGTGACATATGACTGAAGAGTGTGGTCAGCCCTGCAGGAATGGGAGCCCGCTGATGCAGTCCATACAGGTCAGCCTCCTGGGGCACAGGGCAGGGTGGAAAAGGGTGAGAGGGACCCCGAGGGACAGATTAAGATGTCCAACCCAGGGCTCAACCAATGTCAATTGAACAGAACTTCACTGATGAGACACCCTGAGCAGGGTTCCACAGACCGACCACTTCTCCAAGGAGAAAACAACATTCCAGGCCAAAGATGTGCCAAGGCTCACCTGTGGGGTCAGCATGGCTTATGCCGGTGTAAAGGCAGCAACAGTACCGACAGGGTTGGAGAAGCAATGAGCAAAGTCGAGGTCTCCAAGTGGGACAAACCCCCGCCTCCAGGTTGAGAGCACCAAGTGAGCAGAGTTCCTCCGCCAGGCTGCAAGGGACTTCCTTAGCTTGGGTTTTCCAGATGAGGAACTGGGTCTGGAGGTGAGTGGTGGCCCTTTGTGGGGATGGGGAAGAACCCACACTCTTTCTTCACTTGATAACTCACTCAGCAAACATTAGGAACCCACTTGAAAATGGGTGTTAACAGCTCCAGGGTGAGCCAAGACCCAGGAAGCCCCCAGTTGGCTAAGTGCAGAGAATGAAGACTGGCCCATTTCCTTGGCAGAGTAGATGACCAAGCTGTGGAGTGACAGGAAACAGTGGTGTTAAATAAGGCCAGGAGCCAACCTCCAGCAGGAAGCACTGACCTCAGCTTGGGCCGGAAGGTGCTGACCTAAGAGGCAACTGGAAGTAACTACAAGTATCCACAATGGTCATCCAACAGATGCTTCCGGAAAACTATTTTAATAGCTGAGGGAAGGCACATTACCAAGAAATATTTCCACCACAGGTCAGTGCAGCAGAAAAAGCAGAAGAAATGTGGTCAGGTGGTCCTGACTTCAAATCTCAGCCTGCCACTTGACTACAAGTCCCTTAACTCTTCTCAGCCTGGGTTTTCTCACACATAAATCAGATACAATAATCACACGGCATCATTGTGAAGACTTGGAAGAGAATATGCAAAGTGTCCAGCACAAAACTGGCATAAAGCAAGCCCTCAATAAATTGGTTTCTCTTGTCTGTTCCTACTACCATATGCCACAGACCAAGGCTGAAAGAGATGTGGTTTCTACCTCGGTGGGCAGCCAGATTGTCGCAAGAAGTTGGCAGCATGCCAAGACCAGGTCAGAGCCCTGGATTGAAATGTGAAGTTCCAGAAGGAAAAGGAACAGCACTGCTGCTGTAGGAGAATGGACAGGACTTCGTAAAAAACAAAAATGAGGCTAGGCGCGGTGGCTCACGCCTGTAATCCTAGCACTTTGGGAGGCCAAGGCAGGTGGATCACCTGAGGTCTGGAGTTTGAGAGCAGCATGACCAACATGGAGAAACCCCGTCTCTACTAAAAATACAAAATTAGCCAGGTGTGGTGGCGCATGCCTGTAATCCCAGCTACTCGGGAGGCTGAGGCAGGGGAATCACTTGAACCCGGGAGGTGGAGGTTGTGGTGAGCCGAGATCGTGCCACTGCACTCCAGCCTGGGCAACAAGAGTGAAACTCCGTCTCCAAAAAAAAAAGAAAAGAGAAAAGTAGGACAAACCCAAAAGTGACTCCAAAGTTGTAAGATTTGTAAGGCAGGAAGGTTGCTGGTGCCACTGCTAAGACAGTCCTGAGAGGTAAGGGCAGAGGCAGAAACCAAAGCTCTGAGAAATGTGACCAGCTAAAGTGACCTGAGATGCGAGCCAGTGGCTGAGCCCAAGCTAAAGCTTTGGCCTCAACCCCCCACCCAGAGCACTGCACATGCAATCATGTGGACCAGTTCTCCCCACCTCACTCTGTGAGCCAAATGGCCCCAATCCTCCGATGGCCTTGACTGCTGGCCTCAACCCTTCAGTAAACTGCAGCCTTTCTACATTTTCCAACACCTACTCCAGCTTTAGGGCCCAAATCATGGCAATCAGCAGATAAACAGTGATCAAGTGCATATCTCCATGGATTGCAATGTGGCTTCATTCCTGTAATTCTACACCACTATTTATGAACCATTGGCTCACTATGACTCCCAGATGCTCTCTGTCCTCCTTATACACAACAGGTCCCACCTAGTCTCACCCTTAAGACTGTCAACCCTTGGGGCCAGGGAGTTCTTTGTTGTGCGGGCAGTCCTGCACATTGTAGCATGGCCAGCAGCATCCCTGGACTCTACCCACTAGATGCTGCCCCCAGTTGTGACAACCAACACTATCTCCAGACATTGCCAAATGTCCCCAGCTGAGAACCACTGCCTTATCTCTTGTACAGCCTTTTTTTTCCCCCTAAACATGAAGAGTAAAAATACGTGCCAGCTTAAGCAGTTATAGACATCATAGAATATCTTAAACTGGAGTCATAAACTGGAGTTTAATGGGGAAACAGAAAACACTGGGCATCTGGCCAGTGTGGGTGAAGCCCTTGGGATAAGGATCTATGTGGAGACAGGCAACTCTGTCCACCATGGGTCCTTGTAGACACTCCATAATGTCTTAATTTTTACCAACCCCTATACTAGATGTCTATATGCAGACTCCTAAATTGAGAATACAAATTTTAACTTTTCAGCTCTCATATTTTTGTGCATCTACTAAGCATCAGCGATAGAACTATGAACAAGACAGAGACTGCTCCTGAGCCCATGGGCTTGCCCAGTTTCAAAGTGCTGTAAGAAGTGCTATGCTGAGGACCAACAGGGCTCAGCCTGGGCCCCACAGAGGAAGGAGAACACTGGCCCAACTCTACCACTTACTTACTGTTTCCTATCTTTAAAACAGGGACACCAGCCCTACCTACTACTCAGAGTTGTCACCAAGGCCTGGAGTCACAGAAGTTCTAGGCTGGAAGAAACTTTCTAGGACTAAAAGGTGAAGGCACTGCAAACTGGAAAGTGCTGCATAGAGGTAGAGGTCTGCCAGGGGGGTTCAGAAATCACATGGATCCCAGTGAGGAAGCACCTACTCAGAAGAAAAAGCAGTGAGGTGGGCTCTGAAGCTTTCAGACCCAGTGAGGAATGCAGGGGTCGGAGAGGTTTCAGACCACAGCTCACAAACATCCTGCCTCCCTCTGACCCATCAGCACCACATACTCCAACCACCTGGTCCACATGCCTTGGGAAGTCCTGCTCCTCAGCGCAGCTGAAATTCTCTCAACTCCTCACAAGCAATGCTGCTTCCTGCCCCTCAGGCGGGACAGGTATGGCCCCATTCAAAAGTATTTTTCGGGCCAGGCATGGTGGCTCACGCCTGTAATCCCAGCATTTTGGGAGGCCAAGGTAGGCAGATCACTTGAGATCAGGAGTTTGAGACCAGCCTGACCAACATGTTGAAACCCCATCTCAGCCAGGCACGGTGGCTCACGCCTGTAATCCCAGCACTTTGGGAGGCCGAGGCGGGTGGATCACAAGGTCAGGAGATCGAGACCATCCTGGCTAACACGGTGAAACCCCGTCTCTACTAAAAAAACACAAAAAATTAGCTGGGCGTGGTGACGAGCACCTGTAGTCCCAGCTACTCAGGAGGCTGAGGCAGGAGAATGGTGTGAACCTGGGAGGCGGAGCTTGCAGTGAGCCAAGATAGTGCCACTGCACTCCAGCCTGGGCGAAAGAGCAAAACTCCATCTCAAAAAAAAAAAAAAGAAACCCCATCTCTACTAATAACACAAAAATTAGCTGGGCATGGTGGTGGGCGCCTGTAATCCCAACTACTTGGGAGGCTGAGGCAGGAGAATCACTTGAACCTGGGAGGTGGAGGTTACAGTGACCTAAGATCACGCCATTGCACTCCAGCCTGGGCAACAGAGTGAAACGGTGTCTTATGTCACAGTTAGATGCAGTGAAAAGAGCTGGACTGGGCATGAGAAAACTCAAGTTCTAGTCCCAAATCTGTTACTCTCATATGTGAAATGTGGTTGGCTCCTCAGCTCCCCAAGTCGACATGGTCATCATGAATGGTCTAAACCACAATGGTGGGAATCCACTTCAGCTTTGTTTTGAAATAAACTGTTCTGAAGCTATAGGTGAGTTAACTCCAACAAAGCCTTGCCCTCAATTATGGGGACCCAGCCTGGAGAAACAAAATCCAGAGATAACCTTGAAACCTAATTTCAGACAAGGATTTCATCCTTCTTTACCTGCAAACCTTTTACCAGACCTGGCAGTGTAACTGATGAGTTAATGCAGTTGGTTGACAGGATGCTAGTAGACACACGGACAAATGAAAGCCCTGCTCCCTGACCCATGTGTACCTGCCTCTTTGCAGACATCAGCCATGGCCAGCCAGGAAGGGCGCTGGGTTAGCCTGTGGGGATGGGGCAGCACAGCCCACTCCCTGCCTGGGAAACCCACTGGAGGCCAGGTATAGTATCCCTTGAGAAGGCCAGCACCCAAAGGTCTCTCTTTCTCTCCTCTTCCTGTGCTGGGCAGCCCCCTGAGAAGTGGTGCCAATCAACAGGGAGCTCAGTGGGGAGCAGGGAGAGCAGCTGTGATCACACACTGGATCATCAGTCAAGATCGGCCAAGAACTGTCTCTACTGAGCATGTAAACACTTGGCCTCAAATCAGTTGCCAATCAAGGTTTCATAATATCCAAAGGTATCACAATTATTCAAGAGTTCTTGTGAAACTACCAAAATAAAATAAGTTTAATTTTCATTTAAAAAATGCCTGCAGCATGTCTTATGAAACAGCCTGCCATAATATCAAGCAAATGACAACAGATTACTGTTCCCAAATCTAGCTGGGAATCACCATCTTTATACTGAAAGTTGAGAAGCAAACTCATCACCACTTTCAGCCCAGGAAGCCCAAATAATTCAGAAAATTACTAATATTTGGCAAAATAATTCAGCAAGAAGGTGTCGAAAATGCTGGAAAGAACTTAATTGTGATCCGTTACCATTCTCCCGGTGGGAAAGAATGAAACAGAAGTCCCATGATTTTAAGTATGAATTACAAAATTAGAGGAAGAAAAGACATGCAGCTGCTGGTACAGATTCGAATTTCAGTTAAGCATTTGAGTCCAGTATCATACAATTTTTGTCAAAAACAAGATTTCTCAGCCACTGAGAAAGAAAATGAAAGACCATGAGAAGAGGCCAAGAAAGGCAATGAGAGGCCCGAGCAAGGACACTGAGGAGGCTGCGCACGGGGAGGTTGGAGCGGAACGGCCTTGGGCTCCCACCTGCACAGTAGGATCTCACCCCCGGATTGACCCCGGCCCTGGCCCTCCTCCACACTCTTGACACAGGAGGAGGCACGCCTCCAGTGAATTCTGCCTCACGGTGGCTGCTGCCCTCCTAAGTGCAAGGCTGGGCTTGAGAATTTCAGGGGAGAAACTCAGTAGTGAGTGCTTCTCCTCAGCTGCAGCAGCTGGTACTTAGTGGCTCTTAATTTCCCTGCTTTCTGTGCTACTTCCCAAAGGCACACAGAAAGCGGACTGGACATCTGTGCCAGAGATGACTAGCTTCAGGAGTGCCGATGGTGGCAAGGCCTCTCTGCACATGCTTTGGTCAGGTCCCCCTCACCTCATCAACAGCCAAGAGCACATCCCTCAATGTGGCTGGTCCTTAGGAGTCACACCCACTGGCCAGAGGTCCTGAGCACCAAGCCCTCAAGCAATAAGCTCCCAACTCCTCCAGAGGCTGTGGCTAGTTAGCAGCAGGGTTCCATCTGGAACCCAGGTCTCTGACTACAGTAACTAACCTAGAGCTCTTTCCTCACATTTCTTCAGCAGTTATCTAGCAGAGGGAGTAGGATCATGAGCGGAGCTAGCCACTTCAGCAAAGAAAGTGTGATGAAGTCCATGAACCCAGAGAATAAAGCCCTTTGGCCTGTCAGGGGCAGATTCTTAAGGGCACAGAAGGGGAAAAACAACAAAAGCAAGTTTATATTCACAGGGAAACATAATCTGTGATTATAAATATTTTATGGGCAAAGAAAGCAGCACTGGCTGAGAGACTGGGGTGGAGAGGGTGGACAGCAAATTAGATTCCAGCCTGCAAAGTGATAGGGCAGCTGGAAAAGCAGCAAAGCCGAGGCTATTCTGGGCTGTGCTGCGAGGGCCTGCGTCACAGGCCCTGGCCACAGTCTTTGTTGAAACCACAGCCTTCCAGCGGTCAGCACAGAACACCTTGGGGAGAGGGTTTAAGTCCATGAAGACCAGAGGAGGGGACAGCGAGGACAGAGGAGAGTCATCTGAATGACTCTGGTGAACCTCAACAGCAGGGAGGCAGGTGAGGGGAGGCAGCACCCTGCAAGCACGTGAAAGGAAGACACTTCCTGCTGACTAAGGGCAGAGGAAGAAGTGAGGCTGACCCCAGAAAGCAAGCCACCTGAGAAGCCAGAAGGCAGCTTGGGTCAAGCTGCCCCAGTGAGAGCAAAGGTCCAGCCCTTGAGCAAGTGGTGCCAGGCTAAGAACAATTCCACCCTCCCTTTGCCTCAGGCCAGGGTTCTCTACCTCCCACAGCCTTTAGGAAGTAGCACAGAAAGCAGGGACATTCAGAACCTGCTGAGCACCAGCTCCTGCCACTGGAGAGAACCACCACTGGCAAAGCAGGCCCTGGTTTCGATGATTCCTCCTCCTTGGCCACATCCAACCACTGCAGCAGAGCATGTCCTTCCAGAGGGCCAGAAGGAAAGGATATTAGCTCCTAAAATACCCAGAGTACCTTGAATCAGGCTTAGTCAGAGGAGCCCTGGGGAGCGATGTGCTCCTCCAATGGAAGATGTAAAACTAAGAGCCTCTGCCTCATTGCAGTCAACGTTCAGTGGGCAACGGACTCCAAGGTGTGCCCACAGAACTCAGGAAAATCAGAACATCAGCCTCTAGAATCACAGCTAGTAAGAATCAGGTCAAGATGGAGTAGACTCATCAATTACGAAAGGAAGACCCAATGATGTTGTGGGAGGACCCTGGGTTGGAAGTCACAGGATCCAGCTCTGAGACCAGCTTTACCACTTCATAACTGTAGAACCTTGAGAAATCACCTCTTACCTCTGAAACTCAGTGTCCTCAGTGTTATTCCAATTTAAGAGATTTATATCCAGCTACCTACTCGACATCTCTTCAATGTCTCAAAGGCACCTCCATTCAGCTTGCCCACAACTGCTCTTCCTCCCTAATCCTCCAGCCTAGCTCCAAGTTCAACACAACCAACCATCCAGGCATAGAAGCCGGAAACCTCAGACCCATCCCTGGCCTTTCCCCATTAGTATTCCCCATTACTAACCCATTACCAAGTCAACTCCACCTCCTAAAGATGCCCACTGCCCTCCACCACCATCCTGGTCCATATTATCACCTCGCATATAGTCTATTGCAAAGCACACACTCACCCATTCTGGCCTCCCTGAGGAGCTCTCTGCAGAGCAAATCTAACCATGTCTCCCCTCCCACCAGCTTTATCCCACTTGCTAAATTACTCTCCAACAACATCCCAGTGCCCCCAGTATGAGGAAAATCTTCCGAGGGCTCGTAAGGCCCCACTCCTCTTTTGGCTTCAACCCACACCATGTTCCCTCTTGTGGCTCCAGCCACACTGGCTTTTTCTTCTAGACCTGGCATTTATCCCATTCCCTCCTGTCACAGGGTTTGTGCACATGCCCTTCCTTCTACCAGCAACATCTCCTCCTCTTCTCTCACCTAGCTAATGCCTATTCATTTATTTCACTGTGAGTGAAGTGCACTAAAGTATACAGCTCAGTAAGTATTTACAGATGTCTATCTTCATGGAACTCCCACACAGATCTAGATTTAGAACATTCCTGAGACCCAGAAGTTTCCCTCTTTCCCCTTTCCAGTCTACACCTTCCCTACCCACCAGGTAACCACTACTGACTTCTATCACTGTACCTATTCGGACTGCAGCTGATGCAATCCTTCCTCAGGGAGCTGCCTCTGATCCCATTGAAAAACTCTTAGCTCCTTTATCACAGACCCTTGCTACACTTGGGACTTTGCACTTGTTTGAGGAATTGATTCATGTTAGTTTCCCCTGGGACTCTATAAGCTCCAGGAAGGCAGGGGCCGCACCTGCTTTTACTCACCTTTGTTTTCTCAGTGCTGACCCATGCAGTCGTGACAATAGGAAATAGCTAATTCCTATTTCTAAAAGTATCTATTGAGTGTTTTGTGTTTTTTTTTTTTTTTAAAGAGACAGGTCTTGCCATGTTGCTAAGGCTGGATTCAACTCTTGGGCTCAAGTGCTCCTCCTAATTCAGCTTCCTGAGGAGCTGAGACTACAAGCATGGGCCACCATGCCCAACCTGAGTGCTTATTATTGCCAGGTTATCATTCTAAGCACTTACAGGTACAAACTCATTTAATCTTCACATCAATTCTATCAAGAAGGACCATTATTACATCCCCCTTTTACAGGTAAGGAAACTGAGCCACAGAAAAGTAAAATAATTTGCCTACAGTCATTAAGTGGTAGAGTCAGGATTCAAACCCTTACAGTCTGGCTACAAGAGCCTGTGTTCCTAACTATTATCCTACTCTGACTCTCAGAAGCCACTGTGATTAGTTACTCATTTAATGAGTTAACTACCTAAGGTATTCTAAATAAATAAATAAAAAAGGGCCGGGCATAGTGGGTCACACCTGTAATCCCAGCACTTTGGGAAGCCCAGGCAGGTGGATCACAAGGTCAGGAGTTCAAGAACAGCCTAACCAACATGGTGAAACCCTGTCTCTACTAAAAATACAAAAATTAGCCGGGTGTGGTGCTGCATACCTGTAATCCCAGCTACTCAGGAGGCTGAGGCAGGAGAATTGCTTGAACCCGGGAGGCGGAGGTTGCAGTGAGCCAAGATCGTGCCACTGCACTCCAGCCTGGGTGACAGAGCGAGACTCCGTCTCAAAAACGAAAAAAAAAAAAAAAAAAAGAATTTACAAATAAGTTGATGAGGTTCCACTAAAGAAACTAAGGGAGCCTCTAAATCTTCCCATGCAGACCAACAGATGAACGAAAGATAACTGTCACTGAATCACCTGCACAGGCCCAAGATTATGTCATCTGCAAAATTTAAGAATGTATCCATTTCTCCAGCAGTCCAGGAAGGAAGCTCTGCTACTGGGCACAGAGGAGTGTTCCGGCAGACTATCGAGAATAAAGAAAGGATTACTGTCTGGGCTTTACTGCTGCCTAAAAGAAATGTTCACTAGATTAAATCAGCCTCTCTGCTCTTATTCCATGCTAACCCGGTCATCTTTATAACCATTTAAAGCCTCAAGCCCACTAATACAGGAAGAGGATATTTTGGATGAGAAAAATAAAAACAAATATCTTTTGGTTAGAGCCATGGTACATTTATAAATTGGCATTTGGTGTGTACCTCAGTTTTCCAGGGCCTGACAGTCCTGGATGAACTTATAGGGTCCAAACCAGAAAAGCAAGGGCTCAGACCCTGGCACCAAGGCTGCTCCATGTAAAGAATGCTACCCCGTGTGGCCAGACTCGGGTAAGCCACCTTTCAACTGCTTCAGTGTAATTTATTTTCCCACATCCCAGAAAGCTCTGGAAAAACACATAAATGAATACATTTATTCTCTCACAGGATACTACACTGTTACCCAGTGTGAAGGGAGCAGCCATGTGGCTCCCAAGCTCCCTTAGCAAAAGGGTGGTTCTCAGAACTGCTCCATTCACGAGTCCTGCAACCAGAGGCCTGGGCTCAACTCACACAAAGTTCTGAGCAATGGCCAGCACCTTGGAATACTCGCCTTCCCGCTTGCGCAGGCTGGTGGGGATGGGTGTCTTAATTCGTGTCCCCACAGGGTTCCCGTTGTCCTCAATGAGGACCACGTTGTTGGAGTCGAATCTGGGGGTCATTCGGGGGCCAGGCATGCAGTGCCCCACAATGAGCGCCTTTTTCTTCTGTCCCTTGATGGCCAGTAGTATCTGGTCGCCCACCTTGCCCACTCCATTCTTCTTATAGACATGGATGCAGCGAGGAGCCCGATGGTATGGGCTGTTCCCCAGGGCACTGTTGTCCACCACTCGTACCCGCGTCATCTTCTGAATCGCACTCAGACTCCCAGTGGTGCTGGTGGGAGGAAAAAAAAAAGTCTGCAGTCTGTATCTCTTATGGTCAGGGTGCACAGGCCTCTGAGAGGTCAAGGCTAGGGAGAATGTACATGTCAGCAACACACACAGAGCAGAGTGCTGTCCAGGAGCAGCAACAGAAAGTCAGGACTTTGTGAAGACTTATCTGTACCCACAACAGTTTCCTCACAATTGAGAGCTTCTGCTGTTGTGTCAAGGTCTCAATTTGGATGGGTTTTAAAGAGAACCCAATTTTTCTGTGACAATGAACTTCACAGCAGCCATAACTTAAAGCCTTTGCTTTCCAAAAGGACTCTAAGGACTTAAAGGAATCCCTTATGGGCTAGGCCTCACCCACTGCCTATCCTGAAAAACCTGCTTCCCCAGAATACACCATTCCCTAATTTTCTTTTTTTTTGAGACGGAGTCTCGCTCTGTCGCCCAGGCTAGAGTGCGGTGGCGCCATCTCAGCTCACTGCAAGCTCCACCTCCCGGGTTCACACCATTCTCCTGCCTCAGCCTCCCAAGTAGCTAGGAATACATGCGCCTGCTGCCATGCCCAGCTAATTTTTTGTATTTTTTAGTAGAGACAGGGTTTCACCGTGTTAGCCAGGATGGTCTCGATCTCCTGACCTCATGATCCGCCCGCCTCGGCCTCCCAAAGGGCTGAGATTACAGGCGTGAGCCACCGCGCCCGGTCCCCTAATTTTCTTATTTACATGTTGCTGGGAACTAGAAGATATGGGTAAGTTTACTAAGGGAATTCTCTGACACAACATACCAGAAACTGGTAATAAGTCAAGGTAACAATCTTCTGTTTTAATACATTTTTTCTCATTAGAAAAAAAAATTTTAGAGAGTACTTATTGAAGGCAGACAAGGTATTATTAAGCAAGCTGATTACAGTGGGATTCCTATTTTCCTGATGCTAGCACCTGATGCTGGTGTTTCCGCAGGGTAATCCTAGGACCTCTTCTCTCGTTTTTTATGCCTACTCTGGGCAATCTTACCCATTAGCATTGCTGCCAACTAGTAAATTCCATCTCCAGCCCCGCCTCTCTTCTATATTCTAGTTCTATATATTTCCACTCTCCTCAACTCCCTACAACATGCTCTATAGATACTGCAAACTCAGTAGGTCCCAAACTCATCTCACTGCCTCCCCTTGCAAACCTCCGCCTGCTGCTACACTTATCTAGACGATGGCTTCTCCAGCAGTACCAGAAGCCAAGCCATAAACCTCTCTCCACCAACATGAACTGGCCACCAAGTCCTGTTAATATCACCCCCTAAGCACCTATGTCCTTTCTCTCCAATCCCGCCAACAACTTCCTTCATTTAGCAGCTCACTCTCCTACACCAAGACTGTGACATTAGTGTCCTAGTTGGTTCCCATTGCACTTCACTTTGCCAACAAAGAGCTCTCTTTAGAATATAAAAGTGATGCTACTCCCCACCATCTACACTGTCAACAACCTTGTCCCAATTTACCTACCTTCTAAGGCTACACATCCTACCACTCTGGGCAGGAGAACCAGGAACCACTTCCCCAAGCACACCCTGCCTCCCAATTCTCCCTGGAGGCCTAGACAGGATCTGCCCCCATCTCCCTTTTGAGAAGACTGCCTCCACTCTTTCTCCTCCTCTTCCTCCACTAGCAGCTCCTATATGACGCCTTCCAAAGCACTGTACAATCCTCTATTATAATATTCTATCACATTTTCTTAGAGTTACTTATTTTCAAGTTTGCTCCTGTGGCTGACAGTGAGAATTCTTTCAGGACAGAAAGCAACTCTCTTTCATCTCTGTATGGCCAACCCCAGGTGCGGTGCTCAGGAAATGCCTGTGGGATGAGGGCATGACGGGGCCAGGAGGCATGTCTGCCAACAAGCGTGCCTCCTGTGCTCTCCTGGCTTAGCATCTACAAGGAGGGGAGGGTGTCACACTTCTATCATGCTCAAGTTCTTGGTAATAAGCATGTATTATTTTTGTAATTAAAAAAATTCCGTTTTTAAAAGGATTTTAATGCTCTAGGGGAATGATAGGGTTGAGAGATGTCAGATTCACTGTAAGAGTCTTGCAAGGACTGAAGAGTAAAAGCTTCCGCCATATGCCATTCCCCATCACACTTCTAACAGCAACATCACCTCTTTACCTATCCCCCATCCTGTGACCAGACCAACCAGGCCAGCTCAGCCTGATCACTTTAGCTTTCCCCAACCCCATGCCCACCTCCCTGAGTTTTTACTCCTGTTCTAGTCACCGTAATACCCAGCCCTGATAGGAAGCTTACACAAAGACACAGTTTTAAGAACTTAATGGGAAAAGTTACCTGAAACAGTGATGGCTCAGCACTCTGCTTACACAGGTGAAGGGGCCCCAGAGCCCAGTAAAGAAAGCCATGGGATCCCAAGATAGATCCTGCAGGAAAAACGAGAGGGGGAAAAATTGGTTTCTAAGTCAGAGCCCTTAAAGCCAGTTTTCTTTGGGGACTTGTGTGGGAGATGGCACTTCCAGCACAAGATCATTAGTCACAAAATATAAATCTTAGTGGTTAAAGGATACACAGATGATTAGACAGAGCTGTAGCTCCGATTTTGCTGATTCACATTCTAACTCTGGGGTTGGAGAGGGAGAATGGCCCACAACAGCTTCTGCTATAAAAAAATACAACAGCACGGAGAATGCCTTCCTTATTATATCACTTCCACAGGCAGGAGGAAAATATGAGCCCTTGGTTATAAACCCAGCCAGGGACTTCTTCTCGAGTCCTCCATAGAGGAAAAACTGCACACTATTGCCCTTTTTGATATTCATATGCCTTCTGAAACCAGCACTTTAACTCCCTAAAAGAAAGTAAATTATCTAAGCAGCCACCCAAGTTGTCTATCACTACATCACCTTTCCCCCAAATGTAAAGGCCAGAACACCTGTACAGCTCAAGGCCAGCAAAGCAAAGCCAAAGGCTGCTCTTGCCAAGTCAAAGACCAAAGTCTTTATTTGGGTCAGTCTCCCAAACACTGTAACATGGAAAACTGACCTACACCATACTACAGCTGAAAGTGGGCTTTGGGAAACCAACTTGAAGAGTTAGCTAAAAGAGCAAACACCAACCCAAGACTTGTGACTCCAGTTTTCAGAATCTCAACCCTGTTGCTCCCTAGCACTAACAAATATGGAGGCTGCCAGTGCCCTGAAACACCTGAACATCACTTCAGAGCATGCTTCAGAAAGGCCTGTAGCCAGCTGCAAAACACACCTGTTTTTCCACCCAAACGTTTGGCAGCAGAGGTGCCCATTCAAGAGGTCTGCCGAGAAAAGCCTCTACACTGTAGTATTTACACACAGCTTTGCTATGCACAAGTTCAAACCACCTCAGATAAGATTTTATTTAATAAGAATGTTAGGGTGGGGCAGGGGAATCCACTCCTCCCCAGGAATACCTAGACACTCCATACTTTTTTTTCTTTCCTTGAGACAAGTCTTGCTCTGTCACCCATGCTGGAATGTAGTGGTGCAACTGCAGCTCACTGCAGTCCCGAACTCCCCAAGCTCAGGTGATCCTCCCACCTCAGCCTCCCAAGTAGTCAGGACCACAGACATGCACCAGGACGCCTGGCTAATTTTTTGTGTTTTTTTTTTTTTTTTTTTTTTTTTTGTAGAGATGATGGTCTCACTATGTTGCCCAGGCTGGCCTTGAACTCCTGAGTTCATGCAATCCTCCCGCCTCAGCCCCGCAAAGTGCTGGGATTATGGGTGTGAGCCACCCACCACACCTGGCCTTTAAATGCTTATTAACTACAATTTAGCCTCAAATCCCAAACTTACTCCCAAATGTTTTCCTTAAGACAACCCATGAAGCATCAGCCAAAATGTAATTATGATCAGAAAAATCAAATGCAAAAGAAGGCAGCTAATGTATGCAACTACTAACATCTGACACACAGAGAATCACAGACTACCAAATGAGACTAGCTTTACTTTTACTGGTGAGATGACCCTGGACAAGTAACCAAACTGTTGAGCTTTGGTTTACCATCTGTAACACAGGGATACTAATAGTATCTGCCCCCAAGGTAGTTATGAGGATTCAATTAGATAAGCCATGCAAAGCACTTAGCACAGTGCCTGGCACTCATTACCTATTAGCTATCATCATCATGATGTCATATATCATTTTAAAGATTAGAAAATTGATATACAGGCAGATTAAGTGACTTGTGTAGAGTCCCACAATTAGTCAAGGGCAGAAACAGAACTGGATCCAGGTTCAGTCCAAGAGTGTTCCAACCGCACTCTGCAGCCTTGCTCTGCTATACCAAAGCTCATTTCACAGGAGAGCCCTGGGTGTCAAGCAGCTTTAAGGGTCATTTGGCCTCTTTCTGTTTCTTTATTTATGAACACTTATCAAATGGTTACAATGTGTCACACAGCAGGCTAAGTGTCTTACATTACTATCTCATTTAAACCTCATGGCCGGGCACGGTGGCTCACGCCTGTAATCCCAGCACTTTGGGAGGCCGAGGTGGGCAGATCACCTGAGGTCGGGAGTTTGAGGTCAGTCTGACTAACATGGAGAAACCCTGTCTCTACTAAAAATACAAAATTAGCCAGGCGTGGTGGCACATGTCTGTAATCCCAGCTACTCAGGAAGCTGAGGCAGGAGAATCGCTTGAATCCAGGAGGTGGAAGTTGCGGTGAGCCGAGATCGCATCATTGCACTCCAGCCTGGGCAACAAGGGCAAAACTCCGTCTCAAAAATAAATAAATAAAATAAACCTCAAAAAACCCTATGAAATGGGTACAATTATTATTAGCCTCATTGTTATACACAAGGAAATAAAGCCCAGAGAGGTTAAATAACTTGCCCAAGGTCACATGGCTAGGAATGACTAGGCTGAAATATGAACCCCAGTTGTGGGCTTCCTAAACCCATGCTCTTACTCAACAGAGTAAACATGGCAACTTTAATTTAAATATTAATATTTTACAACTATTAAATCATTCTTGTTCCATCAAGAATACTGACGTCAGCTGGGCGCGGTGGCTCATGCCTGTAATCCCAGCACTTTGGGAGGCCAAGGCAGGCGGATCACTTGAGGCCAAGGTCAGGAGTTTGAGACCAGCCTGGCCAACATGGTGAAACCCTTCTCTACTAAAAATACAAAAATAAGCCGGGCATGGTGGCGGCCGCCTGTAGTCCCAGGTACTCAGGAGGCTGAGACAGGAGAATCACTTGAACCCATGAGGCAAAGGTTGCAGTGAGCCAAGGTTGGGCCACTGCACTCCAGCCTGGGCAATACAGTGAGACTCCATCTCAAAAAAAAAAAAGAATACTGACGTCACATGCACATTTTACTCACAGCCAATTCAGTGCTTGCTGAATCAACTGAAATGTAGACACATATCAGGTGAAAATTATTCACTTTAAGTTTTGAAGACAATTTGTAGTGTAGGAGGCAAGAAGAGATCAATACTCAGAGCAATAACTAAAAACTAGCAAAAAACAACAAAACAAAACTTCTGAAAAGCAGAGTCCTTCTGGTCCAGGCTGCAGTTAACTCAAATCCCTGCCAAGCTGTTCCCATCTGATGCTGGCAGGTCCTTGGCTCCTTGAGAGAGAAGAGCGTCCTGAACAACGCCACAGAACCCTCAAGATTAACCCAGCACCACCCACATTCCCTCTCCCGAGAAGTGCAACACCCTGCCTCTCAACACCGCACTGCTTCCTCAAGAACACTGACATTAGTCCAAGAACTGCAGAAGCACTTAAGGGCTTCCCAGAACTTTCTTGACTCAGGTATCATCACAAAGCACCTCCCTACACTCTGTAAGGCTGTCAGTGCACAAACACAAACTCAGGCCTCCTCTCTGCACCTTGCTCACAAGCCATCTCCACAACCAACACTCATCTCTGCCCAGACAAATGTGACCCAGCTCCACAAGCATCTCCTCCACAAAGTCTTGTGTCAAACGGCAGCATCAATTGCTACCCCTCCTGAACACTGGGACATCCTTGTGCCAGTGCAACACTCACTGAACCAATATTCACTATCCAAACACCCACAATGAGTAAATTTGTATACTTTGAGATAAGTCTGATGTCCTTTAACATTCTATTTCTTCCCACTCACTATCCAAAATTCAGAAACCAGATATTCTGACAACATGGCAACTGAACGTGCTACAGGAATTCAGGAGCCACACAGACTTCGATGGTAAGGATTACCTGTACTGCCCTCAAACCCAAGAGTGATATATTCATGTCTCTAGGAAGCACTTCCCAATTCAGTGACTTTTCACTAGCTTTTTAGTGGATCTGATATTGACGTCTAGACCTAAACCCAAAGGACTCAGACATCAAATGGCCAGCAGTTAGCATTCCTATGAACTTGAAAGCACAAAAGAATCAAATATTCACTTATTGTATATATGTCCCTTATCCCTCCAAAAAAACAAACTGTTATACCCTCCTCTTCCACCCTAGCAAAAGACCCCAGCCAGTCCTGATAACAGTAGGAGTGCAATAAATACTTGTTGAATAAAATAAATGAGGTAGCCAGGAGAAAGACAGGTCCCCCATGGCTCTGACGGAGGTAAATCCAGAAACGGCAGAGCTCTTATCTGTATTTTTGGAATCAGGACATGTCAGGCAAACATGCTGTAAGAGAATGATGGTGCTAATCATGGAGGATTAGCCCGTGCTTTGTTTCCAGGCCCCCTGGACTCACCTCCTGGGCCTGGTGCCTACACTGCCTACTATGGAAAATGCCTGATCCCACCACTAAAATAACTGTTTCAGATCAGGGAAGAGCAATGGAGGCAGCAATTTACTTCAAAGCAACTCTGATGGACCCTGATATTATTTCCTAGCATAAATCCACCCTATGGACACAGACCCTGAATCACTTCAGACCTAGTCTATATACAATGGTTGTTTTACAAGCAATGTCACTCTGGATCTTGTGCACAGGAGACTGACTTCAATGACAGTTCCTTCTCTACAACACTCTCACTTAGAGGAGGCCAGGTATTTGGAAAACTTTGGCGCCAGAGATGGCATTTCATGCCACTTCCTGGTCAGCACTAAGTATTACCCTCCTGTTTTAGAATATGAATCACAACTTCTCCTTAAAAAGAGCTGGGGTGGGGGGTGGGAAGAGAGGGTGGGTGGAAGGAAAAGAAAAAACAAATTCATACAATCTAAGCCATGCTAATTTTCCATCTTGCTTTAAGATCTCCCTTCAGTTGTAGAGGCAAGGGAGGACTATGGATTTCAATGGAATATGGGGGAATTGCCATCGCCCTACAGATCCCATTGGAATGTATGCTCTGTGAGAGCAGGGACCAGCCCTTGCTCTGCTCAGTGCCAGACACTCAGTGCCCAGAACTGTGCCTAGCACACCTACAGCTTAGTGACTCTCTGTTAGGTGGACAGAACTGATTTATGACTGGGCATAGTGGCTTACGCCTATAATCCCAACACTTTGGGAGGCCAAGGCGGGCGGATCCCCTGAGGTCAGGAGTTTCAGACCAGCCTGACCAACATAGTGAAACCCCGTCTCTACCAAAAATACAAAAATTAGTGGGGCGTGGTGGCACGTGCCTGTAGTCCCAGCTACAGCCCGGCTGAGGCAGGAGAATCTCTTAAACCTGGGAGGTGGAGGTTGCAGTGAGCCGAGATCACACCACTGCACTCCAGCCTAGGCAACAGAGTAAGACTGTCTCAAAAAAAAAAAAAAAAGAACTGATTTATAATTCAACCTCCAGCTCCAGAGAGGCTCCATTTCAGAGGGGTTGGTGGTTTTTCCTGTGCCCTTCACCCAGGCTCCCAGTGACTTGGGAGAGCCTCATAGGCACAGAGAGCTCTTCCCCCCCCTCTTTTTTTTTTGGAGACGGAGTCCTGCTCTGTCGCCCTGGCTGGAGTACAGTGACGCCATCTCAGCTCACTGCAAGCTCTGCCTCCCGGGTTCACACCATTCTCCTGCCTCAGCCTCCCAAGTAGCTGGGACTACAGGCGCCTGCCACCAACCCCAGCTAATTTTTTGTATTTTCAGTAGAGACGGGGGTTTCACTGTGTTAGCCAGGATGGTCTCGATCTCCTGACCTCGTGATCCGCCTGCCTCGGCCTCCCAAAGTGCTGGGATTACAGGCATGAGCCACCGCGCCCTGCCAGAGAGCTCATTTTTAGCTACTCTGAGTTGGAAGGGCAGACACAAAGAACCTGTACCTCTGATGCTTTGTGGAAAGCTGGAAAGTACCATTACTTTAAGTTTTGAGGATCAGCAAAATATAATTAGTATCACAGATCTATATATAATTACACATTGTTTCTACCTAAACAATTTCAATCTTTAGGTGCCTGGCCGGTTACATTTTAAAGACCTTTCAAGGAAAATGGCCTCTAAGTAGTACTTAGATATGATAGAAAAAGGAGAAAACAAAAAGTTCAGCACAATCACAAATGAGCCTTTAAAGGAGGTTCTGCTAGTATGTAACGGACGGGAAAAGAGACTGAGAAATCAAATGGAAAGCCCAGACACAAAAAGGACAAACTCTGCCAGCGTGAGGATATAAATGTCCTTCTTAATCAAAGTAGGAAAAGCAAAGGCCTGGCAGCTCTAATAAATCAAAAACAAAAAGGAATTCTTGGGACCCTCTGTCCTGTCATGCAAACACAACCCCTCCCACCTCAGGTTTCTCCTCAATCATTCTGGACCAATAAGTACTTTCATTTGTTGCTTACAGACTCATTACTGTTTTTGCTGCCCAACTATTTCCTTTTAGGAAGTTTGGTGTGTGCGTGGTTTTGTAACCTCACACAATAGCCACAATAGCATGTTATAAATCTCAAAGTACTTTCACACAGATCACTTTCTTTGAAGATTTCAGTCCTAGCACCCAATGGAAACAAAGACAAACAGGAAAGACCAACAGTCTGCAAGGGGGCTGAATCTGCTAAGGATTTTAAATAGTTCTGCAGGCTCCACAGAGTTGGAGAAATGAAGACAGAAATGCTAAGATTTGTTGATTGACTCGTCCAAGGTTACAAGGCAACAAGGCCCAGACCAGAGCCCAAGGCTGTTTTTATTAAACACTGCACAATATTTGCACAGTGAAGATGCTGCTTTAGCCACTAATAAGCTACATGGATAAAATAAATGTTCCACATGCAGGGCAAGTACACCTTCTCCTTTGGCAAGGCTGCAACATAATCTTCAAAAAACTCAGGAAACAAAAAGCCATCTCTTCAATAAATATCTGCACTACACTCAGGACAGCCTCGGACCAAAGCTAAAGCTGATTTTGAGTGGTCTGCCAAGGTGTGAGTTCTCACAGCAGCACTATCAATAAGTAAAGTATCCCTCAATAGCATGATCAGCTGTTTCCACCACAGCTACCACTTAGAAAACCCCATTTCTCAACCCCATTTCACAAAGGGAAAACATGTCTAGGGTTCTTGTCCTATATTTGTTTATATAACTTATGCCCCACCTTGTTGCAAAAGTATTTAAATTAGGGCGTGGTGGTTCACACCTGTAATTACACCACTTTGGGAGGCTGAGGGAGGAGGAACACTGGAGCTCAGGGGTTGGGGATTGCAGTGAGCCATAATTTCAGCACAACACTACAGCCTGGGTGACAGAGCGAGACCCTGCCTCAAAAAAAAAGTAAGCAGTAGTACTTAGATAGATCTGACAATTCTCAATTATTCAAGATGGTTTTTCAATGTGTAGATTTGTATATTTTATCTACTCCAGTTTTGCTCCCCCTCCCATCCCTACCTCACAAGTGTACAAACATCTATAATCCAGATATAAATTTGTAATATTCTTCATCTGGTCAAACTCAGGAAAAACTGCACAAGTCAAAGTAAAATTCTACTGAATCATATACATAATTCCCTTCCTATTAGTACCTCCATTGGGCCAGGTTTAGGTGGGCTCCAGGTTTATTAAGATGTCAGATAGGCAGGAGAGTAGTGTGAAAAAGTTAAAGAATGGGGGTGGGAGGGTGCTGCTGATGGAAAGCATATATCTCTTTCACTCCATCCTCCCCTTCTCTCACACCAAGTCTGTGGCCCTGGAATCACCTGTCTGGGTCTCAACGACTCTCTGTCAAGCAGAGATCATATTGGGAAAAGCAAAGAGGTCTGGAAATGGAAGTGCTTTAGCTTCACTCATGTAAGGGATCATTTTAATGTGGACAATCCTTCTCTGAATTATCCAGTACAGACTAGATCTGCAGGATAGTTTGTTTACCAGATCCTGGCCAGGAAGAGCAAGCTCGTTCCCTGATTCTCAGGGCAGCACCATAGGTGCCTCTTTAAGATCATAGCCCTGAAAGTGTTTTCAGTTTAGAGTGGACATGGTAAATTACTTCCTCTCTTTTCTAAGACATAAAAGATTTTTTGAGTTTTTAACAGAGGGCTCTCCTACTCTGAGTGGTTTCACTGGTGAATGGTAAGCTACTTTACTATGACCTTTTTAAATATTCAGCATATTACCTGACCCAGAACAACATTTCTGAGATCTGAACTGCAGTCTTCTCTTGCATACTAGTTGTCACTGTAAATACACATGTAAAATCACACCAGGGTAAGCTACAACCCAGACAAACCATGAGCCTATAAAATAGAAGGCTAAACCATAACCTGCTTTTCGAGACCCCCCCTACAGCCCTAAGAACTATCCAAGTAACCTGACAGTAGGAAAATCCACCTTAGGTGTGCCCAGGCATGATAATCCCAAAGACATAAATGGAGCAAAATAGGTTTTAAAGAATTCTTGCAACACTGAAGACTAGGAGCTAAGAAGAGTCTAAATAACCATGCTCAGTGCCCAACCACCTGAAAAGTGGACTCCAGGGAAATTTTGTTGTTGTTATCCACCCCGCCCCAAGGGAAACATTTTATCTTTAATATTCAGGAGCAATAATAAAATATTTTGGCCACTGTTCTTCAAGGATTCCACAAGGCACTTAATTCTCATGTCAGGCTTTCTGAAATGCTTGCCCTGGAAAGTGTCACTTGATGGCTCACACACTCCTTGAGGATTAGGTGCTGACCCTAATTAGGCACAGGCAGAAATAGTTCAGGAATCCACATGCTCAGATTCATAACTATACTTTTTGTAAAAAATAAAAACATATAAAAAATGCCTTCTGGCTGGACAAGGTGGCTCACGCCTGTAATCCCAGCACTTTGAGAGGCTGAGTTGCGTAGATCGATTGAGGTCAGGGGCTGGAGACCAGCCTGGGCAACATGGTGAAACCCTATCTCTACTAAAAATACAAAAATTAGCCAGGAGTGGTGGCTCGCGCCTGCAGTCCCAGCTACTCGGGAGGCTGAGGCATAAGAATTGCTAGATCCCAGGAGAAGCTGCAGTGAGCTGAGATCGCACTGCTGCACCCAGATCTCCCCAGCCTGGGCAAGAGAGACTGTCTCAAAAAAAAAAAAAAAAAAAAAAAAAAAGGCCTTCTAGTGATCCTCAGAAATCCAAAAACCAGACAACTATGGCTTCCACTTCCATTTTTCAGATATCCATTATAATACTATTTGACCTCAAAGTGAATTTTATTGTTCCACACAAGCAACAGATTACACCAATTTCACAACTCCCAGAATCCAAACCTACAAAGACCCTTCCCACCAAGCACTTTACCAAAAACGGGCTTCATCTCCATCTTCCTTTCTTTCACAGTTGAAAAACTGCCCTTCCTAATTAAGCCAACCAACTTCTTACCTCAATAAAATCCTTGTTTTTCAGTAGCACGTACAGTATTTCCAGTGATGAACAGTGAACTGTCTTTCGTCTCACACAGTAACCTCCGTGAAGAAGATCCACCTTGTTCTTTACTGTATATTCCTGGCATGCTAACTGCATCCTCAGACAATTTTAAGTGACTGAAAACTCAGGCAAAGAAAGGCAAGAGGGCAAATAGAAGGGCACAGGAGACAACGCTTTTCAAATTTTTCTCACTGCGACCTACAGAAACACACTGTAGAACACCTCCTAGTACACTCACACGTGTGTGTACACCTGAAGTGTCAAGAAACAATACCCTAAGTGCAACACCCTCTGATATTTTCTATTTCAAGTGGCCGTGATCTACTAAACTGATTTCCAACTCACCAATAGGATTCAGTTTGAAAAACACTGCAATAAATCAAACCTTACAGTTGCATTCCACAAGCTACTAATGAACTCTTGAAAATCCAGCATACAGCAGAGACGCTGACCAACTACAAGATCCAAACCCCCCAGGTGGGCAGTGTCCTTCTGTTCAGCAGTGGCAGTTCCCCACCACCACCAGCCCTGAGAGTTAATTATCTCCCAAACTCCCAGAGTTTCCCAAGTAGCCTGAGGTGTCTGTCATATGCCCTTTTAACCTCTTTATAAATTCAGTCCCGTCCGTCTCTTACGGTGGCAAAGTTCATTTATCGTCGGCTGTGGAAAGCAATACTTCCTTTTTGTCCCCTCCAGGAACCAGAAATTAAATGACCAGGTTGGTGCCCGTTGTGCCTTTATGATCTATTTGTGTGGGTGATATATAGAAAGAGTCTCAGTCTCTCCCTTCATCTTTCCAGTCTTAATCACTGGTAGATGCAGTCTCTGGTGAAATAAGAAACCAGGGAACCCCCTGGCCTGGGGGAGGGCGCACTCATCAGCGTTGACAGAGTGAAAGCAAAAACTCAATCCTCACACCACAGAGGCGTCTGGCTAACTCATCTCCAGACCTAAGTTGGGAAAGGGGAGGGGAGCGCGGAAAGCGGAGAAGCCGGAGGAGACGCTCCGGAGTGACCAGCGACGGCTGAACGCAGCCCGCCCTCCCCAAGTCGACGCCGCAACCCGGGGAAAGCAGGTGAGCGCCGGCCACGGACTTGGGGGTCGCAGAAGCAGCCCACGGAGAGCGGAAGGGAGGAGGATCCGGGTAAGGGGCCTCCCCTCCCCGTCGGGACCCCCCTCCCCGTCGGGACCCCCCCCTCCCCGTCGGGACCCCTCCCACTGACGCTCTGCCTCCCACTCTGGCCTCTCCTCACTCACCCCGGGGAGTGGGCCTCCCCTACTGCAGAGAAAGGAAGAGGAGAAGGAGGGAATGAGGACTTAACGCCCACCCCTGCCCCCCACCATACCGCTCTCGCCGCCCGGGAAAATCCCGCCGCGGGCCCCACCAGCCAAGCGCCGCCTTCGCCCCACGCGGCCTCTTCCTAGCGCCTGCGCGCCAGGCCCAGCCCGGCGGACGCGATCTGAGAGTGCGCGCGCACCTTGCGTGCGCCGGCGTGCGGGGCGGGACCTGCGGGGCTCCGCCCCCTCCCCCTCCCTCCCCCCGCTCCCCCTCCCCCATACACTGCCGCGGCCGCCGCAGGAGCCCGGAGCTCGAGCCGCCCAGCGACTCCCCCTCCCCCTCCCCCAGCCCCGCCCCGCCCCAACCCGGGGCTCCGAGCCGGAGCCGAGTCTGCGCCTGGGGGTGAGTACGCGACCCCTACCCAGCCCTCGCTCTTTTCTTCGAAGATCCCACCACCACCCAAAGAAAAAACCTGGACTCAGCTGCGCGTCCCCTCCCTTCAACCTCCTGCGGGACCCAGAGGTGCCCGGGCCCGCGGGACCCAGGGGTGGCGCGCGCTGCCCCCAACCCCGCACCATCCCGAGCCAAATGTGAGTCCTCCAACCCCTGCCGGAGGTCCAGATACGCGCCGCCGGCTCTCCCCAGCCCCGGGGAGATCCCAAAGGGTGGGACCCCCGCCCCCGGCCCCCGAGTGCCACTCTTCTCCCACCTGCCCGGTGCAGGTGCGCGTCCCCTGCGCGACCCTCGGGGGTGCCAGCTGCGCCCCGCCTGTCCGCCGCCGTTTGGGGAACTAGCCGCCCCCGCCCCCGAGTTTTGGACCCCGGGGTCGCCAAGTCCGATGCCTTCTGTGCCTTTTATTTTTTCTGCTGCTCCCGGGGGCGAGTACACCCGAAGCCGGTCCGGGGTAAGGGCTCGGGCTCGGGCAAGGGCAGGGTTCGCAGGTGCTGGCACGAGGCCGGCCGCTGCCCCCGGCTCTGGGGACTGACTGGTCGGCGGGCTGGAGAGGCGGCCGGCCCCGGGAGCGTGTCCTCTCCTTGCGCCCCACACAGTGCAGTTCATTCATGAGCCGCCCGGGCCTGCGTTGGAGGGTGCGGTGGGGAAAAGATTCAGACGCGAAACCGAGAGTGGGGCAAAGGCCCTGTTGTGGGGAGGGGGCGCCGCTTTGTCCCTCCTGGCTGTCTTGACCGCCTAAGGCGGACAGTCCCAAAGCTTGGCACCTTGTTCCCCAGAAAAGGAAAGGACGCTTGGGAAGTGGGGAGGAGAGGTCAGAGGGGCTGGCTGCCCTTGGGGCGCTGTGCTGCCCCCTGCCTGGGTCCCCTGGGCAGAGGTCTGGCCGCTCGGGGCAAGCCTGAGCACTCCACCGCCCTGGGGGGCTGGGGCTTGCCTACCCATTACCAGTCTGCAGCAGCCGGGGAGCAATGAGGCTGTGCCCAACACCTGCTGAAGAGGGGCCCATCCTGCCTCCCAGGCCAGGGTGAGGTGGGGAGTGGGAGTGTCAGCCAGGCTTCAAGTGGGGGTGTGCTGGCAGCGTGATTGTCCTCCAGGGCACCAGAGGGTCCAGGCCTTGGCATGCCCCAGGTGGCACATGCTGGGGCCTGCTGTTGGCTCACTCAGTGCAGTCTTGGCCTGTGGGTGGATGGGGACATGGCAAGGCAGAAGGCAGGCAGTGGGTAACTAAGAACCCCCTTGGACATCATTCAAGTTCTCTCCAAGTATAGCAGAGTCTTAGAGACCTGCGTTCAAATTCTAGCTCTACTATTCTTCAGCTGTGTGACCTTGACAAGTTACTTAACCTGTCTGAACCTCAGTTTTCATTAAAAAGTGTTTATGCCTATAATTCCAGCACTTTGGGAGACTGAGGCGGACAGATCACTTGAGGTCAGGAGTTCGAGACCAGCCTGGCCAACATGGTGAAACCCCATCGCTACTAAAAATACAAAAATTAGCCGGGCATGGTGGCACACACCTGTAATCCCAGCTACTCAGGAGGCTGAGGCAGGAGAATGGCTTAAACCTGGGAGGCGGAGGTTGCAGTGAGCCGAGATTGTGGCACTTCACTCCAGCCTGGGTGACAGAGCAAGACTGTCTCAAAAAAAAAAAAAAAAAGAAAGAAAAGAAAAAGAAAAAAAGTGTGGTTACTACCACCTCCTTACAAGTTTTATCATGGGAATCAAACAAGGTAACAGAAGTAAAGAGCTTGGCATCCTTCCTGGTAATTGATCAATAATGGGTTATCATCTCTGAACTTCTGACCCATAACTCTCCCATGCCTCCACCTCCCAGGCTACCACAGATGGATGGGGTATGTTCAAAGAGTGAGAATATTCCCTGTCACTCAGTGGCAGAGTCCCTAACACAGTGTAAACCCTTAGGTCTAAATAAGAAGCCCAACCTGACTGAGGGGCTCTGTTATATTTCTATCATGTTACATTCTGTGTTTTTATCTTATTTTTGTTTTTACCAATTTTCTTTCTCTAAACCAACCCCTTTTATTCCATACCTTATTAATAACAATAACTAATTCCTAGAGCCCATTATATGCCTTGAACTATATTAAGAGCTTTACATAAGTCATCTTGTTTAATCCCCAGAACAACAACACAACTGGATTATTGTCCCATTTTACAAATGAAGAAACTGAGGCCCAGGGTGACTAAGTAATTTTCCCAGGTTAGAAGCCTGGTCTGTCACATCCTAGAGTCTGTGCTTTTAACCACCAGACTATGGTGCCTGTCCCCTATGCCTGCCTCAGAACCTGAAATCACAAACCCAAGGCCTGAGTGGAGGGAAGCTACAAGCAAGAGGAAAGGCAAGCAGGTAGAAATAGGGTATGGCATTTCTCCAGTGTGGTAACTGACTGCCTCCGGCTCCCTGGTGGAAGTGGCTCTTGTTTGCAGATAACTCTGCAAAGTGCAGTGGTTAAGAGCATACACTCGAGCCAGGCAGCCTGGGTCCTTATCTGGGTCTACCACAGACTGGCTGTGTGACCTTGAGCAGCTCATATACTCTCTCTGTATCTCAGTGTCCTCCTGGGGTTGTGATGGGGAGCAAATGAGTTACATTTGTAAAGTGCTTAGAACAGTGCTTGGCACAAAAGAAGAGTTAAATAAACATTTAATACTATTATTTTACTACTTTTTTTTCTTTTTCTGTTTTTCTTTTTTCTTTCCTTTTTTTTTTTAGACACGGTCTCTGTCTGTCGCCCAGGATGGAGTGCAGTGGCATGATCTTGGTTCACTGCAGCCTGGAACTCCCTGGGCTCAGGTGATCTTCGCACCTCAGCTTCCGGAGTAGCTGGGACTACAGACATGCACCAGCATGCCCAGCTAAATTTTGGTGGTGGGGGGTATCTTTTGTAGAGACGGGGTTTTGCTATGTTGCCCAAGCTGGTCTCGAACTCCTGGGCTGACGTGATTCTCCCACCACAGCCTCCCAAAGTGCTGGGATTACAGGTGTGAGCCACCATGCCTGGCTTTTTTTTTTTTTTCCCCTCGAGACAAGGTTTTGCTCTCTTGCCCAGGCTGGAGTGCAGTGGCATGATCATGGCTGACTGCAGCCTCCAACTCCTAGGCTCAAGGTATCTTCCCCACTTGGCCTTCAAAAGTGCTGAGATTACAGGGGTGAGCCACCCCACCCTGCCTACTACTACTTTTTTTTTTGAGATGGAGTCTCACTCTGTCGCCCAGGCTGGAGTGCAGTGGCATGATCTAAGGTCACTGCAACCTCTGCCTCCTGGGTTCAAGTGATTCTCCTGCCTCAGCCTCCCGAGTAGCTGGGACTACAGACGCATGCCACCACACCCAGCTAATTTTTGTATTTTTTTAGTAGAGACGGGGTTTCACTGTGTTGGCCAGGCTGGTCTCGAACTCCTGACCCTGTGATCTGCCCAGCTCGGCCTCCCAAAATGCTGGGATTACAGGTGTGAGCCACCGTGCCTGGCACCTACTACTACTTTTATGCTCACTTGTGGATATATTCTTGCCTTTCTCTCTGAAGTGGGTAGGGGTAGAGTAAGGATATTTGTATCTCTTTGTTACAGATTGGAAGACTGAGACTCAGGTTTCGTAGTAACAGAGCTCGCTTCCATCTTCCCCTCCTCCCCTCAGACCACATGGCCTTGCTTTGATCCAAAGCCCTAACTTAAATCTTGCCCAGTAACTCCACTGAAAAAGCTTATATCACTCCTGTAATCCCAGCACTTTGGGAGGCCGAGGTGGGCAGATCATGAGGTCAAGAGATCGAGACCATCCTGGCCAACATGGTGAAACCCTGTCTCTACTGAAAATACAAAAATTAGCTGGGCGTGGTGGCATGTGTCTGTAGTCCCAGCTACTCAGGAGGCTGAGGCAGGAGAATCCCTTGAACCCAGGAGGCAGAGGTTGCAGTGAGCCAAGATCGCGCCACTGCACTCCACTCTGGTGACAGAGCGAGACTCCGTCTCAAAAAAATACACAACAACCCCCCCAAAAAAAAGCTTATAAGTTATAGCTCTCCAACCCCCACCATGCACACACTCCTTAATGGTAAAATTAAAAAGTTAGCTAGAAGTAAAATGCTCCATCACTCTCTGGACACACCTCAACCAAAACCTCAATATCAGACTAGAGAAACTGGGATATAGCTGGTGCAGGCACCTCGTGGAGTGGAAGAACTGCCACCTCCCATCCCCAAGGTATTCTGCCTCAATGTCTTCCCTCTTCTCAGTTGCTCAGCCCAGTGCTGGCTTTGAGAGCAGCTGCCCTTGATGAAACTCAACCCAGCAACCCCACCCCCACAATTAAAAGCTTGGAGCAGCCCTGTCAACTGGCAGAGCTGCCAGCCCAGGCTCCACCCCTTACCTGTCCTGTCACTGTGCAAGTTGCTTCCCCTACTGGGTTCCTGCTTCCTCCCTGTAAAATGGGGATAGTGATCTGAGTGTGCCCTGCCTTCCTCCCATGCAGGTGGGAAGATTAATGCTGTTGTGGAGGGGAGAGTACTTTGTGACCCCAAGGAGGCGGACAGCAGAGGAGCATGGTGATTTCAGTTACTAACCATCTAGCTAGATCCTGTCCACCCTGCTGGGGCCACTTCATGTAGAAGCTTCCAAAATGCTCTACCTTTCTTTGGTGTGGAGAAGACAGGAGTTGATAGGAATGGTACTCTGGGGCTTGTTCTCATTTCATTCTGATCTGATGGAGCCTTGGAATTCAGAGAGAGAAACAGGCAAGGGGTGGGAATAGAGTGTTGAGATTGCTGGAGTACATTGGAGTTGAGAATTGAGAAAGGGGGACTAGTTAGAGTCCCCCCAACCCAAGATACCTATACCTACCTTTAACCTCCCATAGTGCCCCAGGGTTCTGTGCATCTTATGTTTACATACCCGGGCTCCCAGACACACCCATGTTCACACCCCCACTTCGAAGCCAACAACTCCCTTCATTTCCGTGGACTGCCATGCAGTCACCTAGCTCCTCCTGGACACAGGTCCACACATCAACACACATTTACATACCTGGACACACACATTTCCACAGCACCCACAGGTTCTCTGGCCTGAGAACATTTAATGAGCATTTATAAAGCTTCCATGGTCTGCCGAGTCCTGTTCTAGGAACATCAGAAAAGCACCGTGGTGCCCTGAAAATCATTCTAGCTTTAGAAAGAAGGTGAGCTAGGTTTGAGTCCTAGGTCCCTCATTTTATTAGCAGTGTGACCTTGGGAAAGTTACTTAACCTCTGAGGCCCTGTGCCCCCACCCTAAAATGTCAGTGACACTCAATTCAGGATCGTCGAGGATTAAATGAAATCATGTAATATATTATTCTTGAAACTGAGGGCACTGGACAAATGGTACCCAATACAATTACTAAATTAGTGTGTTTTTAAAGGCAGCTTGGACTGGAAAAGGAAGAGGCATAACACACCAGCACACACTCCTTTAGTCTTCCTAATCCAGGCTTTGCAGAGACTCCCTGGGACCAAGTGAAACACATAAACAACTCCATCCTCCCCTCCATCTGAGGGCTTCTGCCTCTTGCCCTGTGGTTGAAGTGTTAGGAAGAGGCAGGAGAAACCCTCTGAGTCCCCCTGGGGGCTAAGGGATGCTGCTCCCGAAGTTGCAGTCACTGTTTCTAGTTTTGTTGTTCTCTTTGGTTTTCCTTTTTCTTCCCTGAGGACCTCCTCCCCTGCTCCACAGCCCGCCCCCGAGGCAGAGCTTCAGTGTTGTCAGCAGAAGGGTCCCCCAGGGACCCCCCAGTAAAATGGGTGGGGCAGTGCTGCATCTGTTGAGGCCACACTTCTCCGCTATCCTGGGATCCTCCCCAGGGCCCCACTCTGCTCTGTCCCCAAGCACTTTGAGAACCCAGGCACTCAGGCTGGCTGTCCCTTTTCTCCTCCTGCCCACCCCATCCACTCTGAGCATCAATGCAGCCGGCCAGTTGCAGGCAACCAGGCAGCACCCTGGCTGCCCAGGCAGGCTAAGAGGCCCCCACCCACTCCCCCCTCCTTTGCCAGTGGAAAAGCTTGCCGTAGGGCATAGCTTTCCCAGCCTTCCCTGCTTCAGAGGCAGGAGCATGGCACTCTGGGAGTTGTAGTGCTCATAACACTCAGGCGATCCCTGTGCAAATAACTGGAGAGAGGACTATGGTATGGGGAAGAGAAATGAGAATAAGCAGGAGTGGCTGGGGCCAGGCAGGTAACTCAAACCCAGAAGTCCTACTATTTACTTGACTTCCTACTCTGACCCATCGTCGAACCTAAGCCAGTTATATTGAGTTCAAAACTCTAACCAAATGAAATCATGCCATTTTTTCTAATAGGCATAGAAAGAAAAGATCAGGATGAGGCAGCTGGCTCCTGACCCATTCTCCCCTGACGTGGAGACCCCTCATCTTACCCTTGAGTCCTCAGGCCTAAGACCCCTCCCTGTCTTCCCAGGCTCAGCTCCGCCCCCTGCCCTAAGACAGAGAGAATGAGAGTGTGGGGGTGGCGGCGGCAGGGGGGATTTAGATAGATGTTAGAAAATCACAGATACCTTCCAGCTTAATGAAACCAGCCTCCCCAGTCCAGGCCTGGCATCTAGACTGAGTTCCCCAGACCCAGGGTGGGGTCATAGCCAGAGAGCCAGTGAAGGTAAATCCATGTGACTCAACTCTCCCCTCCCTAGGCCCTTATCTCCAGAGGCCAGAGCTTCCATCCACCCAGGCAGCCTGGTGATCTGTCCTCACTGCCCCCTCCCCACGCCCACCCTACTGGGCCATGAAGGGGATGGGGGCAAGCCCAGCTGACTGCTCCACCCTCTGCCCAGGAGGACCATGCGGCAGTAGCAGCCATGCTGCCCTTTCTGCTGGCCACACTGGGCACCACAGCCCTCAACAACAGCAACCCCAAGGACTACTGCTACAGCGCCCGCATCCGCAGCACTGTCCTGCAGGGCCTGCCCTTTGGGGGCGTCCCCACCGTGCTGGCTCTCGACTTCATGTGCTTCCTTGTAAGTGCCTGCTGCCACCCCTTACCTTGGCATCCATGCCCTGTACACACCTGGCAAACACTTCCAGCTCTAACCACTCTCCCACCTGCCCCGGTTTCCCAGGCTTAAGCAGGAGGAGTCCCCATCATCCAGCCCAAGCCTCGCCTTTGACCATTCACCCAAGCCAGGGTCATCCCCTTCTAAGACAAGATTTTGGACCCTCTGCTTCTGCCCCCTAGTCCAGCAGGTGGACAGACAGCCTCTGCACTTGCCAACTGCCCCCTCTTCCCTCAGGCACTGCTGTTCTTATTCTCTATCCTCCGGAAGGTGGCCTGGGACTATGGGCGGCTGGCCTTGGTGACAGATGCAGACAGGTAAGGGTCTGGGACCCTCCCTCTAGCTCTCCACACACACATCTTGTTCCACACTCCTCAGGAATAGGAAGGAGCCAGCCCTCTCTCATTCCCCTTTGCTGGGGGGATGAGAAGGGACTAGCCCCAATGTGGGCATGGGGGCATGAGGGCCCTAAGTTGGGCCCCTGTTCCTCACCTGTCCCCAGGGACTCTCCCCCGCCCCTGCTAACCCTGTCTGTTCTCTGTCCCCAGGCTTCGGCGGCAGGAGAGGGACCGAGTGGAACAGGAATAGTATGTGGGGCACCAGCCCCCTCATTCCCACTAAACCAGCTTTCCCTTTTCTTCTCTCACGCTTCTCTTCTCTTCCTGCCAAGTTGCTGGTTTCTTTTTGCAGTTTTCTCCTCTGCAGGCTCATGTTTCGGATTAACGCAGGCGGTGTGCTTTGCAGAGCAGGGGGCTCCCCAGCTTGTCTCTGCCTCACCTCCCCTTCATCTCTCCCTCTGGCTCCCTGCCTGGGAGAAGTCCCTCCCTGTGTGCCCCTGCCTATGCAGCCCTTGTTGGCTGGAGGGGAGGGGCTGTCCTCCAGGAAATCCTCAGCACAATCACGTAGAGACAAGATTGGGTGTCACCAGCAGCTTCTTGTCCGCTAACAGCTAGTTCTTCATATTCCAGGGTTCCCTGCTCACCTCTTCTGGAGGCCTGGGAGGAGGGCTGCCCAAGGAGCCCCCCAGTCTGGGCTTTTTTGTCACTTTGTCATCTCTGTCTATAGGATTGGAGTTGGAGTTGTAACAGCTGTTGGAGTCAGGGAAGAGGGAGGGGAGCGGAGGGTAGGGTCCCACCCAGGAGACCTTCCAGTCTCCCCAGCCCTTCCAGGTTCTCCTGGTCCATCCTTTCCTCCACCTCCTCATTGCTCTTTGCATAATGTTGGCTCCGTTGCCCGCCCCCGGCCCCTGCCAGTCAACTCTGGAACTGCAGGGCCCTCTGGCATTCTCGCTTCAGCCTCCTTAGGGAGATGATGAAGATTACCTCCTCCCTCAAGTCCCCACTGCCCACCATCAGTGCCCACCTCCGCTCCCACCCTGAGTCCCCCTGAAAGGAAGAGGCATATTTGAGGGAAGCAGGGTAGAGGGCAGTCATTCCTCTCTGCTTCAGCCTCTGCGCTTCCTGTGCCTTCTGTGCCTTCTGTAGCCCTGGAGCTCTGGAGCACTCAGCCCAGCTTCCCGGGGGCTCAGACTCACCAGGCTCTCTGATCTCTCATCTCCCTCACCCCCAGTGTGGCTTCAGCTATGCACGGGGACAGCCATGACCGGTATGAGCGTCTCACCTCTGTCTCCAGCTCCGTTGACTTTGACCAAAGGGACAATGTGAGTGCCCTCCCCCCAAACTTCTTAGTCCCCCACCCCACCCCCAGGGCACATGGGCTGAGAAGTCCCTCACTTTCAGTGATGTGGAGTCAGGGATGCTGGTTTGGCCTCCTCCTCAGCAAAGAAAGTGATTCAACCAAGGAGCCACAGGATGACCCCCCAGGCCCTGAACTCCTGGCTGCTGTCCTCTATGTCACAGTCTCCAAACTAGCACAGCCTTAACATTCATGAATTCCCAACTTTGTTTGCCATAAAGAGTTTTGTGCCCACTTCTGCTGATTAATCCTAAGGCCACCTTTTTTCCGTAGTCATGGTTTTAGAAATAATAATAAGCCCTTGGCTCACGCCTGTAATCCCAGCACTTTGGGAGGCCGAGGCGGGAGGATCACGAGGTCACTAGATGAGACCATCCTGGCTAACACGGTGAAACCCCGTCTCTACTAAAAATACAAAAAATTAGCCAGGCGTGGTGGTGGGCGCCTGTAGTCCCAGCTACTTGGGAGGCTGAGGCAGGAGAATGGCGTGAACGCGGGAGGCGGAGCTTGCAGTGAGCTGAGATGGCGCCACTGCACTCTAGCCTGGGTGACAGAGCGAGACTCCATCTCAAAACAAACAAAAAAAAGAAATAATAAGCCCTCCAGCCCTGCCTAGAAAAACAGAATCTGTCATGTTGCTCGGAGGTTGCAGGTGGGTGGCCCCTGGCCATGTGGGGCCGGTTGACCTGCTTGTGGATTGGAGCTGAGTGGCAGTGGTCCCTTTTAACAAGGCATATGAATGGCAATTCATAACAGACTCCAGACCCCTTTCATATCAGACCTAACACACAGGTGTTACCTGCCTGGCTCTCCATCATTAATTCCATGAGGGTAAGGAGCCTAGTCAGAACTCTAATCCTCAGACATGGTGTGGCCCTGGTCAGTCCCTCTTGGGCTGCAAGTCCTAGGGGTGGCAGCTCTTCCAGCAATTCCAGCAGAAGATGGCCTTCAGCTTCCTGAGTTGGACTCATACTGGTAGGTGGCAAAGTTGTCACATCTGCTAGCCAGAAGTGTCCAGATGGTCCCCAGACTCAGGTGATGTTGGCAACAGGTAGCATGGTCCTGAATCACGGCCGAAAGGCACCTTTCTACCCCATCCTGTGTTATGTCTGGACCTTCTGCTGGATGGAGTTTGGGGCAGGGTGCCCTCTGCGCAGCCCTCCCCTGAATATCCCCATTCTCTGCCTTTACATGCCTGGAGGGTGGAGGGGAGAGATTTTTTTTTTTTTTTAATTTTTCCCTGAGACAGAGTCTTGCTCTGTCGCCCAGGCTAGGGTGCAGTGGTGTGATCTCAGCTCACTGCAACCTCCGCCTCCTGGGTTCAAGCAATTTTCCAGTCTCAGCCTCCCAAGTAACTGGGATTACAGGCGCGCACCACCACACCCAGCTAATTTTTGTATTTTTAGTAAGAGACGGGGTGTCACCATGTTGGCCAGGCTGATCTCGAACTCCTGACCTCAGTTGATCCGCCCGCCTTGGCCTCCAAAAGTGCTGGGATTACAGGCGTGAGCCACCGCACCTGGCCGGAGGTGGGGAGATACCTTGCAGCTCATAGTGACCCTGGGCTTTTGTCCTTCTGGGGTAGACTAGAGGATAAATAGCTGGAATTCAGGCAGCAAGGCCCTCTTCTCTGCTTTTGGCAGCCATGTTGCAAACTTATTAGCCGGAGGTCTGGAGGTCCTGCTAACCTTAGAACCCCAAGCCCCACCCATCCCACCCTGGCCCACACAGCCACAGGGTATTTGCAGAAATCTGTAGATCTGGACATGGGGATTCACAGATAAACCTGTTTAGTGTTGGTCTTTTTTCTTTGAGGGCTGAGACCTTCCCTCTCTCTCTCCCTTTTTGGGTATAAGCTAGTTCTGAGGGTATAAGGATTTTTTTTTAGTGAGGGGTGTGGAAGCTATGCCTGGAGGTAATTATGAGAATGGGTGGGACTTGAGGGAGGAGAGAGGTTCGGGTTGGTGGGCTGGGGACTCCCGCTGACAGCCCTCTGTTCCCCCAGGGTTTCTGTTCCTGGCTGACAGCCATCTTCAGGATAAAGTAAGTGGACCATCTTCAAGCTCTAAAGAAAGAGAGAAACTTCAGAACCTGGCATCTCCCTACAAAATTCAGAAGCCAGCAGCTTTCAGGGCCTTAGCACTCCTCGCCAGCACAGCACCCTCCTCCCTGCTCTCAAAGGCCAAGCCTCGGGTGCCTGAGCCTCTGCTGTACCCTGAACACTCACTTGACCCCATAATCTCCTCTGTGACCCCCTGCCGGCCCCCCCGCTTCTCTCCCTGCCCTGCCCCACCTTGAGGGAGGGGGTGGAGCCCCTGCCTCAACCTCTGTGCAGCCAGTGAGTGGGGGCAGCAGTAGGCTGGGAGCAGCCAGCCAGCTGCAGGCAGAACTCAGGAGATCCAGCCAGAGTCCAGCAGGCAGGCAGTGAGCGCTGAGAAAGGCAGGAAGCCAGGACAGGTCAGCACTGCCGCCACCACTCCCCCAGGCCTCCCCCAAGGGTACCCGGGCTTCACTACGCCAGGCTCAGCCACACCCATGAGGTGCTGCTGCCCCTCCTCCCATCCTTCCTTCACTTCTGCCTCTTTCACCACTCCTCCTCCTGCTGGTCCTCCTCCTCTCTTGCCTTCCTCCCTCCTCAGATATTTCTCTTTTTTCTTCCCTTTTCTCTGCATTCCTCATTTTTCTTCTTCCCCTTCCTGTCTCTGCAGTCTCTTCTTTCTTTTACCTATCTTTTCCTTCTAGCCCTCTGCCTTCATCCCTCCCCTTCTCCATGCATTTCTCCTTTTTCTCCCTCCCCCTCTCTTCTCCCTTTCTCCCCTCTCCCTTCACAGAAAATAGGGGACCAAGAAGTCCCATTTCAGCCCTATACTACTGCCAGATCAGCTGGAGCTAGGGTGGGTTTGGGGTGGGAGTGGGTGAGGGCAGGCAAGTTGCAGCCCCCTTCTTGCCCTGGTCCTAACCTAATTCCTTTGTCCAACCCGTATGGCTGCAGGGATGATGAGATCCGGGACAAATGTGGGGGCGATGCCGTGCACTACCTGTCCTTTCAGCGGCACATCATCGGGCTGCTGGTGGTTGTGGGCGTCCTCTCCGTAGGCATCGTGCTGCCTGTCAACTTCTCAGGGGACCTGCTGGGTCAGTGAGGGCCAGGACGGCTAGGGTGGAGAGAGGATGGGGCTGGAGGGGATGTGCCCTGACCCCACCATCATCCTCTCCCTCTTCCCACCCCACAGAGAACAATGCCTACAGCTTTGGGAGAACCACCATTGCCAACTTGAAATCAGGGTAAGATGCGAAGCTGGTCGGCCAGGCCAAGGTCTACGACCAGAGTCTGGGCCATGATGTGGGACAGGGAGGAAAGGCAGCTGCGTTGATGGGAGCAGAGCCTACAGGGATGGCTATGGGTCCCTGAGGGCTTGGGTTGGAGACAGAAGAGGGAAATGCCTGCTGAGGATCCCCCAAGGATGAAGAGGATACAGAAGAGGAGGGTGAAATCTCAGGAACCAGGGAGGGCCAGCTGGGGCAGTTGGAGACACTGTAACCAGTGGGTAGGGCGTAGAAAGGTGACCTATCAGGGATATTTTCATTGGAATCGAAGAATTTTGGTGTCTAGGGGATGTGGGATGTGGGCCTGCCTTGCGAGGAGTCAGTGCCAGAAGGCTGGTGGCAGTAGAGGGCCCTGTCTGTATCAAGGGTTTAACACTGACAGGCTGAGGTGTCTCCTCTGAGTGTGTCCTAGCCCCAGTGGCTCCCATGTATCCTCTCTGCTTCTCCCAGGAACAACCTGCTATGGCTGCACACCTCCTTCGCCTTCCTGTATCTGCTGCTCACCGTCTACAGCATGCGTAGACACACCTCCAAGATGCGCTACAAGGAGGATGATCTGGTGCGTGGAGCAGAGCCCAGGTCCTGCCCCATCCCCAGCCTCTTCCCTTCCCTTCCCTGCAGGCCTCTTTTGTCTCAGCCCCAAGAGGTGTCAGCTAGGTTTGAATGCTGGCACAGCAGCTCAGGAGCTCCCATCCTGCAAGTTACATAACCTCCCAAGCCATGATTTTCTCATCTGTAAAATGGAATAACAACAGTACCTCCCCCAAGGTTGTGGGGAATACACAGAAACAGCCGTGCTGTGCCCAGCACTTGGGAAAATAGCAGTGGCTGATCCTAGGATAGTAATATTCCTTCCCCTTCTACATGCACTCACCAAGCCAGAACCGGACACCTACTCCATGCCAGCCACTGTGCTGGGTTCTCAGGGTCTAAGGAGCTGAAAGTAGTACCCCCTTCTGCCTCTATAACCCCTCAAGAGCATGGGACGGCGTGGCTCTTTTGTTAGGCTCACTGCCTGATTTCTGTTGGAAACACTCCCCTGCTTTCCCTGGGACCTGGCTTATCCATAACTAAGGCCTCCTCCCACCCCATCTGTTCCCCTCTGCTCACCTACTTCTCTACCCACTCAAAACAAAGCCTCTTTCTCTAGTGCCCCCCACCCCTCACATCCCCTGGCTCCACTGGGGTCAAGCCTCAGAAGGCAAACCCACTCCCCTGTCACCCAGGTGAAGCGGACCCTCTTCATCAATGGAATCTCCAAATATGCAGAGTCAGAAAAGATCAAGAAGCATTTTGAGTGAGTAAGCCACGCTTCCCCCTACCCTCAAGCCCTGCTGCAGAGCCTTCTCTGCCTTTGAACTCTAAGAACATCCTTATACCCTAGCCTGGAGCTCTGCCGTGGGTGGGATAGAGATTAGATCCAGGAAGAAATGTCCGATTCCAGGGTGGTTTAGCACTTGGGTCGGGTGATAGGCCCCTTTAAGAACAGGAAAAATAAGACAAAAACCTGAAGAGTGAGTCATTCAAACCCCCTAACCCCCAAACCTCCTCCTGGCTCAGACTGGGTCATAGGTTGTTGACCCAGGTCCATTGGAGTACATATCTTCTTCAAAATTAAAAGCAGCATTCTGGAGTTTGTGTGCAGCCATGACAGGGAGAAGCTCCTTGGTTTCCAGTGGATTCCAAGGAGTCCAGGAGAACTTGAACTGTGTATTCTCTGAGGCTTTTTCAGCTCTAGAATTATGTTTTGGGGTGGGTAGAGCAGACCTATGGCCAGAAACTAGAGAAAAGGGAGGTGGTATAATGAGGCAAAGAGGGAACTTACCTGGTCACCCCATGGCTAGGGATGCACCTTGGGGCGCAGCTCATAGGGTGGGGAATCAGTGAAGGGCCCCTCCATGGGGGTGTGTAGGGACAGTCTCTATACCACAGGATTAGGGCTACTCTCACACAGGCATCTGTTCACTCAGCAAACTTTCTCAAGTGCTGTTAGTCATAAGTTACTGTGGTGGGCTTTGGGACTGTAAAAAATGAATGAGGCCAGGCATGGTGGCTCATGGCTGTAATCCCAGCACTTTGGGAGGCCAAAGTGGGCAGATCACTTGAGCCCAGGAGTTGAAGACCAGCCTGGGCAACATAGCAAGACCCCATCTCTACCAAAAAATACAAACTTAGCCAGGTGTGGTGGCGTGCGCCTGTAGTCCCAGCTACTTGGGAGGCTGAGGTGGGAGGATCGCTTGAACCCAGGAGGTCGAGGCTGCAGTGAGTCCTGTGCACCACTGCACTCCAGCCTGGGTGACAGAGCAAGACCCTGTTTCAAATGTTTCAAAAAATAAAAAATAGAAGAGGCCAGGCACGGTGGCTCACGCCTGTAATCCCAACACTTTGGGAGGCCCAAGATGGGAGAATTACTTGAGGCCAGGAGTTCAAGACCAGCCTGGTCAGTATAATGAGACCCCATGTCTTAAAAAAAAAAAAAAAAAAAATCATTGAGGGCCGGGAGTTTGAGACCAGCCTGGCCAATATGGTGAAACCCCGTCTCTACTGGTGAAACCTTGTCTCTACTGAAAATACAAAAATTAGCCAGGCATGGTGGCGCGTACCAGTAGTCTCAGCTACTCAGGAGGCTGAGGCAGAAGAATCGCTTGAACCCAGGAGGCAGAGGTTGCAGTGAGCCGAGATTGTGCCACTGCACTTCAGCCTGAGCGGCAGAGCGAGACTGTCTCAAAAAAAGAAAAAAAAATCATTGAGTTCTCAGGGGGTTCATAGTATGGCAGTCGGCTTTAGGAGCTAGTCCAGGGTCTGATCAGAGATTGCTCTGAGGTCAGTCTGTGGTCAGAATCAGGAGCTGGCCAGTGGTCATGATAAAGGATGCTGGTGGTCTGGATCATGGCCCAGACTGAGGTTGAGATTTGGGCTCAGTCTACCATCAGAATCAGGGTTTAGGCCAGGTGTGGTGGCTCATGCCTGTAATCCCCTTGAGAAGATTGCTTGAGCCCGGGAGTTTAAGACCAGCCTGGACAACATGTCGAAACTCCATCTCTACAAAAAATATAAAAATTAGCCAGACATGGTAGCATGCACCAATAGTCCCAACTACTCAGGTGACTGAGGTGGGAGGATGGCTTGAGCCCAAGAGGCTAATGCTGTGGTGAACTGATTGCGCCACTGTACTCCAGCCTGGGTAATAGGGCAAGACCCTGTCTCAAAAAAGAAAGAAAGTAAAGAATCAAGGTTTAATCTGAGGTCCAGACCTGTCAGTTGGCCAGAATCAGAGTTCACTCATTGTCCTGGGTCAGGCCAGTGTGTGATCCAATCAGAGATAGTGTTTGGGCAGGATTGAGAGTGAACATCTATCTGGTCAGGGTCAGATTCCAGAGCCTGTGTTAGAAGATTAAGGACTGGTGTGTGATCAGCATTAGTAGATGGATACTCTTTCATACTACATGCAGTTATTGACAACCTTCTATGTGCCAGGCACAAATAAATTAGAAACAAGCCCAGCCCTTATACAGGCTATAAAACAGCAGTCAAAATTAGATCATTCTTGTCAGTATGAGAGAACTATTTGGGGTCCTATCTGAGGTTCAAGCTGTCATCAGCATTAAAGGGCACTCTGGGTCAGGATTAAGGACAGTGTGTACTCAGAATTAGTGACATCTTTTTTTTTTCTCATACCATCTTTTGTAACAATGAATTAGGTGACATCTTAATATTACCATCCAGTTGGAATCAGTTGTCAGCTTGTATTGAAATCTGGTGTTTGTTGTTTTTGTTTTTGTTTTTGTTTTTTGATACAAATATCTAGTGAGCACCTGCTATGTGCCTGCTTGGGGAGGAGCTGGGGGTATAGCAGTAAACGACAGAAGGCCTGCCCTCATTTGCTTTCATTTTAGTGGGGAGGGGTGGACAGGGACCGGATGAACTAGTAATAGAGACTGTGTCAAGAAGAGGTAGGTGCTAAGAAAACCACAGCAGGGAAGCAGGCAGGGTAAGAGGGGTTGGGAAGGGTTGCTATTTCTGATGGGATAGACAGGGAGGGACTCTGACAGCGTGGCATTTGAACAGAGACCTGAGTGAACCCTACTAGTCAACTGTCTATTCATTCAGCCCACATTTATTGTATACCTACTATGTGCTTCATGCCTGGGAGACAGAGTATAATCAGACCTGATCAGTGCCCTTGGGAAGCTGAAGATCCTAGTTGTGTTTCAGGGGTTGGTCTATAGTTTTGTTTAGGAGAGGTCAGCCTATAAGCAGGGGTAAGGGAGACTCTAGTCCTAATTGGAGTTTTTTGGATCACTGGGATGAGCATTATGGAGTAGCCATTTCATTGATCCGCTCATTTACCACATGTGTATTGAACACCTGCTATATACAAGCTGTTGGGACAGGGCTGGGTATATGGTGAGGACTAAGAGACAGCGCTTGAGCTCATTGTCAGGATTAGGCAGGGCTTGTGGTCCAAGTCTGCAGTCTGTCTGGATTGGAAGACTGTCTCAGCACAATTAGGAAATATCTTGCATGCAAATCAACGGGCCTGTGTGGTTGGATTTAGAGGATTAGAGATGAGTTTAGTGAGAATGAGAGCTCACCCTTCCAAAGGGGAAACCTCAAATGGTTTGAGGAACAATATCAGAGGAAAGGTCTCTAGCCTCCTGGGAAGTACATCTCAAGGACCCTATCCCAGATTTAAGTTTCTAAATTCTCATGGGTTTATGAGGACTATCTTAATACTTTAGAACAGTAACTCATGCATTCAATACTTGGTGGTCCTTCATTTAAAAAAAAAAACAATTTTTTTTGAGACAGAGTCTCACTCTGTCTCCCTGGCTGGAGTGCTGCAATACAGGGGCGTGGTCATAGCTCACTGCAGCCTTGACCTCCTGGGCTGAATCGATCCTCCTGCCTCAGACTCCCGAGTAGCTGGAACTACAGGCACTCACCACCACACCTGGCTAATTTTTTTTTCTTTTTTTAGAGACAGGGTCTCACTATGTTGCCCAGGCTGGTCATGAACTCCTGGCCTCAAGCAATCCTCCTGTCTCAGCCTCTCAAAGTTTTGGGATTACAGGCATGAGCCACTGTGTTCAACCTAAAAATTTTAATAAAATATAAAAAGATGGGGACTCAGTCTAGATTAAGGATTAGGATCAAAGAACAGTGCATGATCAGATTTAAAAACGAACTACTGGCCAGGTGCGGTGGCTCACACCTGTAATCCCAGCACTTTGGGGAGCCGAGGTGGGTGAATCACAAGGTCAGGAGTTCAGGACCAGCCTGGCCAAGATGGTGAAACCCCATCTCTACTAAAAACATAAAAATTAGCCAGGCGTGGTGGCATGTGCCTATAATCCCAGCTACTGGAGAGGCTGAGACAGGGGAATCACTTGAACCCAAGAGGTGGAGGTTACAGTGAGCTGAGATTGCACCACTGCACTCCAGCCTGGGCGACAGAGCAAGACTCCGCCTCAAAAAAAAAAAAAAAAAGCTATTAGGCTGGGTATGGCAGCTCATGCCTATAATCCCAGCACTTTGGGAAGCCAGGGCGGGCCAATCACCTGAGGTCAGGAGTTCGAGACCAGCCTGGCCAACATGTTGAAACCCTATCTCTACTAAAAATACAAAAAAAAAAAAAAAATTAGCCGGGTGTGGTGGCACACACCTGTAATCCCAGCTACTCAGAAGGCTGAAGCACGAGAATCACTTGAACCCGGGAAGCAAAGGTTGTAGTGAGCCCAGATCACACCACTGCATTCTAGCCCGGGTGACAGAGTGAGACTCCGTCTCAAAAACAAAACAAAACAAAAACAAAAACAAAAACGAAACAAAAAACAAAAAGAAACTATTCCCTCCAGCCATGGTGGCTCACTAGTGTAATGCCCACACTTTGGGAAGCTGAGGCAGGATGATCACTTGAACCCAGGAGTTCAAGACCAGCCTGGGCAATACAACAAGACCCCATCTCAGAATATTTGAAACAAACAAACAAACAAAAAAATGAACTATTCCTTCACTCAGCAAGCATTCTTCAAGCCTTGCCTGGTACCAGGTACTAGTGAGTCAGTGCCAGTTTCTCTCTGGTCAGTCTTAAGTCAAGGTAAGGATGAATCTGGGGTCAGGGTTAGGAGGTCAGTCTTGGGTCTGGGCAACAGGTCTGGGGTCAGTCTTTGGCCAGGGTGGGCTTAAGGGTCAGTCTTTGGCCAGGGTTACAGGTCAGTCTCACCCTGGTCAGGGGTCAGGATCAATCTCTTGTCTGTCTTGGGCCAAAGTTAGAGATCATTTTGTAGACTGGGTTATGGGTTGGTTGAGGTCAGTCTGTGGTCAAGGCTAAGTGTTGGGCTGTGACCAGGTCTTCTGGGAACAGGGTTAAGGAATTATATAGCCTATGACTAGATGCAATTTTTTTCAACCTAAAGGTCACAGCCCTGGACAGGAATCAGACCATAGCCCTGGCTTCCCTACCTGCATGCAGTATGTCCCTACACATCCTGGTTTGTTAGCCCAGCCTGCAGTCACACAGTGCTCAGGCCTTCTGCTCCCACTTCCCCACTCAGATAAGCATGAGGAGGAACTCCAAAGCTTTATTCTTGGGGAACTCTCAGTTTTGTAGACTAAGAAAAAGGCAGCTTGAATTGGAGATGTGGGTTTTTTTGTCTTTTTTTTTGAGATGGAGTCTCGCTCTGTCGCCCAGTCTGGAGTGCAGTGGCGCGATCTTGGCTCACTGCAACCTCCACCTCCCGGGTTCGAGCAATTCTTCTGCCTCAGCCTCCTGAGTAGCTGGGACTACAGGCACGTGCCACCATGCCCAGCTAATTTTTGTATTTTTAGTAGAGACAGGGTTTCACCATGTTGGCCAGGCTGGTTTCGAACTCCTGACCTCAGGTGATCCTCCCGCTTCGGCCCCCCAAAGTGCTGGGATTACAGATGTGAGCCACCACGTCCAGCCAGAGATGTGTTTCTTGAAGGTGATGGGGTCATGGATGAAAGTCAGGGGCAGGTGGGTGGGGTCCCTGCACAAGATGATACATGAACTGTGTTTCAGGGAAGCCTACCCCAACTGCACAGTTCTCGAAGCCCGCCCGTGTTACAACGTGGCTCGCCTAATGTTCCTCGATGCAGAGAGGTAAGGGACTGGGGGCAGAGGAGGGTGACACCAAGGGCCCCCTGCCATTGTGGAGGACATCTTGGCTACCACACAGGCTCCCCTTCTAGATTTTTTCCTAGGGCATTTGATTTTAATTCAACTCGTTGGTGTGCCTGTTAATTCAGCTCTGGAAAGAGCAAGGCCTGGAGGTTAGAGTTTGTTGTGAGGGGAAGGGGGGCCCATGGTCCCCACTGCATCTGAGGACATGCCCTTCTTTGGCTACAGTATGAGAAATTTAGGTCAGCCTGCAGGAAGAACTTCTGGCCCTCTAGGGATGGGTGGGGAGACCTTGGGATGTGGCCACATCTGAAACATGTATCCTAAACAAGAACAAGACAGCTCCTGTCCTTGGGGAGTGAGCTAGATGACCCCCAAGCTGAGCCAGCCCCAGCCCCAGATGTAGGTGACCAGGCATCTGGGTCCCACAGGAAGAAGGCCGAGCGGGGAAAGCTGTACTTCACAAACCTCCAGAGCAAGGAGAACGTGCCTACCATGATCAACCCCAAGCCCTGTGGCCACCTCTGCTGCTGTGTGGTGCGAGGCTGTGAGCAGGTATGACGCGGGCTGGCTGTTGAGTCGGGAGAAGTTGGACAGGTCCTGGGCAGGCAAGGCTGGGGCCCTGCCCTCAGTGAGTCCCCACCTGTCCCTGGAATCCTTGAAGCCTCAGTTCCCACTGTTGGGTTTGTCTAATGTCCCTACAGTGACCAGGTTTTCAAACCTCAAATTAGAAAATGTCAGCCAAAAGGACAATGTTGTGCTGTACCCACTGACTCTGGGGACTTGAGCAAGTTGCTTACTGCTCAGTGCCTCAGTTTCCTCATGGGGTTAACGTACCCACCTTATGAGAGTGTTGTGAGGGTAAAGTGAGTAATACATATAAAGAAGCTTAGAGGTGCTGGGTGCGGTGGCATATGCCTGTAATCCCAGCACTTTGTGAGGCTGAAGCAGGTGGATCACTTGAGCCAGGAGTTTGAGACCAGCCTGGGAAACATGGCAAAACCTGATCTCTACAAAAAATACAAAAATTAGCCAGGCATGGTACTGCACACATGTATTCCCAGCCACTTGGGAGGCTGAGGTGGGAGGGTCACTTTAGCCTGGGAGCTTGAGGCTCCAGTGAGCTGAGATTCCACCACTACACTCCAGCCTGGGCATCAGAGCGAGACGCTGTTTCCAAAAAAAAAAAAATGCTTAGAGGAGCAGTGCCTGGCTTGTAGGAAGCCCCAAGTCAGCGTGGGCTGGATGCTGCAGGCCCCAGCCTGGCTTTCCAACTAGAGGCCCTGTCCCTAACCCTCCCACAAAGGTGGAGGCCATTGAGTACTACACAAAGCTGGAGCAGAAGCTGAAGGAAGACTACAAGCGGGAGAAGGAGAAGGTGAATGAGAAGCCTCTTGGCATGGCCTTTGTCACCTTCCACAATGAGACTATCACCGCCATGTGAGTCCCCAACTCGGCCCTCGGCCCTGAGCAGCCCTCCAGGGCTCCCTGACCCCTGTGCTCATGGCCTTCTGCCAGCAGTGTGGCCTCCAGGTGGGCCTGTGGTAACCAGTGCCCATCTTTCTAGCATCCTGAAGGACTTCAACGTGTGTAAATGCCAGGGCTGCACCTGCCGTGGGGAGCCACGCCCCTCATCCTGCAGCGAGTCCCTGCACATCTCCAACTGGACCGTGTCCTATGCCCCTGACCCTCAGAACATCTACTGGTGAGCAAACAGGTGTCAGGGCAGGCTTTCCAGGGCCTGGGATGGGCTCAGTAGGTAGGCGGAGGAGAGGGAGTGTCTTGGTGTCACTGGGGGCCAATCCTGCCCTTGGTTCCTGGACTGACCGGTTCCCCACCTTGCCAGGGAGCACCTCTCCATCCGAGGCTTCATCTGGTGGCTGCGCTGCCTGGTCATCAATGTCGTCCTCTTCATCCTCCTCTTCTTCCTCACCACTCCAGCCATCATCATCACCACCATGGACAAGTTCAACGTCACCAAGCCTGTGGAGTACCTCAACGTGAGGCCTCATGCCCCTGTCACTTTCCACGCTGGGTCACAACACACAGATACCAGGCCCTGATCCCTCTTCCACTTGCCCAGCCCAGCCCGTTCTGCTTGTTCCAACCCCGTGCCACCAACCAGCTCCCAAAAACCCCTGTGTGCACTTCCCTTGGGCTCCCTGCCACCTTCCCCCTGAGAGAGGCCACCCTCAGGTGTGCAACACCTGGAGAAACACCCAGGGAAGAGAGAGAGCCTGCATTTAGTCCTGATCTCAGAGAAGTCCCCTTCCCTCACCCCTCAGTCTAACTGAAAAAATGGAAAGGTTCAACTAGATCAGTGGCTTTGGACTTGGATTCTGATCTCTTTATCGGTGTGAAACCCAGTGTGGAAAAGCAGGGCTGCTCCGATGACAGTAGGGTGGCATGCATGTCTGCCTGGCCTCCCCTCACCTCTCCTCCCACGCATAGAGCATACCTCTTTAGAACCTCAGAGTTTGAAGAAGGACAGTTTGCAAATCACTTGGAGTGATAATACCATAATAGATAAGACCCAGACTGCATGGATTCAAATCCCTACCTCATGGCTTGCTAGCTAGGGAAGCTATTGAATCTTTTTTTTGCCTCAGTTTACTCATCTGTCAAATGGGGTAACAGCATTATTGTGAGGATTAAGACATGGCAAGTACATCAGCACTGCTTAGAACATAGTAGATGTTCAGCAAATGCTGACTATCAGTATTATCCACCCTGGGGTTATACATATGGCCCTGGCCCCCACCCTCACCCCAGCCCTCCGGATGTTCTGGGCTTCCAACATGGGAGCCCTGAGAGTTGTGAGGCCAAGGGCCCAGCTGGGGAGGAGGCACATAAGCAAAGCCACCTGGGCCCCCTAGACTGCCCTGCCTGACGCCCCCCTGTGCCCTGCTGCAGAACCCCATCATCACCCAGTTCTTCCCCACCCTGCTGCTGTGGTGCTTCTCGGCCCTCCTTCCCACCATCGTCTACTACTCAGCCTTCTTTGAAGCCCACTGGACACGGTAAGGTGCCTCCACTCACACCACACCTCGCTGTGGCCTGCCCTCAATGACCCATCCTCTCTGGGCAGCACTTTGCCCTTCAGGCTCCTGGCCCTGGGCAGTCCCACAGCTGGTAGGGAAGGGGTAGTGCCCAGCACCCTCACCTTGGGAGGCCCACCCTTCCCAGGGGACACTCCTTGGACATTGTCCTTGTTGGGGGAGCAAGTCTGGGGCCTGGGCTCACTTGACCTGTACCGTTCCCTGCTCCCCTCCCTCCAGCTCTGGGGAGAACAGGACAACCATGCACAAGTGCTACACTTTCCTCATCTTCATGGTGCTGCTCCTACCCTCGCTGGGACTGAGCAGGTGAGTTGAGAAGGATGGGGCAGGAGCCAGGGTAGGGGGACAGCAGGATAGGGAGAGGAGAGCAGTTCAGCCTCCCTACCTCCCCTACAAAGCAAGGGGCCCAAGATGGGAAGCCTGGCCACCCCCAGGCCTCCTGAGCTACCCACCCCATGTCTGGGAGTCTCCCCAGTGGCTCACAGAGGAGGGACTTCCCCTCCCCTGGTGTTCTGTACCACTCCAGCTCCCACCCCATCTCTCCTCTGCTTCCCTCCAGCCTGGACCTCTTCTTCCGCTGGCTCTTTGATAAGAAATTCTTGGCTGAGGCAGCTATTCGGTTTGAGTGAGTGACTGGGGCCCCTAGGGAAAGAGACCAGACAGCAGGGGTGGGTATGCTTGAGAGACATTGCCAGCCCCATGGGAGGGTGCAACAAAGCTTCCAACTCCTGGAGGGGGCAGAAGAGAGAGGATCTGGCGGGGTTACCCCAAAGGCACCCACAAGGTGTCTTGGGTGTGTATACATGGTAGAAGTCCCTGGGGTCTGTGTTGGTGTTCACTCTCTGGTAACCTGTTTGGATGCTAAGATCATCCTCAAGGTATATTTGGGGCTTGGGGCTCCACATTCTGGTAGTTTCTATGGGGGTGTCTTGTGCCCATATTCTGGGACTAACTGTGGGCGTCTCTGGAGTTCCACTTGGGAGGTTTGGGGAACCATCTCTAGGGAGGTCTTGGTGATACTTAGGGAGTGTCTTGGAGGCTACTAGGGGTATCCCTGAAGGTCTCTAGAGCCCATATTTTTGGGTATGTGTAGGAGGCTCTTGACCTTATAACTCTGGGGGTGTCTGTGGGCGGGGAGGCTAAAGGACTCACACTTTGGGATGTTTAGCAGTACAAGTTCTGGGAACATCTCTAAAATTTCAGGCTTTTATTCAGAGATGTAACTGTGGAGTTCTGTATGGGCATCTTCTCTGGGAATCATGTGAGGATATATTGAAGGTCATGCACCATGGCTGTGGGCACAAACTCTAGGGGTTTTGCTGTAGGCCATCTGTGGTGATCTTTGAGTCACACTTGGGGCATCTCAGGCACTGATAAAGGTTCCTGGGCTCCCCCAGAGATGTTGCGGGAAGGGTCTCAAAGCTTGTTTGTGGAGGTATCTGAGGCTCATGTCACACTCTGGGGGTAACTCGAGTTATGGTCTAAGTGGGGGAATCTTCTGGGTGTTCCTGGGGCTGTCAGCCTTTGGGTTCTTTGAGGGTCTCATTGGGTTGTCTTTGGGGGTCCTGGACAGTTCTCCCCTGAACATTCTAGCAGCCTTAGGTGGTCTTGAGCACTCTCTCCATGGGTCTTTATGGGGCACAAGTTCTTGGAGCTGTCTGTTGCCACTCTGTATGTCTCTGGGGGGAACAGGGCACAGGTGCTTGGGGCGCTAAGCTGGGGGTGTCCACATGGAAGAAGCATGTTGGTGGTGGAGGTGTTGGGTGCTGTAGTTCTGGCAGTGGGCGGGCGGCCACCGGGTCACCCCAAGGGTGCAGTGCTGGAGCACCTGGTGCCCGCAGGTGTGTGTTCCTGCCCGACAACGGCGCCTTCTTCGTGAACTACGTCATTGCCTCAGCCTTTATCGGCAACGCCATGGACCTGCTGCGCATCCCAGGCCTGCTCATGTACATGATCCGGCTCTGCCTGGCGCGCTCGGCCGCCGAGAGGCGCAACGTGAAGCGGGTACGGCCGCCTGGGGCAGCAGCGGCCCGCACAGCGCCCCCTGGTGGCCCAACAAGAAACAGCAGCCATCGCGCTAGGGTTGAGGGGCACAGGAGGGCTGAGACTTGGGGAGTACAGTTGACTCACGGTGGATCCGGGCCATCCCCTTCCCATATCTGGGGCCTTCGTATTCTGCCATGGGTGGACATAGGTAACCCTGAAGGCCCCTGCCAGTTCTGACAGTAGCATTCTATGATGGGAGTTGGGGAGATCTGGGTCCCTAGCGCTAGGGTCCCTCTGTCTTAATAAGAGGGCTCTGGGCATCCCACTCTCAAGTCCACCCAACTCTTGCCCCCTACCTGCCAGGCCCCGACCCTTGAAGGCCCCTCTCCGTGCCCCATCACTGCAACCGCCCTGACCCTCCTCTCGGCCATAGCCCCTCTCTCCATCTGCTCTGCCCTACCCTACCCTAGACATTAGGTCCTGTTCCCCATGGCTTCTTTTCCGGCCCCAGAGGTCCTGGCTCCCTTCCCCCTCCCTCCTTCCCTGCCCCTCTGGTCAGTCCCTGCCTCCCTGAGCCATCCTCCTGCCCGTCTCCCCCCCAGCATCAGGCCTACGAGTTCCAGTTTGGCGCAGCCTACGCCTGGATGATGTGCGTCTTCACGGTGGTCATGACCTACAGTATCACCTGCCCCATCATCGTGCCCTTCGGTAGGCACCGCCGCGCCGGGACCTGGGCCCTGCTCGGGGGGACCCAGGACTTCACCCTCTCCACTCTAGGAATGCAGGCCACCCCGAGTGGACAGGGCCCGGCTGGGAGACCGGCCCCTCGGGGCTCCCGCCCGGTCCCTGGCTCAGTCTGGGGCCTGGCCTGTGGGGAGGAGGGGGAGAGCCATCAGCTCAGGCCAGACCCAGCTGGCATGTGGGCCCCAGGGCAAAGTCACACCAACATGGCCATACTTACCCACACCTGTGCCTTCCCTCAGCGGGATGTGCTTGGACACAGATCACATACGTGCTGACATGTTCACACACACACTCCCACACAGGCATCCATGTGCACACTTTTACACCACCCTGTAAACTCAGGAAAGACTTGGATTCCAGGGTGGGATGGGTCCTTGCCACTCATGGAGATAGTCTGCTGTATCTGAGCTATGTGACTTGGCCAGGTCTCTCTTCCTTTTTGAAGTTTAGCAAAGTTTCTCTTTAACCATCACCCCCACTGGTAGCCTCTACTTTCCTCCCTAATAACATCCTAACTCCTTAACCAACCCTCCCTGGTTATTGAAGGCTCCAAGTTCCCAAACTAACTTCCTTGTCCTCATTAGAAACTCCCTATCCCTCAGCCTCTGGGGAAATAGAACTTGTCCCTTAATTTATACGTATCTGTTTAGGGACAGGGTTAGAGAAAAATGATACGGGTTTTAAGAAGATGCTTGTTGATTCAAATGACTAGATTTCCAATAGTAGAATTCCTGATGAGGAGAGTAGAATGAGGGGTTGTAGCGGAGGAAGCTGAAGTTCTGTGATCACGCTGGGGCACGGGGCACTATCCCGTCCTGGGGCCCGGGCAGGAGGAGGGGGCCAACCCTTCAGCACTCTCAGGACCAGAACAACCTGTGACAGACACACAAAAGGTTCGGCAGCACTGGTTCCGAGGTCAGGGCCCATGTGGCTTCCCTTAGGGCTCATGTACATGCTGCTGAAGCACCTGGTAGACAGGTACAATCTCTACTACGCCTACCTGCCGGCCAAGCTGGACAAGAAGATCCACTCGGGGGCTGTGAACCAGGTGGTGGCCGCGCCCATCCTCTGCCTCTTCTGGCTGCTCTTCTTTTCCACCATGCGCACGGGTGAGGGATCCCTACCCAGGGAACGGGGGGTGGCGAGCAGAGTGGATTCCAGCCAGAGCAGGCCACAGGAGAAGCCGCATGGCTGGGGGTGGCAGGCAAGGGGCCTGGGAGAGGCTGGGGCCAGTCTGTAGCACCTGGGAGAGTGAGGACTGCATTCAGAGGGTATCAGAAGCTGGGGTGGGGAGGCCCACAGGAGATAGCAACCCCATTCTTTGCCCCCCAACACCAGGGTTCCTAGCTCCCACGTCTATGTTCACATTTGTGGTCCTGGTCATCACCATCGTCATCTGTCTCTGCCACGTCTGCTTTGGACACTTCAAATACCTCAGTGCCCACAACTACAAGGTGTGGGGCAAGGGTGGCAGGCGGATGGCTGCGGGCAGGAGCTCAAGGGGAGGAATGCAGAGGGCCACAGGGCTGGCGAGGGCTGAGGGCAGCGCCAACAGGGCCAAGCGGGCGTGGGGTCATGATCAGGGCTGAGGACATGCCCCCACTTCCTGACTCATTCTGGGCCCCTCAAGATTGAGCACACGGAGACAGATACTGTGGACCCCAGAAGCAATGGACGGCCCCCCACTGCTGCTGCTGTCCCCAAATCTGCGGTGAGTGCCCTCAAGGGTTGGGAGGGGCCTCTGACAGACTCAGCCTCAAAGCCCAGTGTTCCCTTAGTCCTGCAGAAAGGGGAACCTGTGCCAGACCCCATGGGGGCGGGAAGAGAGCTGGTCTCCCTGGAGGGCTGCCCCCGCCCCCCAGGGCCCTGCCCACTCTGCTGTCCTACATGCCCTGGTGTTCCCGCAATCCATGAGGGGCAGCTGTTCACCTTGCCCCCATTTCCTCTCCTCCTTCAGAAATACATCGCTCAGGTGCTGCAGGACTCAGAGGTGGACGGGGATGGGGATGGGGCTCCTGGGAGCTCAGGGGATGAGCCCCCATCATCCTCATCCCAAGATGAGGAGTTGCTGATGCCACCCGACGCCCTCACGGACACAGACTTCCAGTCTTGCGAGGACAGCCTCATAGAGAATGAGATTCACCAGTAAGGGGAGGGAGGGGCCCTGGAGGCCACATCCTGCCCCACCCCACCCCCACTCCCACGGACACTAAAACGCTAATAATTTATTAGATCTAAAGCCCCTTCCTCCCCAGCCCCTGCTTTCATTAAGGTATTTAAACTTGGGGGTTTCACTGCTCTCCCCCATGATGGAGGGAGGGAGCCCCCCAACCTCAGTGAGGAGAGCCCCGAGCCGGCCCCGGGGCAAAGAGGGGTGCAGAGGGAGTTCCCCCAGATCAGTACCCCCCACCCCTCCCCAGCTAGTAGCATGACCAGGAGAGGGTTAATGAGAGCCAAGAGGAGTACCTGGTGCACCTGGTGCCGGTGGCTGGAGACCTGGGGGGCAGGTGGATCTGGGGCTGTTCCCCCCCCTCCGTTTTTTCCACCCCACAGTTCCTCCTGGGATCTGGCCCTCCAGGGAAGTGGAGCCTCCAGCCCCTAGGGGATGCATGAGGGGGGAGGGGGTGCTGAGTGGGAGGAAGAGTCAGGCTCACAGCTGGGGTGGCCTGGGGGTGGGGGTGGGCAAGGCTGACACTGGAAAATGGGTTTTTGCACTGTTTTTTTTTTGGTTTTTTTGTTCTTTTTTGTTTTTTTCCTTTAAAATAAAAACAAAGAAAAGCTCTGAGGCAGGTGTCTGACTTGTGCTGCCCTGGGCACCTGGGCCGGGTCCCCACCCTCCTATCTGGAGGGCCTCTTTGAGGTCCCTGCATGACGCTGGGCAAGGGACTTGTTCAGAGTCTCATTTCTGTGTCACTGAGAGGAGAGAGTGGGGCTGGGGAGAGACTTAAGGGATATCTCAGAGGCAGGAAGGGCCCCTGTGCCCAGGTGGCCACCATACCAGCCTCGCCCACTCTGATCATTCCCCTGAGTCCCTGAGCAACACACATGGGACAGAGATTCAGGGAGAAAAGGTCGTGCAAAGCCACAGGGTCCATGCTGGGCCAGGACGAAGGCCCTTCTGAGCACCTCAAAGTAAGCCTGGCGCCAGCCCATCTGTCCCTTCCCCAGGAGGGCCTGATCTCCTCAATGAGAAGCCCCCTCCCACCCTCCAGTCAAATCTTACCCATTCTCCAAGACCCAGCTCAAATTCACCTTCTCGCCAGGCGCGGTGGCTCACGCCTGTAATCCCAGTACTTTGGGAGGCCAAGGTGGGTGGATCACTTGAGTTCAGGAGTTCGAGACCAGCCTGGCCAACATGATGAAACCCCATCTCTACAAAAAATACAGAAATTAGCTGGGCATGGTGGTGCACCCCTGTAATCCCAGCTACTTGGGAGGCTGAGGCATGAGAATCACTTGAACCTGGGAGGTGGAGGCTGCAGTGAGCTGAGATCATGCCACTGCACTCCAGCCTGGGCGACAGGGCAAGACCCTGTCTCAAAAAAAAACAAAAAAAAATCACCTCGAAAAAAGGTCCTGTGACTGCTGTAGCCCACCCTGCAAAGGCCCACAGAGCCATGTGGTGCACACCCACACACATGCACACACAGCATGTACTGCATGTACTGTAGGAGGCCTGCATTCCAGTCCTTATTCTGTCACTAAATCACTTTGCAACCCTGAAGAAAAGGAAGAAAAAGGAACTCTTAGAGGGAAGAAAAGAGACCTCAGAGGAGGAGGAGAACCAGGTTCCACAAAAGTCAACAGGAACCACCAACAGCAGGAACAGCAAACACAGCAAGCCTGATAAAGATTGCCCAGGCGCCAGCAAGGAGCAGGAGCAAAGAGCGCCCAAGGTCCAGCCCCAGGCTGCAGGGAGCTGCGGCAAACACAGCTTGGAGGGTCAGTGTTTATGGGCGGGCTGTGGGTGGAGGATGGGCCAGTGACAGTGGAGGTGAAAGTTGAGGCCTTGGTCCTGGCCTCAGCCTGCATATGTATGTCAGATCTGCAGTTGTGAAACATGAGCTCCCAGGTAGAGTCCCCAAAGTCTTGGGGCCAAGGGAGTGCCTGCTGGTGGTTGGACAAATATTGGCATGGCTTTGAAAGGAGCACCTTGGTTGTGTGAAGGCTTCTCGGTGCTCCCGAAGCCTGTTTTCCGTATGGATGGGCAGGCACACCACCGCCATTTGCCTGGCAAGCCCCCTTGTCTGCAAAGCATGGCCTGGACAGACCTCAGCCCCCACCTCTGGTTAGCCGAGACCCTCTCATTCCTCATCTGCCCAGCATGCCTTCCCTTTCCTGCAGGGCCTGAAGTTCAAAGCCAGGTTCCAGCATTTCCAAATGTGAAACTCCAGATAATGCCCAAGCAGCACACTGAGCAAGAGTCCTGAGGACAGCCCTCCCCCAGGGTGGGAGGCTGTAATAGAGAGGAACACCCGTGCCTGCCTGCACCCTACCCCTGGCACCTCGTCACAGAGTTCATGTCCAGGCAGATCACATTAGAGGCATCCAAGAGGTGCAATAGTGGAATCAGGAGTGGGCAGGGGAGACCACAGGATCCCCAAAGACCACTTCCTCCTTTCACAGCTGGGGGCAGCAGAAGATACGGATAAGAGCTAAAGTTATGGCCGGGCACGGTGGCTTATGCCTATAATCCTAGCGCTTTGGGAGGCCGAAGCGAGTGATCACCTGAGGTCAGGAGTTCGAGACCAGCCTGCCCAACATGGCGAAACCCCGTCTCTACTAAAAATACAAAAATTAGCTGGGCATGGTGGTGGGCACCTGTAATCCCAGCTACTTGAGAGGCTGAGGCAGGAGAATCGCTTGAACCCGGGGGGCAGAGGTTGCAGTGAGCTGAGATTGCACCACTTCACTCCAGCCTGGGCAAAAGAGCGAGACTCCATCTCAAAAAAAAAAAAAAAAAAAAAAATCTGAAGTTATTAGTTTAAATCCTGGCTCGACCGCTTAACAGCTGTGTGACCCTGGGCAAGTTGCATCATACCTCTAGACCTCACTTTCCTCATCTATAAAATGGGAATAGCAATGTCATGGCCTCTGGCTGTTTTAAGGATTAAATAAGTAGGAAGTTCTTAGCCCAGTGTTTGGCACATAATAACAAACCATAATTAATATTCTCGTAGATGAGGAGATTGAGTCCCAGAAAGGAGAAAGGGGGAGGGCTCGCCCAAGGTCAGCTCCTGTTTCAGAGCTTGGAACAAGGTTCTCTGATCCCATTGGGTGCTCTCACACCTGTTCTGTGCCTGATTAGCACCAGGCAGGGCTGAGGGGCACTGGGATGACCTTGACAGTCCCTGTCCTCAGCCATCATACACTCCAGAGAAGACTGCACTCTGGAGCAGAGTTCTTAGCTCAAAGCATTCCCACTTTCCAGTGCAGAGGCAGGACATGTGGTCAGACCAGTGGCCTAACCTTGCCAGACTGGGGCTAGGCAAGGAGAGTGTTGCAGGTGGAATCGTGTCCCCCAAAAAGGCATGTTGAAGTCCTGGCCCCCAGTACTTCAGAATGTGACCTCATTTGGAAACAGGGTGGTTGCAGATGTAATTCGTTCAATTAAGATGAGGTCATACTGAAATGCATGGGACCCTAGCCCCATATGACTGGTGTCCTTATAAGAAGAAGAGACACAGAGGAGGGTGCCATGTGAAGACAGCAACACAGGAAAAATGCCATGTCAGTGAGAAAGGGGCTTTTGGGAATGAGAAGGCTTTCTGGATGTAAAGGTCAGGTTGGTGTGTCAGGGACAACCCCTTCCTGGAAACCTTGGGCTGAAAAAAAGGGACTGGGACCTACCCTGATGGGATGACCGTGATACAGTGAGGACAGCCAGGCTGGTGGAGGCTGTGCAAGGCAGGGGTGCTGGGTCATCTGTCCCTAAAGCGGGTAGCCCTCAGCTGGGTAAGGGGCTGGGTTACTGAGAAGGAGAAAAGGGAAGGCAGCTGTTAAACCGGCTGCTGACCTAGGAATCCCACTGCAATGAGAGAGTTCTGGGGGGAGGGTCTCTTCTCCCCCTCCCACCAGAACCTTCAACTGTCAAGCACCGAGCTAGCCACCAGCATGCTGTACTCCCCAGGTAGGCACTCATGGGGCCTTGCCCCACTCCTGTACCTCCTGCAGGCTAGAGCCTCCCCCCAGGGGAGGAGCTGTGTCCCGCATCAGACTGGGTGCCCCTTGAGGGTACAGAGAGTGACTCTTCCATCAGACTGGATGCCCCTTGAGGGTACAGAGAGTGACTCTTCCATCAGACTGGATGCTCCCTAAGGACAGGACCTGGGCCTCGTTCTCAGACTGTTTGGGGAAGGATAGGCCACTGGTGGTCAGACTGGGTGGTAGGCCGGGCAGGAACTCTTTCTCCTCTCCACTGACAGTTGGAGTTGGGGAGAGGAGAGGGGCCGGCCATCCCACTGTCATGGCTGCTGGGGAAAAGGGTTTGTGTGAAAAAGCCCACGTAGAGAAGAAAACTTTAGGGAACAGAGAGAACCTCTCCTAAGCCTAGAAAAGCAGGTCCCTCAGCCCAGGAAGATGAGATCCTCAGGGTGGCAGGGGCAGGACTACCTGAGGCAAGCCTGGGACCAGACTCCAGGAGATGGGGGAGAGTGGGCTGGGGGGAAGGGGAGGGCTGGGCAGAACTGAGTTGTTCCTGTGGGGCTAGGGTGCACAGAGGGCAGCCAGCCTTGGCCAGCAGAAGGTCAGCCCTGTACCTCACCCTCAGCCTGGGGCACCGTGAGACCATGGGCCCCTAGACCCAGCCTCCCAGCTTCTCAGGCCCTCCCTGTTTACCTGACCCTAGGAAGTTTAGGCCTAGCTGGTGACCCCAAACCCAGTCCTTGTTCTTCAGAAGTGCCCTGAGCCCAGGAGTTCAAGACCAGCCTGGTCAGCATAGCAAGACCTCATCTCAAAATATAATTTATTTATTTATTATTATTACTTATTAGTATTTATTTTTTTTTAAAGTTCCCTGACACAACATCTTAGTTTTTTCCCAGTGCCGGAAATCAAACTGTCCTTAAATCTATAGTCCCCTAATAACAATGTATTGCATTTAGAAAATCACTGAGAGAGGCCAGGCACAGTGGTTCACGCCTGTAATCCTAGCACTCTGGGAGGCCAAGGCAGGTGGATCATCTGAGGTCAGGAGTTCGAGACCAGCCTGGCCAACATAGTGAAACCGTGTCTCTACTAAAATACAAAAATTAGCCATGCGTGGTGGCGGGCGCCTGTAATCCCAGCTACTCGGGAGGCTGAGGCAGGAGAATCTCTTGAACCCAGCAAGTGGAGGTTGCAGTGAGCCGAGATCGTGCCACCGCACCCCAAGCCTGGGCGACACAGCGAGACTCCATCTCAAAAAAAAAAGAAAATCACTGACAGTAGATTTTAAGTGTTCTCACCACAAACAAATAACAAGTATGTGCAGTAATGCAGATATTAATTAGCTCAACTGAGCCATTCCACAGTGAATACATATTTCAAAACACCATGTCGTATACAACAGATATATACTTTTTTTGTCAATAAAATAAAACTGATTTAGTTAAAAACGATCTGGCCGGGCGCAGTGGCTCACGCCTGTAATCCCAGCACTTTGGGAGGCCGTGGCGGGCAGATCACGAAGTCAGGAGATCGGGACCATCTTGGCTAACGCGGTGAAACCCTGTCTCTACTAAAAATACAAAAAATAAGCCAGGCGTGGTGGCGGGCGCCTGTAGTCCCAGCTACTCGGGAGGCTGAGGCAGGAGAATAGCGTGAACCCAGAAGGTGGAGCTTGCAGTGAGCCAAGATCGCTCCACTGCACTCCAGCCTGGGCGACAGAGTGAGACTCCGCCTCAAAAAAAACCTCAAAAAACAACAACAACAACAACAACAAAATGATCTGTAGGTTCTCAGTCTGATGGAGGAGACAGGATGTGCAGCTGCAGCAGAAAGCTTCCTGTCCATTCATGCCTTTTAACATGCAGCAGCCCCTGCTTTCCACGCAGTTTCAGTTACCCGCTGTCAACTGCAGTCTGAAAACATCAGGATATTTTGAGACAGAGAGACCACATTCACATTACTGTTATTGTATTGTTGTATTTGTTATATTTTATTACTTATTATGGTTAACTGCTTACTGTGCCTAATTTATAAACTAAACTTTATCATAGGTATGTACATAAAGGAAAGACATAGTATTGATATATACAGGGTTTGGTACCACCCGCAGTTTCAGGTGTCCACTGGGGGTGTTGGAACGTACCCCTAGGGTTAAGGGGAGCTACTGTGTTGCTCTGGCCATCTGTCTGTGCTTCCCACAGGCAGCCTTGGTCTGTCTGTCTCAGCCTTCTCACGCTCCTAGCCCATGTGACAGCTTGGATCTTTTGCCCTCTCTAAGGGGATATTTTCTTTTGGGTTTTTTTTTTTTTTGGTGTTTTTGTTTGTTTGTTTGTTTTGAGGTGGAGTCTCACTCTATTGCCCAGGCTGGAGTGCAGTGGCCCAACCTTGGCTCACTGCAACCTCCACCTCCCGGGTTCAAGCGATTCTCCTGCCTCAGCCTCCTGAATAGCTGGGACTACAGGCATGTGCTACCACACCCAACTCATTTTTGTGTTCTTAGTAGAGACGGGGTTTCACCATGTTGGCCAGGCGGGTCTTGAACTCCTGACTTCAGGTGATCCGCCCACCTCAGCCTCTCAAAGTGCTGGGATTACAGGCGTGAGCCACAGTGCCCAACTTAAAGACATTTTCCATGACAACTGTGGTGGTGTGGATAGGTGTGTCAGTCCTTCCTGCAAGTCAGAGCTGAGTAATGACCTCACACCCTGGGGACTGGGTATGCAGCTTCGAAGCAGGGTTTGGGGGCCAGACAGTGAGAAATGACTTGTTGGGCTGGATGGTGACTAGGGGACAGAGGGCTCTGGGGAAATGAGACAAGGGAGTTAAGATGGAACCTGAATTGCCTTGGCCTGCCCTCTGATGTTCTTTCAGTCTTCTCAAACAACAGCATCTTCCCTGGTCCTTCCAGGCCCCCAGGAGAGCTCAACACCCTCAGTCCTCGGAGCAGCCAGGGTAGAGGCTGCCTGGAGTGACTGCACGGTGCAAGGGCATGGAGTGGTTTGCCTTATCGTGTGAATGACCTTAGATGATTCGCTCAACCCAGGTTTGTCAACCCCAGCTCTCTTGACATTTTGAACTGGAAAATTCTTTATTGTGGAGACTTTCCTCTACACTGAGGGGCGCCCAGCAGCATCCCTGGCCTCTACTTACTAGATGCCAGTAGCTCCCCTGAGACCTGCCCCAGTTATGACAACCAACACTGCCTCTAGACGTTGCCACCTGTTCCCTGGGGGCCGTAATCACCCCGGGTTGAGAACTTCTGACTCAATCTCTCTGTGGAGGCCCTGGCTTCCACCCAGCTCAGATGGGAATAGTCATCCTGATCCGCCAGCTTCACAGATAGGGATCAGGGGCTGAAACAGAAGGTGTTCAGCTCTCCCCTCTCAGGACTGCTTTCCACCCTTCCCTCGGAACCCTCTTCATCTGAAAGGGGCTCCACTGTTTAACCCCGCCCCCGCAGCCCCCCTCACAGTCTCTTTGAATAAAGACACACACACACACACACACACACACACACACACACACACACCTGTAATCATAGCCCGAGGGGGTGAGGGAGCTTCCATTACCATTTCTAAGATAATCCCAGAGGGCTTGGGTTAGAAGAGACAGGGTTTGAGGAAAATGGAGGGAGAAAAGAGCGAGGAGAACTCCCAGACTCTGGCTCTACCCACCCTCTTCCCTGCTTCCCAGCCCTGATGCTTCCAGAACCAGGACGTCAAAGTGCACCCCACCCTCAGGGGAATGGGATGTGCTTAGAATAGGGAAAGGGGGATAGTCATTCCCCCACAGAACCTCCCTGATGATCCCATCAACCTGGTGGCCCCTTTTCATGGCACTTTCTCCTGTCTTTGCGGCCCATGGAGCTGAACCTGGGGGAGGAATCGCATGGGAGGGTCTTCTCCACGCTCCATGTTGGGGGTGCATTCACTTTGACCCCTCAGTACCAGCCCAGAATAAATTCTCCATAAAACATGCCTAACACGAGTTAGGGTTTGCTCTCAGGAGCTCAAACCAGTGGCAAAGACAGACAAGCACACACATGACTCCAATATTGGAGTAATATCACTAGTATCATTAAATCCTATGATGGAGGGACACATATGTGACACAGAGCATGGGCCATGTGATCCTAGAAGGAGCTCAACAAATACCAGTTGACCAACTAGGTCAGTGGGGAGAAGGTGAGTAACGTTTTCTGAGCACCTGCTAAACTCCAGTCTTTTTCACACGTTGCATTCTTCAATCCTGAAACACCCTCGCAGGTAGAATGCAGCAGCCTCTATACACAGGTGAGGAAACCAAGGCTCAGGGAGGTCAAACAACTTGCCCAAGGTCACACAGCTAATTCTCTGGCTCCAGTGCAGCCCAGGGCATTAGCTCTGCTAAAAAGGGACAAGCCACCCCTTTTCCAACACCTTTATCCATCCTCAACACCCCCTGTCAGCTGCTCCACACAGGGGAAGTGACTTCACAAAGACCACACACAAGTTGCAGTACAATGGACGAAGGGGCCGCACCAAGGCCAGTTGACTCACTCATCCCTCTCCAGCACAGCCATGGCTCCTCACCATGGCGACCTCCCAGCAAGGCAGCGAGCCTGATGGCTGAGAGCATAGAGCAGCCTGCCCTGACTCTAATGCCCACCGAGTCTGAGGAATTTCAGCCTCTCTCTGCCTCAGTTTCTCTGTCTATAGCAGGGAAGTTATAAGAGTAAGCCTAACCAGTGGGGTTGTTGGGATGATTCAATCAGCTAATGCACATCGGGTGTTTAGAATAGTGCCAGACATGTAGTGAGCCCTCAAACGCTGCTAACTATTATTATTTTTAGAAATGCTATATAAGTGCTCACTACTCATAACTGAGGCAGGATTCCTAATATCTTCTCATCACAAGTTACAGGCTCTGTGGAGAAGCAAAATTCAGGATCCTGAGTCTCCTCAACCTTATTATTTTTTGTTTGTTTGTTTTTGAGATGGGGGGTCTCACTTTGTCACCCAGGCTAGAGTGCAGTGGAAGGATTATGGCTCACTGCAGCTTCCAATTCCCAGCCTGAAGTGATCCTCCCACCTCAGCCTCCCAAGGAGCTGGGACCACAGGCACATGCTACCATGCCCAGTTAATTTTTTTTAATTTTTATTTTGTAGACACAGGGGTCTCACCATGTTCCCCTTGCTGGTCTCGTGAGGCTGAGGAGGGAGGATTGCTTGAGCTCAGGAGTTTGAGGTTGCAGTGAGCCATAACTGTGCCACTGCACTGCAGCCTGGGGAACAGGGTGAGACTCTGTCTCAAAAAAGTGTATCTATGTTGAACACTTACTATGTACTCAATACAGCAGCAGGAATACAGCAGCAAACAAAACAGACAAAAATCCCTGCCCTCACAGGCTTTCACTCATGAGGGAGGTAAACAATAAACAAAATATATAGTATATTGGGGTTGCTGCAGGATAGGGAGTAGGGGAGGGGTGGAAGAGAGAAAACATCTATGAACAATTAACCACAATACCAAGCAAGGCATCTGTTCATTCATTGCAAGCATTATTGAGCCAGCATTTTGAAACTCAGTAGTATACAAGGTGGCCTCACCCTCTCCTCTTGAGAGCTCACAGCCTCACAGAGGAGGCAGACAGGTCAACTCAGGGAAGGCAGGTAGTGATGGGTGTCCTAACAAAAGTGTAGGATGCTAGCGCAGCCCCAAGTTCTGCGCGGACACCACAGGGGAGGCTTCACAGAGGAGGCAGCATCAAGCAGGCACTGGGAGGCTGAACAGGACTTTTCCCCGGTGGACCCAGTGTGAGCATGGGATCAGGAATGATTGCAGGCAGAGGCACAAGGATGGGAAGAGGAATGAGGGTAACCTGTGCAGAAAGTCGTGGGGCCAGATGGCAGGTGGAAGCCTGGTTTGGGTTTGTCATGCTAACAAGGGAGAGACATCTAAAGTACTGGGGAGGGGGAGCGGTATGTATAATCAGGTTTGCATTTTATTTTATGTTATGTTTTATTTATTTATTTATTTATTTTTGAGACACAGTCTTACTCTCTGCCACCCAGGCTGGGGTGCAGTGGTGCTCTCTCAACTCACTGCAACCTCCACCTCCCAGGTTCAAGCCACCTCCTGCCTCAGCCACAGGAGTAGCTGGGACCACAGGTGTGCACCACCACACCTGGCTAATTTTTGTATTTTTAGTAGACACGAGGTTTCACCATGTTGGCCAGGCTGGTCTTGAACTCCTAGCCTTAAGTGATCCACCTGCCTCAGCCTCCAAAAGTGCTGAGATTACAGAGGTGAGCCACCATGCTGCCCCAGGTTTGCATTTTCAAAATCTCAGCTAACACTGTGGAGAACTAGTGGGGGAGGAGGATGTTAGAAGAAAGGGGCCAGTTGGGGAATCATTCTTTTGGCCTAGATTTTTGCTATTTAAGGTTAATTTATTGAGTGAGTTTTGTGTCAGAAACAAATGCAAACACTTTAGAATATCACCCATCTCACAGGTGGAGAAGCCAAGGCATGGGGAGATAAAGTGATGTTTTGGGAGGCCTCCCTGTGAGGGGATGCTTGGCTTCCAGTCCTTGCTTACTGCACTGGATGTGGCTCTGCACAGGGGCAGCCCCTATCGCGGGCTGTGTGGAGGAGGACAGGAGAGATGCTAAGAGGGTGCAGTAGACAATGCAAGGGACATAGTGACAGGGTCTGGGAAGATCCCCAGCTCACTGGCTAGGTGGAGGGAAGGGGAGGATGAGGTTGAGGAGACTGCTGGAGGGACTGTCTCTCCTGGGGCACAGAGCTCAGGAAAGCTGCTTGGACAGACAGGGTCTCCCCAAGTCTGGAACACTCAAGAGGGGTCAAAGGGATGGGTCTGTACTGGGAGTAGTGGGCCCAGGGCTGGAGGGGGCTCTGGGGGCTGGCCTTATCCTGCTGGCAAAGCGATGTCCTGAAAGTTTCCAGAAGCAGTAAAGGGTTCAAAACCTCACTCAAAGGGAGTTGGTGTGGTATGTGGTCGGGGGAGCATATGTGATGAATTGGAGAGGGTCTTCAGGAGACAAGAGGCCATTTGAGGTCTGGGGGTTGTCTGAAGGCCCTGGCCTCGGACAGTGATGGTAGCAATGAGAAATTAGGGTCCTAGGAGGGGATGCCCTTGTGAAGGACTCCATGACTGTTTTGATGTGGGATGCGGTGTGTTGGGATCTTGGGGGACCAGGAGAACAGGGGTTCATTATAGGACCTGAGGAAATCCCAAGGAGGTACTCGTGTGGAACAGGAGAAGGGGTTTGCTTGGGGCAGTGGCAAGAGGAAGGGGGATAAGTTCAGCAATGAATCATCTGTCGATGCCTTTGTTAACAGAGATGGGGCAGGTTCTGCCAGCCTTCAGGCTGAGGAGAAACACTTCCCTTCAGGAGGCTCAGCATAGAGTGAAGGTTGCTAGCTTGGTCCAGGGTCTGCAGTACGGATTTCACCCCGCGCCCAACCCTCACTCTGTGACCTCGGGCAAGCTGCTTAGCCTCTGGGCCTCTGCTCCCTTTCCCAGTAATCAGGGTATTGCAGGTACCCCCTTGTAGGGCTGGCGTGCCTGGCACAGAGAAGGTGCTCAGTGCTGTCAGCTCTGCTGTTATAACTAGTCTCTTGATTCTGTCACTCAGGGGAGGAGGACTAACTGAGACCTCCTGCTCTTGCTTCTGGGGGACTCACCCTTCTGTGGGCTCAAGCAGGGTCTCACCTCTAAACAACCCCAGAACCCTGCTGCCCTCCCTGTAGCTGCGCCCCAACCCAGTTCTTTTCCTCATTCTAAAATCTTCCTACACCCCAGCCCCAGCTGGGCTCTGTTTAACTTTAGACCACAGCCTTCCTCCCCTCCTCCCACTCTTTCTTATTCTAGGGCCGAGTCTTCCGGAGTCAGCAGAGAGCCTGGATGGATCACAGGAGGATAAGCCTCGGGGCTCATGTGCGGGTAGGACTGCAGACCCGTCGTGGCTCTGTGGCCTCCCTTTTTCTTCCTCCTCCTTCACTCTCTTCTCTTCCCCTGGGCCTGCTGGTGGGGGAAGTCAGTCATGTTGTGTGGGGAGGGCGGCGGGGGGAGGGGAGGCTACCCTCAGGAAGGGATGTTGGCAGTTTGCAGTCCCCCTGGGGGCGGAGGTGTGGGCAGGATGTCCAGAGTCCCAAGCCGCCTGGCAGGCCCGGGATCCATCAGTCAGCCTGACTCGACTCTTACCCTGACACTCGCCCAGTGCCACCTGCTCAGCCATTATCTGACCCGGTCCGACACCAGCAGCCCTTCCCTCTGCCCTCTGCTCTCTACACTCCATTATTTCCACTCTCCTTAAAAGAGCAGCATCTAGGCCGGGCGTGGTGGCTCATGACTGTAATCCCAGCACTTTGGGAGGCTGAGGCAGGTGGATCACCTGAGTTCGGGAGTTCGAGACCAGCCTGGCTAGCATGGTGAAACCCTATCTCTACTAAAAATACAAAATTAGCCAGATGTAGCAGTGGGCACCTGTAATCCCAGCTACTCAGGAGGCTGAGGCAGGAGAATCACTTGAACCTGGGAGGCAGAGGTTGCAGTGAGCCGAGATCATGCCACTGCACTCCAGGCTGAGCAACAGAATGAGACTCCATCTCAAAAAAAAAAAAAAAAAAAAAAAATAGCAGCATCTGTTTAGATGGTCTGGAGGCCATTAAAAAAAAAAAACAGCTTTATTGAGAGACAATTCAAATACCCTACAGTTCACCCATTTAAAGTGTACCATTTGGCTGGGTGCAGTGGCTCATGCCAGTAATCCCAGCACTTTGGGAGGCCAAGACTGGAGGACTGCTTGAACCCAGAAGTCCAAGACCGGTCTGGGCAACATAGTGAGATCCTGTCTCTACAAAAATTAGAAGTTAAAAAATCAGACAGGCATGGTGGCACACACCTGTGGTCCCAGCTACTCAGGAGGCTGAGATGAGAAGATAATTTGAGCCCAGGAGGTCAAGGCTGCAGTGAGCCATGATCAAGCCACTGTACTCCAGCCAGGGCAACAGAGTGAGACTCTGTTTTGAAAAAAAAAACAAAACAAAAAACCAAAGGATAATTCCAAAGTACAATTCCAGCTGGGTGTGGTGGGAGTACAAGACCAGCCAACATGGCAAGACTCTGCCTCTTAAAAAAAAATGGAAAAAAACCCAAAAAACAGAGTGTATAATTCAGTGGCTTTTAGTATATTCACAGTTATGCATCCAACACCACAACCAGTTTTAGATTGTTTTCATTATCCTCCCAAAGAAACCCCATACCCTTTAGCCATCAACTTCTAATCTCCTATCTCCTTAAGCAACAGGCAACCCCTAATCTACGTTCTGTCTCTCTCTATAGACATTTTATATAAATAGAATCGCGCAATATGGGGTTCTTTCTCTTTTTTTCTTTTTTGAGATGGAGCCTCACTCTGTCGCCCATGCTAGAGTTCGGTGGCACCATCTCGGCTCACTGCAACCTCTGCCTCCTGTGTTCAAGCAATTCTCCTGCCTCAGCCTCCCGAATAGCTGGGATTACAGGCGCCCGCCACCACGCCCAGCTAATTTTTGTATTTTTAGTAGAGACGGGGTTTCACCAGGTTGGCCAGGCTGGTCTCGAACTCCTGACCTTGTGATCCGCCCACCTTGTTCTCCCAAAGTGCTGGGATTACAGGCATGAGCCACTGCACCAGGCCAATATGGGGTTCTTTGTGACTGTCTTCTTTCATTTAAAAAAAATATTTATTTATTTATTTTTATTTATTTTTGAGACAGAGTTTCGCTCTTGTTGGCCAGGCTGGAGTGCAGTGGCATGATCTCAGCTCTGCACCTCCGCCTCCTGGGTTCAAGCGATTCTCCTGCCTCAGCCTCCCAAGTAGCTGGATTACAGGCATCTTGCCCCCACACCCGGCTAATTTTTTGTATTTTTCGTAGGGACAGGGTTTCGCCATGTTGGGCAGGCTGGTCTCGAACTCCTGACCTCAGGTGATCCACCCACCTTGGCCTCCCAAAATGCTGGGATTACAGGTGTGAGCCACCACACCCAGCCTATTTATTTATTTTTTTTTAGAGACAAGGTCTTGCTCTGTCACCCAGACTGGAGTGCCATCACATCTCATTGCAGCCTCAAACTGCCACAGCCTCGAACTCCAGGGCTCAGGTGATCCTCCCATTTCAGCCTCCTGAGTAGCTGGGACTACAGGCACACGTCACCATGCCCAGCTAATTAAAAAAAATTTTTTTGTCGAGATGAGATCTCACCATGTTGCCCAGGCTGGTCTCAAACTCCTAGGCTGAAGAGATCCTCCCACCTCAGCCTCCCAAAGTGCTGAGATTACAGGAGTGAACCACTGTGCCCAGCTTATTACATTTTTTACTTGCGTTATTTCTCTTTTTTTTTCTTAAGCAGAGCCCACTTTTACTGATACGGGAATGGTGGCTCACATAAACAACAGCCGGCTCAAGGCCAAGGGCGTGGGCCAGCACGACAACGCCCAGAACTTTGGTAACCAGAGCTTTGAGGAGCTGCGAGCAGCCTGTCTAAGAAAGGGGGAGCTCTTCGAGGACCCCTTATTCCCTGCTGAACCCAGCTCACTGGGCTTCAAGGACCTGGGCCCCAACTCCAAAAATGTGCAGAACATCTCCTGGCAGCGGCCCAAGGTGGGCACTGGAAGGGAGGCATGGACTCATGGATGGAAGGGAGCTTGTAGTGATCCCTCTATCACTTTTAGAATCTTCAATCTTCAACCCCCCACTACCCCATTCTGACCCTGGCACTAGGCCCCACCTTCATCAGAGCTGGGGACAGTTCTGAATATGCTTAAGCCAAACCTCCTAGGTAACCCTAAGGAAATCACCCACCAACCTCTGCTATCACAAGCTGCAGCTATGCCAAGTTGGTCCTGTACCCTCTCCCTGCCCCTCATATCTGTTCCCCTGGAACTTCAAGGTGGGCATCATTCCCCAGCAAAAGTGGGAGAAAGGTGGGGAGGGGGTGTCCTGGGCCCCCTGAAACCTTTATTCCTTCACTGCAGGATATCATAAACAACCCTCTATTCATCATGGATGGGATTTCTCCAACAGACATCTGCCAGGGGATCCTCGGTGAGTGGGGCACAGGAAGCTGGTCTCCACCTGGGCAAGAGGATTGGGGGAGGGGTGCCAGGGTGTCTTTTGAAGCTGGGAAACAGGGAGCCCTGAGGTCAGACAGCCTGCTTCTGTTCCCCTGTCCCTCCCCTTCTGAGGAGATGACAGTGAGAACACCGTGCATTCTTCCTGCCCCTCCCAAGTCTGGATGCCACTCCCTGCCTGCTGCAGCCTGGGTCTTGCGGGGGGAATATTAGTTACATTTGACTACATAATAAATTACCTAGGACTTAGCAACTTAAAAAAAAAATTTCTTATCTCACGGTTCCTGTGGGTCAGAAATTCAGAAGCAGAATCACTGGATGGGTCTAGTTCAGGGTTTATCAGGAGGTTACAGTCAAGACGTCTGCAACCTGTGATCATCTGAAGGCTCGCCTGGGGCTGGAGGGTCTGCTCCTAGGAGGGTGCACTTACGTGGCAGGAGCTCTCAGGTCTTTGCTGGCTGTTGGCAGGAGGCCCCAGTTCCTCACCACATAGGCTTCTCCATGGGGCTGCTTGAGTGTCCACGCAACGTGGTAGCTTGCTCTTCCAAAGCGAGTTATCTAAGAGAGAGGACAAGGAGGAAGCCATAATGCCTTTTCTGACCTAGTCTCAGGAGTTGCACATCATCACTTCCACCATATTCTATTTGTTAGAAGCAAGCACTGAATCTGGTCCACACTCAAGAGGAGAGGAATTAGGCTCTACCTTTGGAAGGGAGGATGGTCAAAGAATTTGTAGAAACCACTACAGGTGCTAGAACCCGATCAATCTGGGGTATCAAATAGGAGGGCAACGGGGTCTACTCAGCCCACTCTCACAGGGCTCCCATAGAAAGCCCCAGGGTAGATCTTTCTCCCTAAGTCTGGTCCCGTTCAAGGGTTTCTTCCAGATCCCTCGCTGCCTCTTTAGGGATAAAGCCAGGGTGGGCTTTCTCTGAGACTGAATTCTGTCCCCTTGGGGCAGAAAAAAGGGCAAGGTGTGGGCAGAGCAGAGGCCAAGGAGACCTTAGACCCCAGGGCCGCTGCTGTGGCCGCTGTGGCTCAGTAGGCTGGAGGGACAATGGGCTGGAGGAGGGAATTCACTTCTCCGAGGCACTCTAACAGTGAGGGGGATTGGAGCGCCCTTGATATTCCTCTCTCCAGGCAGCCAAGAGGCCATTGGTAATCATAGAAACTTTCTGCTCCCTCAACCTCAGCCTGGCGTAGGATGCACAGCACCCTGCCCCTGGACCCCACCCAGCAAGGGCTGAGATGCCTAGGAGACAGGTGGCAATGGAGGTCTGTAGTGCTCATCTCCCATAGGATTCCCTTTAGCCGAACTTCAGGCCAGGGACACTGCCTCATACCCACTTCAATGCCTAGCTCCAGGGACCCTGCTGGGGCACATACTGAGCCCTGGGTCCCCAATATAATGTGGGTGACATGAGGGAGAGACCTCTTGGGAACTTCGTGGCCACACCAGTGTACTCACAGGGTGCAGGAAGGTGACTGGATCTGTTGGAAGAATGTGGAGAGTATTGGCTCTGTCTCAAAGAAAGCAGGTTACTGGTCAGGTGCAGTGGCTCATACCTGTAATCCTAGCACCTTGGGAGGCCAAGGCAGGAGGACTGCTTGAGCTCAGGAGTTCAAGACCAGCCTAGGCAGCATAGTGAGACTCTGTCTCTACTTATATATAAAAATTTACTTTAAAAAAAAATAGGTTCCTAGAGCCTGAGGCCAAAAGTACCTCTTTTCCAAACTCAAGAAAAACAAAAGGATGTGTCTCTCACATAATAGAAAAGGTACAGCCAGGCACTGTGGCTCACACCTGTAATCCCAACACTTTGGGAGGCCAAGGCTGGCAGATCTCTTGAGGCCAGGAGTTTAAGACCAGCGTGGCCAACATGGTGAAACCCCATCTCTACTAAATATGCAAAAATTAGCCAGGTGGGGTGGCGGGCGCCTGTGGTCCCAGCTACTCAGGAGGCTGAGACAGGAGAATCGCTCGAACCCAGGAGGCAGAGGTTGCGGTGAGCTGAGATCATGCTATTGCACTCCAGCCTGGGTGACACAGCAAGACACTGACTCAAAAAAGAAAATGTACAGAAACTCACCTTACTAGAGTCTCTCCGCCTTCAGTTTCTCCCTGTTTACCTCCTTCCTGAACACTCTTTAGTGGGAGGGCTGAGGGAGGGTGCCTCTCCGCCGGGGGGGTGAGAATGGGGTACAGGGTCAAGTTCCTGCTCCCCTAGGCCTTGGATTCTGAGGCCCACCCACACATATGGGGTTGCTCAGGGGTGGCAAAGCCCTGCCTGTCTTTCCAGGGGACTGCTGGCTGCTGGCTGCCATCGGCTCCCTTACCACCTGCCCCAAACTGCTATACCGCGTGGTGCCCAGAGGACAGAGCTTCAAGAAAAACTATGCTGGCATCTTCCATTTTCAGGTGAAGGACAGTGTGAGAGCCACTGTGGCTTTGTTGGGGGCGGGGGAAGAATCATATATGCTTTGAAGTTTACCTTCTTTCCTTTTGAAAAATAGCATTTATTAGGGTGGGTTTTGGACTAATTATCAGAGAAATATCTGCCCACCAAAGAAATCATGTAAGCTAATTTTTTAAGTCCCAAAAGAAAATAGTTGTTAGCAATTTGTGGCTCTTTCTCCCTTCTCCTTCTCTTCCTCTCCACTGTGTGTGTGGGTGTGTGTGACACTGGTAGTCTCTGTCACATAATTTTTGTAATCTGCCCCTTTGACTTAGCAATGTGTGGACAAATTCCCCTCTGGAGACCGTGGCAGAAGCTGGAGAGGAGGCGGGGCCGGGCTCAGGCTTTGGGTTGCCTTTCCCTCTCTATTCAGTGATTCTGGAGAGTGGAGCCTCTGACACTGGCGTGTCATCAGGTCTGGCCACTAGGAGGCGCTTGATGATAGGGTTCCCACGCAAGGGGTGTGTGTTTGCTACCCACAGATTTGGCAGTTTGGACAGTGGGTGAACGTGGTGGTAGATGACCGGCTGCCCACAAAGAATGACAAGCTGGTGTTTGTGCACTCAACCGAACGCAGTGAGTTCTGGAGTGCCCTGCTGGAGAAGGCGTATGCCAAGTGAGTGCTGGGAGCTGAGGAAGGGGGCTTGCCTTGCCTCTGTCTGGACAGCTGGAATCAGGGGGAGGGGAGGGGGTAGCAGGACATCCCTCCCTCCCCTCACCTCCATCCTAGAGCCCAACAGTGCCTTCTCTGTGCCCACAGGCTGAGTGGGTCCTATGAAGCATTGTCAGGGGGCAGTACCATGGAGGGCCTTGAGGACTTCACAGGAGGCGTGGCCCAGAGCTTCCAACTCCAGAGGCCCCCTCAGAACCTGCTCAGGCTCCTTAGGAAGGCCGTGGAGCGATCCTCCCTCATGGGTTGCTCCATTGAAGTAAGCAAAGCATGGTCCCACCTCAGGGCCTTTGCACCTGCTGTTGCTGTCACCCAAAAGGCTCTTCCCCCAGTATCTGCACGGCCAGCACCTTCTCATTCAGTTCAACTGCCCTTTCCCCAGACTAGCCTTCCCTACCTCCCCGTCTAAAGTCGCCGTCCCCACCCTATTTACTTTCTTTTTGTTTTTTTTTGTTTGTTTGTTTTGTTTTTTTGAGACAGGGTCTCATTCTGTCTCCCAGGCTGGAGTGCAGTGGCAAGATCTCGGCTCACTGCAACCTCCACCTCCTGGGTTCAAGTGATTCTCCTCCCTCAGCCTCCCAAGGAGCTGGGATTACAGCCGTGTGCCACCCTGCCTGCGTAGTTTTTTGTATTTTTAGTAGAGAAGGGGTTTTGTCATGTTGGCCAGGCTGGTCTCGAACTCCTGACCTCAACTGATCCACCCACCTCGGCCTCCCATAGTGCTGGGATTACAGGCATGAGCCACGGTGCCCAGCCAGCCCTGTTTACTTTCTATCTGGTTTTTACTTTCTCCCCAACATTTATTGTGACCTGAAATTATCTTGCTTATCTATGTTTTCACTCATAGCCCATCTTCTCCAGATAGTAGTCACATTCCATGAGGGCAGTGACCTTCTTTGTCTCATTCACTGCTGGACCCTGGAACTTAGGAAGGAGCCCAGCATGCAATAGGCACCCAACCAACATTTGCTCGACAAAATACATGAACCCAGGGTGCTACATATGACCCTGCATTCTTGGCATTTATCCCAGAGAAATGAAGACATGTCTCCAAAAATGTTTGTACACAAATGTTTACAGCAACTTTATTCATTATAGCCCCGAAACAGGAAACAACCTAGATGTCCTTCAATGAGTAAATGGTTAAACAAACTGTTTATTACACACCGTGGAATACTACTTAGCAATAAAAAAGAACAAACTATTGATACTCAGAGAAACTAGGACAGATCTCAGGGGAATTATGCTGAATGAAAAAAGCCAACCCTAGCCAGGTGCAGTGGCTCATGCCTGTAATTCCAACACTTTGGGAGGCTGAGGTGGGAGAATTGCTTGAACCCAGGTGTTCAAGACCAGCCTAAGAAATATAGTGAGACCTCATCTCTACCAAAAAAAAAAAAAAAAAAGAAATTAATTAGCTGAGAAAAAAGAAAAAAAAAAAGACAATCCCCTCCAAAGGTGGTTACACACTGCATGATTCACGATATTCTTTTTTTTTTTTTTTTTTTTTGAGACAGAGTCTCACTCTGTCACCCAGGCTGGAGTGCAGTGATGCGATCTCGTTTCACTGCAACATCCACCTCCTGGGTTCAAGAGATTTTCCTCCCTCACCCTCCTGAGTAGCTGGGATTGCAGGCACCTGCTGCCATGCATGGCTAAGTTTTGTATTTTTAGTAGAGACGGGGTTTCACCATGTTGGCCAGACTGGTCTTGAACTCCTGACCTCAGGTGATCCGCCTGCCTTGGCCTCCCAAAGTGCTGGGATTGCGGGTGTGAGCCACTGTGCCTGGCCTTAAATGACATTCTTGAAATGACAAAATAATAGAAATTAAGAACAGATGAGTGGTTGCCAAGGTTTAGGGAGGTGGAGTCATGAGAAGAGATGGGTTTGGTTATAAAAGGGCGACTCAAGGGATGCTTGTGGTGATAGAAATGTTCTATATCTTGACAGTGGTGGTGGCTACATGAAACTACACATAATGGAATTGCATAGAGCACACAAAAGTGAGCACTTGTAAAACTGGGGAAATCTGTATAAGGTTTACAGATTGCATCCATATCAGCATTCTGGGCTGGGCACGGTGCCTCACACCTGCAATCCCAGCACTTTGGGAGGCTGAGGAGGACAGATTGCTTGAGCTCAGAAGTTTGAGACAAGCCTGGGCAACATGGCAAGACCCAATCTCTACTAAAAATACAAAAATTAGCTGGGCATGGTGGCAAGAGCCTGTAGTCCCAGCTACTCAGGAGGCTGAGGTGAGAGGCTCGTTTGAATCTGGGAGGTTGAGGCTGCAGTGAACCGAGATCACACCACTGCACTCCAGCCTGGGTGACACAGCGAGACCCTGTCTCAAAAATAATAATAAAGCCGGGTGCGGTGGCTCATGCTTGTAATCCCAGCACTTTGGGAAGCCGAGGTGGGCGGATCACCTGAGGTCAGGAGTTCAAGACCAGCCTGGCCAACATGGTAAAACCCCATCTATACTAAAAATACAAGAAATTAGCCAGGCGTGGTGGCGGGCGCCTGTAATCCCAGCTACTTGGGAGTCTGAGGCAGGAGAATCCCTTGAACCTGCGAGGCAGAGGTTGCAGTGAGCCGAGATCTCACCACTGCACTCCAAGAGCAACAAGAGCAAAGCTCTGTCTCAAATAATAATAAATAATAATAATAATTTTTAAAACGTTCTAGTTTTGATATTTCACTGTAGTTTTGCCAGATGTTACCACTGGGGGAACCTGAGTATGGGATACACGGGATTTCTCTGTATTATTTGTTACAATTGCATGTGAATCTGCAATTATTTCAAAATAATGATAATAATTTAAAAGTTTAGTTTAAAAAAATTAACCTGGAGAGCTCGCCCCTTCCTTTGGGTGCCCAGTCCAGGTCCTCCATGCCCTCCATGCCCTCCATGCTCTCCCTCCCTCTCTGTTCTGTAGGTCACCAGTGATAGTGAACTGGAATCCATGACTGACAAGATGCTGGTGAGAGGGCACGCTTACTCTGTGACTGGCCTTCAGGATGTGAGTCCTGAGAAATGCGCCCTACCCTGAGGACCCTGAGAAGGAGGAGAACGTCTCCCTGACCCCATAACTCTGACCTTTAACCACCCCCGCCCACCCAGGTCCACTACAGAGGCAAAATGGAAACACTGATTCGGGTCCGGAATCCCTGGGGCCGGATTGAGTGGAATGGAGCTTGGAGTGACAGGTAGGTGTCCCCAACCCAGGTGAGGGGTGGTCGGAGGATACAGCAGGCGGTGCCAGGTGGACCGACTGGTGTCCCATCTAGGAGAACAACCTGTACAACAGGGCAAAGCTCCTCCCTCTAGATTCTCCATCTAGCTCCGCACCCCAGCAGGCAGACATTCAGGGAAGAGGCAGTCCCCTGGAGAGGAAGGAGGTGCCACATGACCTCCGCCCCTCTCCTTCCACCGCCCATCTCTGCTCCAGTGCCAGGGAGTGGGAAGAGGTGGCCTCAGACATCCAGATGCAGCTGCTGCACAAGACGGAGGACGGGGAGTTCTGGTCAGTGTGGCTTGGGGTGGGCTTCTTACCACCACCCTAGGCCCTGGTCCTTCATCTCCCTGCTCCGCTCCTCTCTGTGCCTTGGATGGGGAGGCTTGGGGTGGTTGTGGGGGGTGGTTCAGGGAGAGGGAACTGAGGATGCAAGTGTGCTGCTGACGGGCTCCACCCCCACCCCACCACAGGATGTCCTACCAAGATTTCCTGAACAACTTCACGCTCCTGGAGATCTGCAACCTCACGCCTGATACACTCTCTGGGGACTACAAGAGCTACTGGCACACCACCTTCTACGAGGGCAGCTGGCGCAGAGGCAGCTCCGCAGGGGGCTGCAGGAACCACCCTGGTGGGTGAGGGGTGAGAGGGGAGGGGGTGTGCAGGGAGTGAAGGATGGGCCACGGCTCACCACGAAACCAGACCTGGGGCACGAGTCACCGGAGTCAGGGTCCATGAGGTCAAGGGTTAGTCAGATTTCACAGCCCCTGTGGAGGAGACAGCTCCAGTGTGGCTGGGGAAGCTCGGTCCACCCTGGGAAGGGCGTGGCCAAGGGAAGCCCCCGTATAACCACGCTGACCCACTTCCGCCACAGGCACGTTCTGGACCAACCCCCAGTTTAAGATCTCTCTTCCTGAGGGGGATGACCCAGAGGATGACGCAGAGGGCAATGTTGTGGTCTGCACCTGCCTGGTGGCCCTAATGCAGAAGAACTGGCGGCATGCACGGCAGCAGGGAGCCCAGCTGCAGACCATTGGCTTTGTCCTCTACGCGGTGGGTGCCTGGCTGGTCTCGCCCGCCACTCACTCTCCCTCACCTGACCTCACTCCTTTCTTTCTTTCTTTCTTTTTTTTTTTTCGAGACAGAGTCTCACTCTGTTGCCCAGGCTGGAGTGCAGTGGCACAATCTCCATTCACTGCAACCTCAGCCTCCCCAGTTCAAGTGATTCTCGTGCCTCAGCCTTCCCAGTAGCTGGATTACAGACGTGCACCACCATGCCCAGCTAATTTTTGTATTTTTAGTAGAGACGGGGTTTCACCATGTTGGCTAGGCTGGTCTGGAACTCATGACCTCAGGTAATCTGCCTGTCTCGGCCTCCCAAAGTGTTGGAATTACAGGTGTGAGCCACCACACCCGGCTGCCTGGCCTCACTCCTTTCTCCCCAGGGCCACTTCCTGCCTGGGAGAGGGACAGGCTCCAACAGGCTTCACAGCCCTGATTTTTTTTTTAAGACAGGAGCTCAATCTGTTGCCCAGGTTGGAATGCAGTGGCGTGATTACGGCTCACAGCGGCCCTGACCTCCCAGGCTCAAGCAATCCTTCCACCTCAGCCTCCTGACTAGCTAGGACTACAGGCAATTGTCCTGCTAGTTTTTTAAAATTTTTCGTAAGATAGGGTCTCACTATGTTGCCCAGGCTGAGCCCTGACTCTTGAATGGTGCTTTGTGCCTTTCAAGCCAGAGCCGGCAGTTTTCTCTTCACAGATTTCATCCTTTGTGCCAGGCATTGTTCCAAAGGTCTTAGGAATACTAACTACTAATGCCTTTAAGGAAGCGGAAGGAGCCTGCGGGCCAGAGACATGAAGTCACTTGCCCAAGCTCACACATCCAAGGGTCAGAGGCCAAGCCTGTGTCCTGATTCCCAGGCGCTCTGAGACTTCTCCACACGCCCCGCCCGACAATCCATCCCCCTTGTCTGCCCCACCAGCAGTACTCACTCCAGGAGCCAAGAGAAAGCCCTGATAAGCATTTCCCAAGCCAAACCATGCTTTGCAAAATTCTCCACATTCTCCAAAAGAATGTTGTTCATTCACTTGCATTCCCTTATATAAGCAAGTATTTATGGAGCATCTACTGTGTGCCAGGCCCCTGTCCAGTCTCCAGGGGTTCAATAGTGAGCAAAACAGACACAAGCCTTGCCCTACTCTTAGGGCCATTAGTCCACCAGGCTAACAGACTGGTGCCTCAGGATAACATTTTTGCTGGGGGAGGTGGCTCATGCCTATTATCCCAGCACTTTGAGAGGCCGAGGTGGGAGGATCACTTGGAGGATGCCCAAAGAATTTAACACCAGCCTGGGCAACACAGCAAGACCCTGTCTCGATTAAAAAAAAAAAAAAAAAAAAAAATTAGCCGGGCATGGTGGCACACACCTGTGGTCCCAGCTACTCGAGAAGCTGAGGTGAGAGGATCACTTGAGCTCAGGAGGTCGAAGCTGCGGCAAGCCATGATCGCACCACTGCTCTTCAGCCTGGGCGCAGAGTGAGACCCTGTCTCAAAGACATCTTCAAGGTTAAAAAAGCTCAGGAAAGACTACTGCAGCCTGAGCTCTCCGGTGCACACAAGCACACTGAGGTGCTGATAAGCCACCTCTGCAATAGAGCAACCTGTTTAACTTGGTTTAACTCACATTTTTACAAACTTATTTGTCCTCGATCCTCAATTTTAGTAATCTTCTATTCACTTCCTGCAGGATATGAGTGTTCCACGGAAAAGCAAAACACTGTCCTAGATTTTTATCCTAACTCTTTCACTTTTCAGCCATCTGAGGTTGGACAAATCACCTCACATCTTTGGGATTCTGTTTCCTTCCCTTAACCTGGAATGATAAAAATCTACCTTGCATAAACTGTACTTTCCTATCCAAAGCTGAAGGAATTTTTTTTTTTTTTTTGAGACAGGGTCTCACTCTATTGCCCAGGCTGGAGGGCAGTGACATGATCGTGACTCACTGCAGCCTTGACCTCCAGCTCAAGCAATCCTCCCACCTCTGCAGCAGAGGGATTGTTAATGCCAGGACCTTTGAACTGTCAGAGCCCGTGCCCCACTCCACCACCAGTATCCCAGTGCCCTTAATACCCCTCCAACAACACACACACACAGACACACACTATACACATCCCACTTGGCTTCTGAAGGCCTGAGGCCCTTCACCACCCTAGAGATCTGACTCTCCTCTTTCTTCCCTTCCCAGGTCCCAAAAGAGGTACAGAAGATAAAGATGTGGGGCTTGTTCCTGGACACATACCCACTCCACCCCTGGCTGCAAGTGGATTGGCAAAGGGTGGAATTTGGCGAGAGGCTCTGGGGGTCACTGGGTTAGGATTCCAGCCCTCTTCAGGGCTGGTAGGGGTCGGGAAAGGAAGAGACCCTGTTGGAGTTGCGGGCCACTTAGATGGTGTCCAGGCCAGGTCAGTTGGTGGTGGCACCTACCTCCAACCCTGCCCGGCCAGGCTGTTCACCCTGGGGGACCCTCCCTCCCTAACCTCCCATGCCAGTCCTGTACCCACTTCCAGGATGCATATAGTTTCAGAACATTCAGGATGTCCACTTGAAGAAGGAATTCTTCACGAAGTATCAGGACCACGGCTTCTCAGAGATCTTCACCAACTCACGGGAGGTGAGCAGCCAACTCCGGCTGCCTCCGGGGGAATATATCATTATTCCCTCCACCTTTGAGCCACACAGAGATGCTGACTTCCTGCTTCGGGTCTTCACCGAGAAGCACAGCGAGTCATGGTAAGGGGCTGCAGCTCACTGCTCCAAGGCCCGCCACCCAAGAGCTGCAGGATATCAAGCTCAGGGAGCTGCTGTCGGGTCCTCCCTCACTTTGTCCCTATTTTACAGTCAGGGAAACTGAGGCATGAGAAGGTGAAGTCCCAGTTAGTGGCAGAACCAGAACTAGAACTAGAACCCATATTCCATGGAGCTGCCCTATATTGCTTCAAAGACATGACATGACCCCCAGAGCACCCCACTAAAACCCCCACCTCCCTCCCCCTGGTAACTCTTGAGCTTTCAATCATTTTGCCCAGGGAATTGGATGAAGTCAACTATGCTGAGCAACTCCAAGAGGTGAGGGGAGACTGTAGGGCTGGGGGTTGGAAGGAAGCTCCTGGGCCTGTGAAAGAAGTTTTCTGACCAGGTCCCTTTCCTGCTCCCCGGCCCCCAGGAAAAGGTCTCTGAGGATGACATGGACCAGGACTTCCTACATTTGTTTAAGATAGTGGCAGGAGAGGTGAGCAGGCCACGAGCGGAGGGCTGACAGGAGGGGGATGAGGGGCTGGAGGGGCCCGAGTGGGGTTCACAGTTCCCCTTCCTAGGGCAAGGAGATAGGGGTGTATGAGCTCCAGAGGCTGCTCAACAGGATGGCCATCAAATGTGAGTCTTCCACTCCTGCTGCACACGACCCCTCCCCCATATTTTGTGCCCCTCTTGATCACTCCCAGTGCCCCCACGATACCTCATTTACCCTGTCTCTCCTTTCTACCCCTTCCCTTCCTCACAGTCAAAAGCTTCAAGACCAAGGGCTTTGGCCTGGATGCTTGCCGCTGCATGATCAACCTCATGGATGTATCCTCCTGTCCAGTGCTCTCTTGGCCCTGTCCCCTGCCCACAAGCCTGGCCCAGAGATGGCCACCCTGGGCCAGCCACGTCCTCCTCCCTGATGGGGATTAGGCTCTGGGGTAGCAGAAGATGCCAGTTCTTCTGGCTGCTACAGTACCGGAACCCCAGGGCTTGTGTGTCCCCTCAGGAACCCCCGCTGCTTCCCTATCCCCTGGGATGCCTTCTTCACTCCTTCTCTGCTGTCCTTGACCACCTTCCAGAAAGATGGCTCTGGCAAGCTGGGGCTTCTAGAGTTCAAGATCCTGTGGAAAAAACTCAAGAAATGGATGGTAAAGGGCACTAAAGGGGCAGCCTCCAGGGGTGAGGAAAAGAGGGTCTTAGGAGAGATGGAACTAATGAGGGGAAGCTAGAACCCAAGCCCTAACCACACACACACACACACCCAACCACACCACACTCACACACACACACACACACTCACATACAGACACAACCACACCACACACACACACACACACTCACATACAGACACAACCACACCACACTCACACACACACACACTCACATACAGACACAACCACACCACACATACACACTCACATACAGACACAACCACACCACACTCACACACACACATACACACTCACATACAGACACAACCACACCACACTCACACACACATACTCACATACAGACACAACCACACCACACTCACACACACACACACTCACAGACACAACCACACCACACTCACACACACACATACACACTCACATACAGACACAACCACACCACACACACACATACACACTCACATACAGACACAACCACACCACACACACACACACTCACATACAGACACAACCACACCACACACACACATACACACTCACATACAGACACAACCACACCACACTCACACACACATACACACTCACATACAGACACAACCACACCACACTCACACACACACATACACACTCACATACAGACACAACCACACCACACTCACACACACACATACACACTCACATACAGACACAACCACACCACACACACACATACAGACACAACCACACCACACACACACACACATACACACTCACATACAGACACAACCACACCACACACACACACACATACACACTCACATACAGACACAACCACACCACACTCACACACACATACACACTCACATACAGACACAACCACACCACACTCACACACACACATACACACTCACATACAGACACAACCACACCACACACACACACACATACAGACACAACCACACCACACACACACACACACACACACACACTCACATACAGACACAACCACACCACACACACACATGAAAAGGGTCTGTTGGAGTGTGGCATATTACCCAGTCAAAATATTTTATAACAAGTATAGCTCAGGTATCATCTAGTCATGAAGGATGCACACAAAGAGCGCTGGGCAGGGCACCAGTGCCCCCGACAACCCATGCTTGGAATTAACCCTTAGGTCACCAGATGATAGGAATATCAGGAGTGGGCCAGGGTTGGAGGGGGGCATGGGGTCTTAGGCCACTGCTGTGAGCCAACTGTCCTAAAGTATTTCTTTTTCTTTTTTTTGAGACGGAATCTCACTCTGTTGCCCAGGCTGGAGTGCAGTGGTGCGATCTCTGCTTACTGTAACCTCCGCCTCCTGCCTCAGCCTCCTGACTAGCTGGGATTACAGGCATGCACCACCACACCCAGCTAATTTTTGTAGTTTTATTAGAGACGGGGTTTCGTCATGTTGGCCAGGCTGGTCTCAAACTCCTGACCTCAGATGATCCGCCTGCCTCGGCCTTTCAAAGTGCTGGGATTACAGGCATGAGCCACCGCGCCCGGCCTCAGTATTTCATTATTTCAACCACCATGCCATGCATGTGGCCCTACCATATCTGTCTGTCTCTTCAGGACATCTTCAGAGAGTGTGACCAGGACCATTCAGGCACCTTGAACTCCTATGAGATGCGCCTGGTTATTGAGAAAGCAGGTGGCCAAGGGTCAGGAGTGGGCCTTGGGGCAGGGAAGAGGATGGCAGTGTCCAGAGGCCCAGACTTTTCCCCTCCCCACTTCTCTCTCCCTCTCTCAGGCATCAAGCTGAACAACAAGGTAATGCAGGTCCTGGTGGCCAGGTATGCAGATGATGACCTGATCATAGACTTTGACAGCTTCATCAGCTGTTTCCTGAGGCTAAAGACCATGTTCAGTGAGTTAGGCATCTACCCACTCCCCAGCCTAGGCCAGGGGCCGCGGGCCCTTTCCCAAACACCCACCCTGATGGGTGCTGCTCCAGATCCCCTCCCCCTTACAAGGCACACATGAAATGGATTCAAAGCCCAGCTCCGCCACTTGCTGGCAGAGGTGACTTGAGCAAGTCACTTAATCTTTCTGTGCCTCCATTCCCTCCTCTTTAGAATGTGGATAATAATAGTACTGCCCTCAAAGGACTGAGGTGCAGGTTAAACCAGTTAGTCTATGGAAGGCAATCAGAACTGGGCCTGGCTCCTGGTGAGGCTATGTGAGTTGCTATCATTAATTCCCCACTTGGCTAGGGGATTTATGTGGGGAACAGCCAGGAACACCTGGTGTCGCCCCTTCCTACCTAGTTGGGAGTGGTTCTTTCGGAACACTGACTTAGCATTCAGCCCCTCTCCCCCGCTTCCTCTGTAACGCAGCATTCTTTCTAACCATGGACCCCAAGAATACTGGCCATATTTGCTTGAGCCTGGAACAGGTACTTGGAGAAGGGTGGGAAGGAATCTGCAGGATTGCACCTGCCTGCCCCTCAACCCCACCCCCACCCAGCTCTGATGTCCCCGGGCCAGCATCCTGCCCCCGTCTCTTCCCACCCTGGGATCTGCTTCCTGTCTCCACAGTGGCTGCAGATGACCATGTGGGGATAGAGGCGCTGTAGGAGCCTGGTCATCTCTACCAGCAGCAGCAGCAGCGAGGTTCTAGCCCAGGAGGGTGGGGTGCTTCTTGTAGCCCTCAGCTCTCCGGTCTCTGCTGATGAAATGGGCTCCAGGTGGCAGTGCCCGGGTCCCAGGTGCCGTGTTTACTGCAGCAGTGGGACCTCCGTGCCCACTCCCCCAGCTCAGAGGCTTTCTCTTTTTTCCCCAACCCGGCTTCTGATGGCTGGCTTTCCCCCACCATCGCTCTCTCAGAGTATATTTTACTAAAGAGTAGTTGATGCTTCCCCAGGGTCCCCCTGGCTGGGGAGGCCAAGAATAGGGAAGGGACTTGTAGCCCGTTTCTTACCCTCCATGCTTGCTGTCCTGCTCACACCTACCTGCTGACCACCCATCCTGGCACAGCCTCTGTTTTCCTCCCCATCTGTGGATACTATTCTAATAAATAGCACATGCCATTGGCTTCCATGTCTCTGTGTTTTTATGCCAAGAAAAGACTGGCAAGGGTGGAAGTCACTTACCCAGGACCAAAGGATTGGGTAGCTCTCAGCCAAGGGTGATAGGGAGCATATAGAAATGTGCAGTTGTCACAATAACTAGAGGCCATAGTTGGCGTTTATGGGCAGTGCCAGATGCTAAGCACACAAGTCCCTCCCTGTGAAGAACTGTGTGGTGTGCCCTATGGTGGAGCGCTTCTACGGGGGCTGAGCCAGGGCTCCAGGACTCTCATCTGCTGCTTCAAACTGGGGTCCCCAAAGGTGGCACTGCAGGAGCCTCGAAGGTTAAAAATCTGACACCTGCAGCCAGCAGGTCACATAAATGAACGAACTGCCGGGCGCGGTGGCTCACGCCTGTAATCCCAGCACTCTGGGAGGCCAACGCAGGTGGATCACCTGAGGTCAGGAGTTTGAGACCACCCTGGCCAACATGGCAAAACTCCGTCTCTGCTAAAAATACAAAACTTAGCTGGCCGTAGTGGCACGCGCCTATAATCCCAGCTACTTGGGAGGCTGAGGCAGGAGAACTGCTTGAACCTGGGGGGTGGAGGTTGCAGTGAGACAAGATCATACCACTTCACTCCAGCCTGGGTGACAGAGCAAGACTCTGTCTCAAAAACAATTTAAATAAATAAATGAACAAATCCTCCTCGTGTGGGACTGGGAAGGCTGAGGACTGTGGCAATAGGTGAACTCGTTCCTGCCTTAAAGGTGTTCAGATTCAAATCATTATTATTATTGTTAGAAATTTGTTGCCTGTCCACTTACTAAAACCTCCCTTAACTATCCTCCACCTTATCCAGAGAAGCTTCTTCTTTTAGAAAATCAAGCAAAGCAACTAAGTCAAGACATGTTAAAAAAAAAAAAAGTATGAAAAGAAAGCTGTAAGGAAATACAAGGGGAGGGATTGTTAGATATGAGTTCTAAATTTCTTTTCAAAGAATTAATATGTCAGTATGTTCAATTCTTTGCCTTCTATTTTTAAACTTCACTTCCTCGTAAAGCAACCTTTTCAATTACCTATTCCACCCTGACTCATTCCGATCACCTGCTCCACCCTAATTTATTCCAATCACCTGCTACCTGCTCTGCCCTGACTCCCACCAAAGCACTCACCCTGTCAGTCTCTTTAAATTAGTCAATCAGAATTAGTTTAGCCTGTGCGGTCTAACCCTAGCCAATAGGGGAACGACACAGCAGCAGGGGCCACGTGCATCAGGGATAAGAACCCCTTCCCCTCCCTTGTCCAAATGTGTGCTCACCATTGTTCCATCTATAAGGGCGCACGCTTCTATATAGAAGTAACTTGCCTTGCTGAGAATTAAAAAGAAAATTAAAAAAAAAAAAGAAATTTGTTGCTTGTCAAGCTACTGTCCTTGCAGGAGGCATGGAAGAAACACTTATTTCTGGGTCCACCTGTTTTTGACCTCGGGGTCTCTGTCCCAGGTGCCCACACCCCAACTCCAGCCCCAGCCCCCTGCAGTAGTGAGAACACCCAGGCCACTCACAGCAGCCCCTAAACTGTACTTCTCCTCCTGTCCTTCCAGAGCCCTCCACAGCCTCCCCTTCTGGTTTCTGGCAGGGACACTGGAGCCCAAGCACATGCGCTTCTCAGCCTCTCAGGTAGAGACAGCACCCCCAACTTCCCCTAGATTAGAGATCTGTCATCCCCAATGAAGCTAAACCCTTCCTGTCTCTGTGTACCTGTGCAGCTTCCTGGGGTCGCTAGCTTCCTTCCACGTGCACTAAACCCAGCCCTTGTGTGCTTAGTGAGGCAGGTGGGATTCTGATCTTCCTTAATCTGGTGACTGATTGTCTGCACCAGCCCTGGCCCCTGCCTTCTTTGTGACTTCAAAGACTAAAGCTAGTCTGCCTGGATATAAAGCCGCCTTCCCTCCATTATCACCACCCCACGCCGCCTTCAGAGGAATCGTTTCCTGTCCTGTCAGCCCTCCCTGCTTCCTCTCCGTCTCCAGTCCTGCCTGAAAGAATAGGTCACACTCTCTTTGGAGCCTCTTTGAAAGACTGTTCTCCCACTTGTCGTCCTCCCTCTCTCTCTAAGAGATGGCAGCCACCACCTGCTCTCCACAGAGCTTCTCTGAGTGATGAGCAAAAGTCCCCAGAGAGAGCAGGGAGAGGTCAGTGAGAGCCTCAAGCTAACAGGTCCATGCTGGGCATGGTGGCACATGCCTGTAATCCCAGCTACTCGGGAGGCTGAGGAGTTTGAGACCAGCCTGGGCAACACGGGGACTCCATCTTTTAAAAACAAAAACCTAGCAGGTCCTTTGAGACTCTGAGAGGTCCCGGGCAGTCCGGATTGGTTCTGGGAACCCTAGGAAGATGCTGACCCCACCTCTTGTTCCATGGCCTAGGGTGAAATGCTGCCAACTTCAAGCCAGGATGGAAAGGAAGCAGAAAACTCTCAAATCAGGACTATCCCTTCCGGTTTGTAACAAAGCTGGTTACTCACGAACACTCTGTAAACATAAAATGAAGCAAACTTCACATAAGTAGAGAGTTTATTTGGGCTAAACTTAAGGATTGTAACCCTGGAGAATAGATTCAAATTATTCTGAATATACATCCCGATTAGCAGCAGTTACAAGTGGATTTTTAGGCTGGGTACAGTGGCTCACACCTATAACCCCAGCACTTTGTGAGGCTGAGGTGGGCAGATCACTTGAGGCCAGAAATTCAAGACCAGCCTGGCCAACATGGTGAAACCCCATCTCTACTAAAAATACAAAAAATAGCCAGGCGTGGTGGCACACGGCTGTAGTCACAGCTACTCGGGAGGCTGAGGCATAAGAATCGCTTGAACCCGGGAGGCGGAGGTTGCAGTGAGCTGAGATTGTGCCACTGCACTCCAGCCTGGGTGACAGAGTGAGACTATCTCAAAAAAAGAAAAGAAAAAGTTAGCCAGGACTGGTGGCGCACACATGTGGTCCCAGCTGTGTGGGGAGCTGAAGTGGGAGGATCACTTGAGTCCAGGAGGTCGAGGCTGCAGTGAAATGTGATCATGCCAATGCACTCCTGCCTGGGTGACGGAGCGAGGCCTTGTCTCAAAAAACAAAAAGGTTTTTGTTTTGTTTTGTTTTGGGGTGTGTGTGTGTGTGTGTGTGTGTGTGTGTCAGGGCCTCTCTTTGTCACCCGGCTGGAGTGCAGTGGCACAGTTTTGGCTTACTATAACCTCTGCCTCCCGGGCTCAGGTGATCCTCCTGCCTCAGCCTCCTGAGTAGCTGGGACTACAGGTGCACATCACCATGCATGGCTAATTTTTGTATTTTTAGTAGACACAGGGTTTCACCATGTTGGCCAGGTTAGCCTCAAACTACTGACCTCAAGTAATCTGCCCCACCGCCCACCCCCCCGAGCCTCCCAAAGTGCTGAGATTAAAGTCATGAGCCACTGTGCCCGGCCCAAAATGCATTTTTAAAGGTAAAAAAGGGCTGGGCATAGTGGCTCACGCCTGTAATCCCAGCACCTTGGGAGGCCGAGGCAGGCCGATCACGAGGTCAGGAGTTCTAACCTGCCCAACATGGCGAAACCCCGTCTCTACTAAAAATACAAAAAATTAGCCAGGTGTGGTGGTGGGCACCTGTAATCCCAGCTACTTGGGAGGCTGAGGCAGGAGAATTGCTTGAACCCGGGAGATGGAGGTTGCAGTGAGCCAAGATTGCGCCATTGTACTCCAGCCAGGGTGAGAGCGTGAGACTCCGTCTCAAAAAACAAAAAAGAAAAGAAAAGAAAGGTAAAAAAGGAGGACAGTGAGTGGAATGATACAAAGTTATTTGTTAGGAATTCTCACCGGTTTTCAGAAATAACATTGATTAGTTATTGGCTATAGTGTCTGGTGTCCCATTATTAGGATAATTTATAGCTACCTGTAGAAGTAGCAAGCAGTTTCAAGAGATGAATACATAACTTAAAGGGGAGTGCAGGGTATAGGGTGCAATTGTGTGTCATGTTACTGTCTCTCTGGGTCTGATAATTAAAAGGATTTGCATTCCTCAGATAAAAGTTATTTTTATTTTATTTATTTTTATTTTTTTGAGACAGAGTCTCTCTCTGTCGCCCAGGCTGGAGTTCAGTGGCGCGATCTCAGCTCACTGCAACCTCCGCCTCCCAGGTTCAAGCGATTCCCAGGCCTCAGTCTCCCAAGAAGCTGGATTACAGGCACCTGCCACCTCACCAAATAAAAGTTATTTTCTTTTCCCAACAATTTGCATAGTGGCTTAAGGTGAAGATTCACGAGCTATGTGTCTTTGGGCAAATTATTTTACCTTTCTAACAGAGTATCCTTTTGAATCTGTCAATTAGAGGTGACAATTCCTATCTCAGAGGGCTGTTGTATGGACAACTGCGATAATGAAAGTGAAGCACTTAGGCATATCATTCTTTTTTAAAAAAACTTTGATATTATCTATAATAGTAAAAAAATAAAAAAAACAAATTTTCAATTGTGAACATGTTATAGCCAGGAGTGGTGTGGGTCATGCCTATAGTCCTAGTTACTCGGGAGGCTGAGGCAGGAAAATTGCTTGAGCCCAGGAGTTCAAGGCTGCAGAGAACTCTGATCAAACCACTGCATTCCAGCCTGGGCAACAGAGGGAGATTCTGTCTCAAAAATAAATAAATAAATACACATTAGATGTTACACACGATAAAATATCAAGCCATTGAACTAAATAACACAAATGGCATGAGGGTTATGACATACAGTTGAATAAGCAAGATGCATATTAGATTTACAATAGTCCTTGACATTAGTGTTTACCATTTGCTTGCATTAAATATTATTAGCAATGGCTATATACAATGTTATTTAAAATTTGGAAAATGAGGCACACCATTCTTCTAGTCCCTTCAGGCTCCATTTCCATCCAACTTCACTGCAACTCCATCCCAGCTCAGCCTTAGTGCCCTGGGAGGCCATTCCCACTATGTCCTTGCTGTCTCCAAGGGACCTGTAACCACAGGCAGGCAGCCCATACTTTCTAGTCCCTTTTAGTCCTCTGCTCATAAAACCAGGTGGCTGAGTTTTGCTGGGAATGGGCACTAAACCATGCTGCCTGCATCCTCCTGATTCATGCTGGTTGACCTCGATGGAGGCCACGTGGCAAGCTAGATTTCTTCTCCTGATGACTGACTGCCATTCTCCACACCCACTGCCCTGATTTCCCCCAGACCTCTCACTACAGCCTTCATTTTTACTGCAAAGAATGAGGCTACATCAGAGAAACAGCCTCAACCCCACTTCTCTTCTCCCTCAGAATATCTTCGCAGCTTCATCCTCTGGTCTCTGAGAAAATTGGGTCCCAAATGTGCTTGAAAACCATGGAATGCCATGCAACAGAAGCAGCAGACTAGATGCCACCCAGCCACAGCTGTAGAGCCTGAGAAGATGCTGAGTGAAGAAAAAGTAAAGCAGGATGAGCTCATTAGCTTCTTTTGTTTTTTTGTGGTTGCTTTTTGTTTGTTTTGTTTAGGTACAGGGTCTCCCTCTGTCGCCCAGGCTGCAGTGCAGTGGTACAATCATGGCTCACTGCAGCCTTGAACTCCTGGGCTCAGGTGATCTTTCTGCCTCACTCTGCCATGTAGCTGGGACTATGGGTGCACGCCAACATGGCCAGCTTTTTTTTTTTTTTAATTTTTTGTAAAGACAGTCTCACTGTGTTGCCCAGGCTGGTCTCGAACTCCTGGGCTCAAATGATCTTCTTGCCTTGACCTCCCGAAGTATTGAGATTACAGGCATGAGCAACTGTGCCTAGCCCAATAGCTAGCTTATTTTTAAAAGCAATTTTAAAATATATATCTTGGAGATATTTTTCTATTAGTATATAGAGAGCTTCCTTTTTTTTTTTTTTTTTTGAGTTGGAGTTTTGCTCTTGTTGCCCAGGCTGGAGTGCAATGGCGCCATCTCGGTTCACTGCAACCTCCACCTCCCGGGTTCAAGCGATTATCCTGCCTCAGCCTCCCGAGTAGCTGGGATTACAGGCACCCGCCACCATGCCCGGCTAATTTTTTATATTTTTGGTAGAGACGGGGTTTCACCATGCTGGCCAGGAATGGTCTTGAACTCCTGACCTCAAGTGATCTGCTCGCCTCGGCCTCCCAAAGTGCTAGGATTACAGGCATAAGCCACCGTGCCTGGCCGAGATCTTCCTTATTTTTTTTATAGCTGTATAGTATTGCACTGGATTAAAGTCTCGTTATTTAGCAGTTCTTTGTTGACAGTTTTTTCCAATCTTTCATTATTATAAATAGTGCTGCAATAAATAACACTATACATGTTATTTTATCCCAGTAAAATATTTTTATACAATAAATTTCTAAAAGTAGGATTATTGGGCTAAAGAGTATGTATATCAGTAATTCTGAAAAAAAGGAAATTCCCCTCTATAAGGGTAATACTAATTTGTACTCCCACAAGCAAGATAAGAGACTGCCGTTTTCCCCTACAGACTCATAAACACCGTGTGTGGGCAAGTTTTTACATATTTCTAATCTGGTAGAAGAAAAATGGTATCTCAGCATAGCCATAATTTGCATTTCTCTTACAGCAAATGAGATTGAGCAACTGTTCATTTTTTGCTTTTGCTTGCATTTTATTTTCTATGAACTATCTCTTTATATTCTTTGGGAACATATATGTTATATATATGAAATATATGTTATATATAACATGGTATATATGTTACATATATATGTGTATATATAACATATGTTATATATTAAATACATATATTATATGTAACATATATGTTATATATATGTTCCCAAAGAATATAGAGTTACATATTTTATATATATATATATACATTTTTTTTTAAAGGTCTCACTATGTTGCCAGGCTGGAGTATGGCAGCTATTTACAGGGGGGATCATCAGGCACTATAGCCTGGAACGCCTGGGCTCAAGTGATCCTCCTGCCTGAGCCTCTTGTCCTTGCCCATTTTTGTACTGGACATTTTTTTTCTTTTTCTTTTTCTTTTTCTTTTTCGAGACAAAGTTTTGCTCCTGTTGCCCAAGCTGGAGTGCAATAGTGTGATCTAGGCTCACTGCAACCTCTGCCTCCCATGTTCAAGCGATTCTCCTGCCTCAGCCTCCCAAGTAGCTGGGATTACAGGTGCCCACCACCACGCCTGGCTGGCTTTTATATTTTTAGTAGAGATGGGGTTTCACCACCTTGGCCAGCCTGGTCTCGAACTCCTGACCTCAGGTGATCAGCTCCCCCCAGCCTCCCAAAGTGCTGGGATTACAGGCGTGAGCCACTGTGCGCAGCCCGTTTTTGTTTTTTCTTATAATTTTTTTTTTTTTGAGACAGAGTCTCACTCTGTCTCCTAGGCTGGAATGTAGTTGCGGGATCTTGGCTCACTGCAGCCTTTGTCTCCTGGGTTCAAGCGATTCTCCTATCTCAGCCTCCCGAGTAGCTGGTATTACAGGCACGTGCCACCATGCCCGGCTAATTTTTGCATTTTTTAGTAGAGACAGGGTTTCTCCATGTTGGCCAGGCTGGTCTTGAACTCCTGACCTCAGGTGATCTGCCCACCTCAGCCTCCCAAAGTGCTGGGATTACAGGTGTGAGCCACCGCACCCGGCCTCTTCTTGCTCTTTATCAGTGCCTCTGTGTGTGTGCGCGCTTGCGTGTGTGTGTGTGTGTGTGTGTGTGTTTATTTACAAAGTAATTTCAAAATAATTGTCTTAAACTGACTCCATCCCTGTGGGAGTCTGTAACTGCACTTTCCTACCTGTTGGACAGCTCTCTGGGCTTATTCTGTCTTCCAAGGAAGGTGAGTGAGGTGCTGACGTGGGAATCTCCAAGTTCCCATCCTGCTCATCCCCACAACAGCTTCATTCTCTCCTTGACCCCCCTTCCCCCACCCACTTTTCTCTTGCCCCCCATCCACTCCCTCCAGAGACGTCAAACGCTAGGTTTCACAGGGCTTCAGAATCCTGTTGGGAACCTGGATCATCACCTCATCCACCAAAAGGGTCCTGGTTTCCCTGTTTCTGTAAGTGACACAGCCAGGAAGGACGTCCAGGACTCGCCTGAGCATTGTGGCTGGCTGACGCCTCAGGTCCGCTAAGCATTTCCTGAATTCACCCCACTGTCTGGCTCCCGTCTGCTCCTATTCTTCCTCACCTGAACCCTAACCCCCTCCCTACAGCATGGATAGAGGGGCTGTTTGTCACATTCTACCCATTCTTCATTCCCAGGACACCCCCTCTTTTCTTCTTGGAAGCCCTCCTCTCTCTCTGGCCACTCCTCCAGGCCTCGGGTTAAAGCTCCACCCTCCAGGAAGCCAGCTCTCACTTTTCACACATTGGCCAAGTGTCCTGGACTCCTAAGGTGCAGGCCATTTCTTTTTCTGTCTTGTAATTTCCTGTTTCCTCCTGCCTCTCCTACTGACCATATCTTGAGAGCAGGACTGTCTTTTTCTCTGATGTACTTCGAGAGCCTGCACAAGAGTGTGTTGACTAAAGCAACCAATGGCGGTCCCAGCTAACGTGACCGCTTCCTATTTTGAACTTCAAAGCTCTCCATCCAGGATGCCTCTTAAGGGCCAAAGTGCCCCAGCTGGAATTGGAACCCTCCCAGGTCTGATGCACAAACTTTTTTACCTTGACTGTCTTCCTACCACCCTTTTCTGTCACCGAGGCCCTCTCTGAACTTCAGTTTACTCATCTGTCAAGGAAGAGAACACTCAGGGGAAAATTATAAGGGCCAATTGAACCATATACTTGTAAATAATAATAGGATAAATGAATATGAGCTCTGGGATATAACAAAGAGTGCTACTAGTCATTGAATATTTACATTGTTATGTTTTCTTTTTCTTTTTTTTTCCATATAGAGTCTCGCTCTGTCACCCAGGCTGGGTGTAATCCCAAAGTGCTGGGATTACAGGTGTGAGCCACTGCACCTGACATGTTTTCTATACCAGGTACCATTCTAACATTCAACCTGTATTATGCCCTTAATCCTAACAAATTGGCTCCATTTCACAGAAAAGTGAACTGAGGCACAGAATGGCTAATGACTTATTTGCCTAAGATTCCACACTGGCAGTAGAGGAGCTGGGATTTGCACGTGGGCAGCATAGCTCCACAGTCCATTTGCTTAACTATCACCCCATATTGTCTTTCTATGAAATAATACTATTCCTATTATTTGGTCTCAGAGCTGCCCTCTCCACCTAAAATGAATCCAATCACACAGCCGCTCTCTTCTAGCATGATTCTAACTCTAACAGTAATTTCTGGCCAGGCGCGGTGACTCATGCCTGTAATCCCAGCACTTTGGGAGGCCAAGGCTGGTGGATCACCTGAGGTCAGGAGTTCGAGACTGGTCTGGCCAAAACATGGTGAAAACCTGTCTCTACTAAAAATACAAAGTTAGCCGGGCGTGGTGGCACACACCTGTAATCCCAGCTACTCGGAAGGCTGAGGCAAGAGAATCACTTGAACCCAGGAGGCAGAGGCTGCCGTGAACTGAGATCGTGCCCTTGCACTCCAGCCTGGGAGACAAGAGCAAAACTCCGTCTCCAAAAAAAAAAAAGTAATTTCCATAGGTAGAGTTTTGTGCAGGTACCCACTTTCTTGGAGATATGTTCAAAATGTAGCAGCTCTTTAAAAAGAACTATTCCAATATTTTCTGTTCTTTGATATATATGTTATCAGATCCAACTAGAATACTCATCAGGTGAACTAAACACAGAGAAGTTTAACGACATCTGTTGTCATAATTGGTATGGACTTGCCTTTAGTGGTATTGAAAAATGTATTTTCCCCAAACCCACCATTCCAGGTCCTCATCACTCTTAGAATGAAGTCTCTAGTCCCTTCCCTCATATTTCCAGAACTCTCTTATTAAGAGGAAGATGGGGCAAGGGGGGAAGAAAATAGGCTAGCCTGGGCAGGGGCATCCACTGGATTTTCAAGGAGCAGAGGAGAGTGATAAGCAGAGCTCCGCTGGGCACCTGCAGTCCTTCTGGGCCATGATGCAGGGAGCAGGCTGCACTCCCAGGATTGCCATGGTGTGGCGTGGCAAGGTCACCCCCAGCCTCCCTCTTTGCCCATCCTGTTCCACTCCCTTGATGGCAGCCTCACCTCCAGCAGGATCCCTCATCCCTGGCACAAAGAGCCAACTCCTGCCTACGGGGGCTGGAGAGGAAAGGCAGGGTGGAAAGGGGTCAGCTCTAGACACCCAAGGAGACACTGAGGACAGAAAGGAGGATGCTCGGGGACAGCTGGAAGCAAGAGGCCTGCCTGCCAGCACCGCACTCCCTAACTGCCAGGCCACACTGCCTCGACTTCTGGGGAGCCAGAAACTTGAGGGAGGTCGGGAAGGAAAGGGAGGGAAAAAGATGGAAGAGAGTTTGGGAGATCTAGAGAAAGACTGCAGCGGTTAGGGAGACCAGTACATGTTTCACACCATGTTACATAGATGGTGTGCAGAATAATAATAAAATACAGAGGATAGCAAATAATAAACAGAATACTGCCGTATATTCGCCACCAAGATTAAAGTGTTAACAGTTTGTCTTATTTCTTTCCATTTTCTTTTTATTTATTTATTTATTATTATTATTTTTAAGACAGAGTCTTGCTCTGTTGCTCAGGCTGGAGTGCAGTGGCACAAGCTCAGCTCATTGCAACCTCCTCCGCCTCTTGGGTTCAAGCAATTCTCCTGCCTCAGCCTCCCGAGTAGCTGGGATTACAGGTGCGCACCACCAAGCCCAGCTAATTTTTGTAATTTTAGTAGAGATGGGGTTTTGCCATGTTGGCTAGGCTGGTCTCCAACTCTTGACCTCAAGTGATCTGCCCACCTCTGCCTCCCAAAGTGCTGGGATTACAGGCACAAGCTACCACGCCTGGCCACTTTCTTTCTTTTTTAAAGGAATAACACATTACTGAAACAGCTATAGTCTCCTCCTGTCCCTGTGGAACATCGCCATCTCTGCCCGTTCTCCCTGAAAGGGAACCACTCTCCTGAAATTCTGTCTTTCCCATCTATGCTGTAATTTTTTTTTTATGTGTGTGTGAGAGACAGGGTCTCACTCTGTCACCCAGACTGAAGTGCAATGGCATGATTGTGGCTCACTGCAGCCTCAACTTTCCGGGCTCAAGTGATCCTCCCACCTCAGCCTCCCAAAACGTTGGGATTACTGGCATGAGCCACTATACCTGGCTATGTTTCTACTTTTACTACATGGATATGCACCCACAAAAATATATATTATTGTTCATGTATCATAAATTCTTACAAATATGTAATTTGGCCCATATCCTTTTGCCATTTGGTTTTATTTTACTCACGTTATGTATCATGTTTTTGATACTTATCCCTTTTGATACATGAGATAGTACTTTCATTTTATCTGCTGTATTCTGTTTTATGAATAAATCTAAATTTACTTTTCTATTCTCCTATTCATGGACACTTAAGTTGTTTCTAATTTTTTTTGTTATTATAAAGAACATGAATGGACAATTTTGGTTTCTTTTTTTCCTTTTTTTTGAAACAGAGTCTCACTCTGTTGCCCAGGCCGGGAGTGCAGTGGCATGATCTCAGCTCACTACAACTTCTGCCTCCCAGGTTCAAGCGATTCCCCTGCCTCAGCCTCCTGAGTAGCTGGAATTACGGGCACCTGCCACCATATCCAACTAATTTTAGTATTTTTAGTAGAGACAGGGTTTCACTATGTTGGCCAGGCTAGTCTCAAACTCCTGCCTCGGCCTCTCAAAGTGCTAGGATTATAGGCGAGAGCCATCACTCCCAGCCTGGACATCCTTGTACATATCTCCGTATCATATCTATGGGAGTTTCTCTAGAGCCACCCCTACAGTTTAGAATTGCTGGGTTCCAGGGAAATAAATAATAAACATGCAATTCCAGGTTTATCAGATAGTGCCAAATTGCCCTCTGAAATCATTGTGTTATAAACTCTTTCTTTAGGCTGGGAGCAGTGGCTCACACCTGTAATGCCAGCACTTTGGGAGGCTGAGGCTGGCGGATCACCTGAGGTCAGGAGTTTGAGACCAGCCTGGCCAACAGGGTGAAAGCCCATCTCTATTAAAAGTACAAAAATTAGCTGGGCGTGGCGATGCACACCTGTAATCCCTGCTACTCAGAAGGCTGAGGCACGAGAATCACTTGCACCCGGGAGGCGGAATTTGCGTTACTGTACTCCAGCCTGGGCTACAGAGTAAGGCTCGGTCTCCAAACAAACAAACAGGACGGGCGCAGTGGTTCATGCCTGTAATCCCAACACTTTGGGAGGCTGAGGTGGGCGGATCATTTGAGGTCAGGAGTTCAAGACCAGCCTGACCAAAATGGAGAAACCCTGTCTCTATTAAAAATACAAAATTAGCTGGATGTGGTGGCACATGCCTGTAATCCCAGCTGCTCAGGAGGCTGAGGCAGAAGAATCGCTTGAACCTGGGAGGCGGAGGTTGCAGTGAGCTGAGATGGCGCCATTGCATTCCAACCTGGGTAAGAAGAGCAAAACTCCGTGTCAAAACAAACAAACAGGTTGGGCATGGTGGCTCATGCCTGTAACCCCAGCATGTTGGGAGGCTGAGGAGGGCAAATCACCTGAGGTCAGGAGTTCAAGACTAGCCTGACCAACATGGCAAAATGCCATCTCTACTAAAAATACAAAAATTAGCCAGTAATCCCAGCTACACCAGAGGATGAGGCAGGAGAATAACTTGAACCCAGGAAGCAGAGGCTGCAGTGAGCCGAGATCGAGTCACTGTACTCCAGCCTGGGGGACAGAGCAAGACTTCATCTCAAAAACAAACAAACAGGCTGGGCACGGCGGCTCACGCCTGTAATTCCAGCACTTTGGGAGGCGGAGGCAGGCGGATCATTTGAGGTCAGGAGTTCGAGACCAGCCTGACCAACATGGTGAAACCCCATCTCTACTAAAAATACAAAAATTAGCTGGGTGTGGTGGCAGACGCCTGTAATGCCAGCTCCTCCGGAGGCTGAGGCAGAAGAGTCGCTTGAACCCAGGAGGCGGAGGTTGCAGTGAGCTGAGATCATGCCACTGCACTCCAGCCTGGGTGACAGAGTGAGACTCCGTCTCAAAAAAACAAACAACAAAAAAGCACCACCTCTCCTTCCAGTACCCTATGACTTGCCACTTCTCAGGAGTATGATGTGGTAACTCTTTCTGGGTATAGTTTGCAGTTCTCCATTGTCAGGGATAACTAGCTTTTCACATTTATGGATTACTTACTCATGTTTCAGGAGATTGCCACCTCTGATCCTTTGTTTCTTTTTCTGTCATTTTCTTATTGATTATATTATATTATGTTTTAATAAAGACAGGGCCTCACTATGTTGCCCAGGTTGGCCTTGAACTCCTGGGATCAAGTGATCCTCCTGCATCACCCTCCCAAAATGCTGGGATTACAGGGGTGAACTACCACTCCTGGCCCTATTGATTATAAAAGTATGTTACTTGTAATTGATACTAAATCTTTTTCAATTATATGGACTGCAAATATCTCCTTCCAGCCTGCGGGGGATTGTCTTTTCACTTTGTAGTATCTTTTGTAGTATCAAAAGATCTCAACTTACTATTGAAGCTAGGTGGCTCATGCATAGGAGTTTATTATACTATTCTCATAATTTAAAAAATTGCCATAACAAAAAGTTTGTAAGAATCTATACAACACATAATTCTCTACTATCCCAAATTCCTCTTTTTTTTTTTTTTTTTTTTTTTTTTGAGATAGAGTCTCGCTCTGTCACCCAGGCTGGAGTGCAGTGGTGCGATCTCGGCTCACTGCAACCTCCGCCTCCTGGGTTCATGCCATTCTCCTGCCTCAGCCTCCCGAGTAGCTGGGACTACAGGTGCCCGCCACTACCACGCCCGGCTAATTTTTTATATTTTTAGTAGAGATGGGGTTTCACCGTGTTAGCCAGGATGGTCTCGATCTCCTGACCTCGTGATCTACCCGCCTCGGCCTCCCAAAGTGCTGGGATTACAGGCGTGAGCCACCGTGCCTGGCCTATCCCAAATTCCTAAAGATCTGTGCCTATATTTAATTTAATTTATTTACTTATTTATTTTTTTGACAGTCTTGCTCTGTTGCCCAGGCTGGAGTGCAGTGGCGCAATCTCAGCTCACTGCAAACTCCACCTTCCAGGTTCAAGCAGTTCTCCCACCTCAGCCTCCCCAGTAGCTGGGATTACAGGCACCAGTGCCTATATTTTATAGTTTGACTTTATACATTTAGATCTCTAATGCCACCAGAATTTTTTTTTTTTTTTAAGTTTTGGTCTGTCGCCCAGGCTGGATTACAGGCGTGCACCACCATGCTCAGCTAATTTTTGTATTTTTAGGAGAGACAGGGTTTTTCCATGTTGGTCAGGCTGGTCTCAAACTCCTGACCTCAAGTGATCTGTCCTTGGCCTCCAGACATACTGGGATTACAGGCGTGAGTAACTACACCTGGCCCAGAATTTATTTTTGTAATTGATGTGCCAGAGGATCAAATCTTATTTTTCCTTTTGGGGATGGCCAACTGTTCCAGCCCTATTTCTGACCATTTTTGTCCCTTCACTGACCAGCAATTCCCCCTCTCCCCTACATGTTCTTGGATCTGTTTCTAATCTCTCTATTCTGTTCCTTAGTCACTGTGTCTATTCTTGCATTTTGCCACACTGTTTTCATTCCCATATTACCAGATTGGCCAGATTGGTATCTATAGGGCTAGTGCCCTCTTATTTTTGTTATCTTTCTTTCATTATTTATTTTAGAGACAGGATCTCACTCCAGTCACCCAGGCTGGAGTACAGTGGTGCTATCATGGTTCACTGTAGTCTAGACTTCCCAGGCTCAGGTGATCCTCCCACCTCAGCCTCCCGAGTAGCTGGGACTACAGGTGTGTGCCACTGTGCCCCCTAATTTTCTTTTGTATTTTTAGTAGAGACAGTTTCATCATGTTGCCCAGGCTGATCTCGAACTCCTCGGCTCAAGTGAACTGCCTGCCTCGGCCTCCCAAAGTGCTGGGATTACAGGCGTGAGCCCCCACGCCTGGCCCCCCTCTTCTTTTTCTTCTTCAGCATTAACTTGGTTATTCTTGGTCTTTTTTTCCCATATAAATTTTATTTTATTCTTTTTTGAGACTCCCATATAAATTTTACAATCAGCTTCCAGAAAGACAAAAAACACAGATTGGTGGATTCTTGGTCAGAGTTGCATTGAATTTCTAATTAATTTGGGGGAGAACTAATTTTTTTTTTTTTGAGACAGTCTCTCTCTGCCACCCAGGCTGGAGTCCAGTGGCATGATCACTGTTCGCTGCAGCCTCAATCTCCCGGGCTCAAGCCATCCTCCCACCTCAGCCTCCCAAGTAGCTGAGACTATAGGAGTAAGCCATCATGTCTGGCTAATTTTTGTATTTTTTGGTAGAGACTGGGTTTTGCCATGTTACCCAGGCTGGTCTCAAACTTCTGGGCTCAAGCAATCCAAGCGTCTTGGCCTCCTAAAGTGTTGGGATTACAGGCATGAGCCACCGTGCCCGGTCAGAACTAACATCTTTATAACAATTATAGCCAGGCACAGTGGCTCATGGTAGCCTGTTCCTGTAGTCCCGGCTACTCAGGAGATTGATGTGGGAGGATTGCTTGAACTTAGGAGGTCAAGGCTACAGTGAGCTATGATTGTGCCACTGCACTCCAGGCCTGGGAGACAGAGGAAGAGCCTACCTCTTAAAAAAAAAAAATTATAACATAATACTTTACTGACCATTACCTTGCCTCATTCACTCAAATATTCAAATATTTAGGTCTTCTTTTTTGGTTTCTCCATAAAAAATTTGTTTCTCCACTGGGGTCTTGCCTAGTTTTTTTTATTTTATTTTATTTTTTATTTTTAGACAGAGTCTTGCTCTGTCACCCAGGTTGGAGTGCAGTGGCACGATCTGGGCTCACTGCAACTTCTACCTCCCGGGTTCAAGCAATTCTCCTGTCTCAGCCTCCCAAGTAGCTGGGACTACAGGCGCCTGCCACCACACCTGGCTAATTTTTGCATTTTTAGTAGAGATGGTGTTTTACCTTGTTGGTCAGGCTGGTCTCAAATTCCTGACCTCAGGTGATCCATCTGCCTCAGCCTCCCAAAGTGCTGGGATTACAGGCGTGAGCCATCGCGCCTGGCCATCAGGTTTTTATTAGATTTTTTTCCCTGTGGCATTGTGGTTTTTGCTGCTCTCCCTCCCCACATCAGATATGCTAGGCATGTCCTTCCTTACCTTCTCCTCAAGCTCCTCTGTCCACCCTCATCCCTCTCACTGTCCAGGAAACAGCTGTCTCCTGCCCCAACAACTGACTGTTCCCTCTGAGGCATTGCCAGAGAGGGTAGGGCCCCCACCTCCCACCCTCAGGGTCCTGTCAGCTGAGTGGGGGGTGGGGGGCAGTGGGCAACAGCTGTTGCAGTGGGGACAATGGCTGTATTCTATACAAGCTCCTTTCCTGGGCCACCTCCTCCTCCCTGGCTAGAACAACTGTTCTTGTGGATTGGGGAGTCCCATCTGTCTGTGCTAGCTACTCTTTCAGGCAACCTCCAACTCCCTGGCCCATTTTGCTCATGTCTTACAGGCATATCCAGTGTGTGTCCCACTGCCCGGTCGCCTGTGCATGGGTCTATCATTGCCTGGAATTGGTGGGCAGAGGAATGATGGTCATGGATAAGGGACCATCCCTCCAAAGCGCATCACCTCTTCTTTCAGTGGTCACATTCAGGCCCTAGCTCCTCACTCAGGTAGGTGGTTTCTGGCCTGTTGTCCCAGGCAGAAAGGCACTGTGATTATGACAGGGCTGAGCTCCCAGTTCCTGGGCTAGAACTCCGCCCATTCCCCACCCACACTGCCTATACCTGGCTGGCTCTGGTTCCTGGCCCCAAGGTCTCCCCACCTGCTCCTTGGTAACATCACCCCTTGACACACCCTGCCCTTGATGAGGCCTCCCTGGCTCCTTGTCAGAACTCCTTGTTTAGGGGTCAGAGCTGTCCTCAACCTCCCACAAACAGGAAGGGCCCCACACCAATGCTGATTTCCCAGAGGACAACAGGCCAGTGAAACATGACAGAGCGAGGGGCCACAGCCTCCGCAGGCCTCCCTTGATTCTTCAAGCATTAACAGAGCCCCAGCCTCTGATCTAAGTGCTGCCCATGAGCAGCAGGGTGCCTTGCATCAGGCCTCCAAGGAGCAGCAAGTTCTCTGCTGGCCTCTGACATAAGGGTGGAAGGAAGGAAACTAATATTTATGAGACACCTACCTGGTAGCCAAACTCTGAGCCTCACATTCTCCTCATCTCTTTATCTGGTCAGCTGTAGGTATTATTATAATTCCCATTTTAGGGAGGGGGACCACCCCATAGCACAGCTCCGGAAGGTGCCACTCTCAACTCCCGCTGTGCAATATACAGCCTGCTCTGGCATCCAGAGGGGCCCTGAGAGAGGGTCCCAGAGCCAGCATGTGGTTCCAGAGCGACCAACTCAGAAGCACCTCCAGCCAACTTCACGAGCTGGGACCCAGACACATGTTTTTAATGCAAGTCATGCGGAGGCAGTGGCCTGTCGCAGCATGCTCTTGAGCGCCTGGGTGGAGACATGCAGAAGGGGTGGGAAGAGCAGGACTCTCGGTGCCCGTGGGTCTGGCAAGAACCCATTAGCTCTAGTGCAACTCTTGCTATCATTCCTGCTTTCCCCATCTGCTGTCTGTCACTCTGGTGGCTCTTGGTGTGTCTGTCCTCTTCACCATTGACCCAGAGCCTTGCACGGGCTTTCACACAGTTGGCACACAATGTATGTTGTCATGTCTGGCCCGATTAACTGATGCCTGTGTATGGGCATCATCCAGAATGTTTCTGGATGGCCCTGGGCATCTGGGGAGTGGACCACAAAGGCAGATCCCAGGGGCCACTTAGTGCCAGCCCACAGTCCTCACCTTCACAGGTTGGTATCCAGATACTATTTTTTTTTTTTTTCAATTGACCTTAAGGAAACAGGAGATTTGGTCAGTTTCCTCAAAGTTGCCTGCAGAGCATGGGAGGCAGAGGTCAGGGAAGTGCAGGAAGGATCCATGACACAAGGCTAAACTGGGAACTGGAAGAAACTGCTCCCTGGCGGCTTTGTTCCTGACGAAGATGGTTATTTTTCCAGGAATGCTGAGGAAATCCACAGCAGCTTTAGTGTTCCCGCCTTGGAGAAAATGTCTGGGGCAGGCAAGGGAGGTGGGGTGGAGCTAATGGAAGTGAGGATGGGAAGGTGGTGGAGAGGGCAGTTAATCCCAGGAAGAGTCAGGGGTTAGAGAGTAAACTAAGACTAGATCCATTCCTTGGAGCCAGCCACTGCCCCTCCCCCACCTCCCTGCCCAAACCCCTCTGGAGTTCCCCATTGTTCCCAGAGACAATAGCTAGTTTCCTTTACCTGCCTCATCATCCCAGGCCCAGGAATCTCTCACTCTGTTTACAAGAGGCAGCGGTGGGGTAGGAGTATCTGGGCCTTACCCCAGGGTCCAAGGATCTCACCGCTGGAAGATCCCACAGCTATGGAAACTGAGGCTGGGAGGAGTGGGATGTGACTTAGCCAAGGTCACAGCAACCACAGATGTGGGCCAGTGCTTGGTGGGGCCTCCACGGTTCCCCGTGGAGTACGCACTTTGGTGGTTCTCAGAGGGAGCCATCAGGGCCTGCCGTTCCTCCCCTCGAGACTCTCTCCAGCTGTCTGTGCAGCCCAGGGGTTCTCACACACATCCTGGGAGTGTGTTTAGATCAGTGGAGCCCTGGAACCCAGCTGCACAGACTCTGGGGCAAGCAAACCTGGGTTTGGATCCTGCCACAGAACCTTCATTTATTTGTTCCGTAAACCAAAAAAAAAGTGTGTGAGACAGATCTCCGTCAACTTAGCGGTTTATTTTGCCAAGGTTGACGATAAGCCTGGGAAAAAGAGACAAAAGTTACAGAAGGCTCTGTGGCCTGTCCTTTTTCCAAAGACAGTTTCAGGATTTCCATTCTTAAAGGGGAAAGAGCAGCAGGAGGGAAAAGAGGAACAGTCCATTACTGGTGAGATTCAACAGAACTTGGCCTTAGGGTGAGGACTTTGGAGCCCACAAGGAATTCCTCCTGAGCAATTTGTGAGAAAGGTCACCTGGGGAAATATGCGGCCTTCCATTGCTGCAGCTGTCTGTTTAGGAACCAAAATAAGGCAGTTTTTGTGTGACTCAGTTCCCAAGCTTAACTTTTCCCTTTGTGAGTTTGGGGTCTCTTTTCCTTTCACATTTCTTACAACAATTTTTACTAGTATTTATTGCCAAGCACTGGGCCACAACAAAATTGTTCCTACTCTCAAGTCCCTTCTCTCAAGGAACTTATGTTTTATTTCTTTATTTTTATTTATTTATTTATTTTTGAGACAGAGTCTCGCTCTGTCACCCAGGCTGGAGTGCAGTGGCATGATCTTGGCACACTGCAACCTCTGCCTCCCGGGTTCAAGAGATTCTTCTGCCTCAGCCTCCTGAGTAGCTGGGATTACAGGCACGCATCGCCATGCCCGGCTAATTTTTTGTATTTTTAATAGAGACTGGGTTTCCATGTTGGCCCAGCTGGTGTCTCAAACTCCTGACCTCAGGTGATCCACCCGCCTTGGTCTCCCAAAGTGCTGGGTTTACAGGAGTGAGTCACTGCGCCTGGTGGAACTTACGTTTTAGTAAGGGAGGCAGATAACCAACAAGATAAGGAAGTAAAATATATAGCATGTCTGACAATGATTTAGCAGAGAGGTAAAGAAAGTAGAGGAAAGGATGGCAGGGCAGCTGGAGGTGGGGTGGAAGGACTGTACATTTAAATAGGATGGTTGGGTAATATTTGAGCAAAGATTTGAAGGAGGTCACAGATGAAGCCACGTAGATTTCTGGATAAAGACCCTTTTGGTAGGTGCTTGAGCCTGAGTAGGGGCTCAGGACATACCACTCCAAAACAGAACTGCCAGTGACTAGACTGTGCCACCCCAAAATATACCTCTTTGGGATATTGATTATTTCAAGCTGGTTATTTTAAGAAACTGTAGACATGGGAGTTGCTCTGAAAAGCTGTTCTTTTATAAAGGAAATCTACATTTAACAAGGAAATTTTCACGGGAGAGGGTATCTATATCAGGAAGAGATTTACTCCAGACAATTTTTATCACCTGAGAGACTTGTATCTTACATAGCAAGGCACACTTTATTCACCACCCATTTCCTCCCCTCACCCTCTTATGTCTCCATCACCCCTAGAGGCCCCAAACCCCTATTGTGTAGCTCAGGATAGTACATAAGCCTTAATTTTTGGGTTGTTTCTTGGGGTCTTATATTTTTGTGGGACTCCTGTGCATACATATGAAATTAAAAATGTTTTTCTCCTGTAAATCTGTCTATGTCAATTTAATTCATAGACCTGCCAAAGAACTTAGAAGGGTACCAAGAAGCAATATTTTTTTCTCTTCTATAGTTGTAGAACCCCAAAACTCAGTTTGAGTACCTGATGTGCAGGAAGCCAAACAGTGACACATCAGTGCTTCAGAAGAGAGAATGGTTTATTTGATTTGGCCAACGGGTGAGCATGGGAGAGACACACTTTCAAATCTGACCTGCCTTTGAACATAACTGGGGGCTTTTATGAGTAAGGTAGGTTGTGGGAGGTGATATTCCCCGGTGATCAAAGCTGCTAACAGCCCCAGGTTGATCAAACTTTCTGGATGCCTTCAAGGAGGTCTGCATGACCTAGAGATCATCGTTCTTTGAAAAAAAAAAAATTCATTAGTCTTGCGGGCAACCCCCCAGGGTCAGGGTATGAAGTTAATCAATTATTAGTGACTAACCTCTACCAAAATCACTATGTATAAGCAATTATCCATTGGAAGAGGAAAAGGACAAAGAAAAAGGAAAATAGCAGTGGTTCACATCTATAATCCCAGCACTTTGGGAGGCTGAGGATGGTGGATCGCTTGAACCTAAGAGTTTGAGACCAGCCTGGGCAACATGGAAAAACCCTATCTCTACCAAATAAATAAATAAATAAATACAAAAATTAGCGGCTGGGGGCGGTGGCTCATGCCTGTAATCCCAGCACTTTGAGAGGCCAAGGTGGGTGGATCACGAGGTCAGGAGTTCAAGACCAGCCTGACCAACATGGTGAAACCCCATCTCTACTAAAAATACAGAAATTAGCCAGGCATGGTGGCGGGCGCCTGTAATCCCAGCTACTTGGGAGGCTGAGGCAGGAGAATTGCTTAAACCCAGGAGGTGGAGGTTGCAGTGAGCTGAGATCGCTCCACTTCACTCCAGCCAGGGCAACAGAGCAAGACTTCTTCTCAAAAAAAAAGAAAAGAAAAAATTTAGCCAGGCGTACTGGTGCATGCCTGTAGTCTCAGCTACTTGGGAGGCTGAGGTGGGAGGATCACTTGAGCCTGGGAGGCAGAGGTTGCAATGAGCTAAGATCACACCACTGCACTCCAGTCTGAGAGACAGAGCCAGACCCTTTCTCAAAAAAAAAAAAACAAAACAAAAAAAAACCTCATTTTTGTTGTTGTTGTTGTTTCTTTTTTAGTAATATAGGCTCTGTTACAAAGGGACCTTACTGTCTGGGACCTGCTAGCTCCAGTACTGCCACAATGCAGGATTCCAGGTAAGATTCTTACCATATTAGGCTCCTAGATCTCTGCCTGCAGGGTATGGTCAAAGTGAGATTGGTAAATGTGTCTTTGGTTTTGTTTCTTCTCTTTATTTACTTATTTTTTATTTTATTTTATTTTTTGAGATAGAGTCTCACTCTGTCGCCCAGGCTAGAGTGCAGTGGCTCAGTCTTGGCTCACTGCAACTGCCGCCTCCTGGGTTCAGGTGATTCTTGTGTCTCAGCCTCGGGTAGCTGGGATTACAGGCGCCCGCCACAACGTCCAGCTAATTTTTGTATTTTTTTAGTAGAGACGGGGTTTTGCTGTGTTGGCCAGGCTGGTCTAAAACTCCTGGCCTCAAATGATCCACCTGCCTCGGCCTCCCAAAGTGTTGGGGCTACAGGCGTGAGCCACTGCACCTGGCCTGTTTTTCCCCTTTCTGAATTTAGATTAACAAGATAAAACATTTGTGTGTTCTTGTGTAGCACACTAGGGTTTGGGGATTTTTCTTTTATTTTTTGGTCTAGTACTTGTTTCTGATCCCTTGCCTCCTGGGGATAGTCATTTTTGTTTGTTTGTTTTTTGCCTCTATCTTTTGTGTCCTTTGTCATAAGGAGGAGAATCATGGAATGAGGGTCTCCTTTTGTCTTGTTTTATGTCTTGATGGCTTGGCTTTGTGACCAGTGAGGGTATTCTCTGTGGTCTCTGCCAGCCAGGGGTGCAAGTGTTGGCTTGCATCAGGCAGCCAGTCTAACAGGCTGGGAGCCCGAGACATGAAGTGACAGGAGTATTCTCTCCGTGTGGCCTTGTCAGCTCTCGAGGTGTTTGTCTTAATAAGAGGTCCCAGTCTATAAGGGGCCTATGACTTCTCAACCTCCATTGCTTGGTTAGTGCTGGGAAAGTCCCCTCCAATTAATGCCTGCCCAGAGAGAGGACAACTGCTGTCAAAGATGAGCAGATTAGCAGGTTAATGACTACAGTCATCCCACATTCCTTGGCAAACCAAGATTTCATTTTCACAAACACTATCCTTAACTGCCTGTGACAGGGAAGGTCTTTACTTTTTTTTTTTGAGACGGAGTCTCGCGGTCTCCCAGGCTGGAGTGCAGTGGTGCGATCTCCGCTCACTGCAAGCTCCGCCTCCCAGGTTCACGCCATTCTCCTGCCTCAGCCTCACACCCACCACCACGCCTGGCTAATTTTTTTGTATTTTTAGTAGAGATGGGGTTTCACCGTGTTAGCCAGGATGGTCTCGATCTCCTGACCTCGTGATCCACCCGCCTTGGCCTCCCAAAATGCTGGGATTACAGGCATGAGCCACCGTGCCTGGTGGTCTTTGCTTTCTTTGGCTGTCTCTGGGACTGAACTTTTTGGATCATAGGGCTGCAACTTCTGCATCCACATCGGGAATGCTATTTGTACCCACAGGAAAGATTTTTTTTTTTTTAGGAGTTTCACTCTTGTTGCCCAGGCTGGAGTGCAATGGCATGGTCTCGGTTAACTGTAACCTCCACCTCCCGGGTTCAAGCGATTCTCCTGCCTCAGCCCCCTGAGTAGCTGGGATTACAGGCATGCACCACCACGCCCAGCTAATTTTGTATTTTTAGTAGAGCGAGGTTTCTCCATGTTGGTCAGGCTGGTCTCGAACTCCCTACCTCAGGTGATCCGCCCACTTCAGCCTCCCAAAGTGTTGGGATTACAGGCATGAGCCACTGTGCCCGGTCAGTAAAGATTTATTCTAAGCCTGGAACGTTTCCTCTGGGGCTTTAAATGAAAAAGCTTATTGGTTCGAGTCACTTCTGGAATAAACAAATTGGTACTATTTGAGAAAAAAAAATTGATCAAGTGCAGTGGCTTACACCTGTAATCCCAGCACTTTGGGAGGGCGAGACAGGTGGATTGCTTGAGCCCAGGAATTCAAGACCAGCCTGGGCAACATGGCAAAACCTCGTCTCTACAAAAAATACAAAAATTATCCAGGCATGGTGGCGTATGCCTGTGGTCACAGCTACTTTGGAGGCGGAAGCAGGAGGATCGCTTAAGCCTGGGAGGATCGCTGGAGCCCAGGAGGTCAAGGGTGCAGTGAGCTTTGATCACACCACTGCATGCCAGCTTGGGCAACAGAGTGAGATCTTGTCTCAAAAAAAAAAAAAAAGAAAGAAAGAAAAAAACATTTACAGCTCTCCTCCTAAACAACTGTCTTATTAATACCCATGGGAAGATCAAATTGAAAAGAGGTATAAAGGCTAACCTTGGGAACTCCCTTAATGCGATCAAAAAACAAGAACACAGAAATCAGTTAGAACTAAGTTGAAATCCAAATCCACCATAAATCCCCTTCTCCACCTTCTTATACTCCTGTTTACCCCCAACTCCCTGGCCCTGGCCCTCCAGAAGATCTCTCGGATCTCTAGACCCCCTAAACTGCCCTCCTCAAAATCTGGCCTCACTTCCTCAGCAAATTCCTTAAACTCCCCAAGCTCCTCCAGCTTCCCCAGAAAATTCCTTAAACACTAGATGCCTGTTTTAACTTCCCTTTCCCTGAAAGAATTACAGAGAGCACTGGTCTCCAGGCCTGGGACATATAGGTTGAGTTACTTTGGCAGAAGCACCTAGGGTGAGTGGCAAGGATCACTTTGCTGTTCCTTAAGGCTCCCATTGCCAGAACTCTGCAGTCAAGCTCTGCCCACTTCAGGGGACTCCCCACTCACCTTTATGCTCCCCATGCTGTGTCTGCCCTTTCACAAGTTCAGAAGACACAGCACCTCTTCTACACAGTGGCAGATCACCTAGGAATAGGCCCTATGAACTAATCCCTCTTCCCACTCAGTCACTAAACTTTAGGCTCTCCTGCTCTCTCTCACTCTCTTTTTTTGAGACAGGGTCTTGCTCTGTCGCCCAGGCAGGAGTGCAGTGGCATGATCTCAGCTCACTGCAACCTCCGTCTCCAGGGCTCAGGTGATCCTCCTGCCTCAGCCTCCTGAGTAGCTGGGACTACAGGCGCATGCTGCCACACCCAGCTAATTTTTGTATTTTTGGTAGAGAGAGGGTTTGGTTATGTTGCCCAGGCTGATCTTGAACTCCTAAGCTCAAGCCATCTTCCTGCCTCAGCCTCCCAAAGTGCTGGGATTACAGGTGTGAGCCACCGTACCTGGCTTCGTGCTCTTAAAGGACTCAGGGACCCCCAAAAGATTGATCTCTGATAACAGGCAAATAGTCCCCAAATTCATTCTCGGAGCCATGGATAGCTATTGATTCACCAGCCTCAGCCTCCCAAAGTGCTGGGATTGCAGGCACCACGCCCGGCCAAAATCCCATGTATTTAACTTGTAGGTTTTTGCTTTCATGATATTTGCTCAACATTCACGTGCTGTAAAACAGTTATCAGGGAAATAACTTGATGATGGCTAGCTTTGTCTAATGTTTCATAAGATTTTCATGCATAATTGTTGCCCAAGCATAATTGTTAAGAACAAGTGACTTAAATATATGTAAGTAGGATAAAAGTTTTAAAATATACCTTTTGGCAGGCTGCGGTGGCTTGTGCCTGTAATCCCATCACTTTGGGAGGCCAAGGCAGGGGGATCACAAGGTCAAGAAATTGAGACCATCCTGGCCAACATGGTGCAACCCTGTCTCTACTAAAAATACAAAAATTAGCTGGGCGTGGTGGCAGGTGCCTGTAATCCCAGCTACTCAGGAGGCTGAGGCAGGAGAATCGCTTGAACCTGGGAGGTGGAGGTTGCAGTGAGCCGAGATCGCGCCATTGCACTCCAGCCTGGGCGACAGAGCAAGACTCTGTGTCAAAAACAAAAAAAGTATATATATATATATATTTTATTATTTATTTATTTATTTGAGAAGGAGTGTTGCTCTGTCACCCAGGCTGGAGTGCAGTGGCGCGATCTCGGCTCACTGGAACCTCCGCCTCCTGGTTCACGCCATTCTCCTGCCTCAGCCTCCCGAGTAGCTGGGACTACAGGCACCTGCCACCACGCCCAGCTAATTTTTTGTATTTTTAGTAGAGACGGGGTTTCACCGTGTTAGCAGGGATGGTCTCCATCTCCTGACCTTGTGATCTGCCCACCTTGGCCTCCCAAAGTGCTGGGATTACAGGCGTGAGCCACCGGGCCCGGCCAATATATATACCTTTTAACAGTAATCATGTTTTGTTTTGTTTTGTTTTGTTTTCGTCATTTTGGAGACAGGATCTCCTCTATCACCCAGGCTGGAGTGCTGTGGCTTGATAATAGCTCACTGCAGTCTCGAACTTCTAGGCTGAAGTGATCCTCCTGTCTCAGCCTCCTGAGTAGCAGATGTGCACCACCACTCCTGGCTGATGGTTTTATTTTTATTTTTGTAGAGACAGGGTCTCCCTATGTTGCCCAGGGTGGTCTCCAAGGCCTGGGGGCCTCAAGCGATCTTCCTACCTCAGCCTCCCAAAATGCTGGAATTACAGGTGAGCCACCATGCCTGGCCAATAATTATGTTTTATAATATGTCTGTTTAAAAATAATTTCCCAAATCTCTTCGGTAACTTACTCTCTTTAAGTTATACTAGGTTAAATTAAGTGATGGCTATTCATTGTATATCTAGATCATTTCCCAACAAGATAAAATACTGAAATATTAATTGCTGAACATAAGTTTATCTACTTTTGTCTTCTTATTATAAAGGAACTAGAGATAGTTGGGTCTGTTAGTAAATATGTCCTTTGCCACTTCAAAATTGTACTATGGGGCTGGGTACAGTGGCTCACGCCTGTAATCCCAGCACTTTGGGAGGCTGAAGCAGGAAGATCACGTGAGGCCAGGAGTTTGAGGCTCCAGTAAGCTATAATCATGTCACTGCATTCCAGCCTGGGCGACAGAGCAAGACCCCGTAGTAGTACTAGTTACTCATGAGGTCAAGGTGGGAGGATCACTTGGGCCCAGGAGTTTGAGGTTGCAGTGAGCTATGATGGCTCCACTGGGCAATACAGCAAGACTCTGTCTAAATAAATAAATAAACAAACAAGTAAATAAAAGCACATACTTCTAGAAATTATAAAATGATGTATTTATAGATTTGTCATTCTATGAATGCTGCTGTAACAGTTTGTAACTGCTTACTTCCTAGTTTTCGCTAGAAATTAAGGTTACTAAGGGTTAAGAATTTTAATTAATATGTGTAGTTAAAACTAGAAATAATAAGGGAAACAAGTTTGTATGCAAAATATACAAGAAAACTAATGCATACTTTCGGTTAGGAAACTTATAAGGTATAAGAATTTTTGGGGGGTAAAGGAAAATATTAATTTTGTCTAGTTTGGAGGTTATTTAAGGTTGCTTCAGAATGAAAGAAGGAAATGGGGAGGTGCATGGGGAAAGGGAAGGCATTGCTCAATGAGAGCAAAGCTATAGCTAGATAGGAGAAATAATTCTGGTGTTCTACTGCACAGCAAGGTGACTATAGTTAATACAATGTATTATATATTTTGAGATAACTAAAATACATTATTTCTTTTCTTTTCTTTTTTTTTTTTTTTGGACACGAAGTCTCACTGTGTCGCCCAGGCTAGAGTGCAGTGGTGTGATCTCTGCTTACTGCAACTTCTGCCTCCCAGGTTCAAGCGATTTTTGTGTCTGAGCCTCCTGCGTAGCTGGGATTACAGGCACACGCCACCATGTCCAGCTAGGTTTTGTGTGTGTGTGTGTGTGTGTGTGTGTGTGTGTGTTTAGTAGAGAAAGGGTTTTGCCATGTTGGCCAGGCTGGTCTCGAACTCCTGACCTCAAGTGATCTGCCACCTCCTCCCCCCAAAGTACTGGGATTACCCGTGAGAGCCATTGTGCCTAATCTAGAATTTCTTTTTAGAGACAGGATTTTGCTATGTTGGCTGGGCTAGATTTGAACACCTGGGTTTAGGCAATCCTCCTGCCTCGGTTTCCCAAGTAGCTGAGACTATAGGCATGTAGCACTATGCCTGGCTAAAAGAGAGGATTTAAAATGTTGTCTACTGGGTATGGTGGATCATGCCTGTAATTCCAGCACTTTGAGAGGCTGAGGCGGGAGGGTCACTTGGGCTGAGGCGGGAGGGTCACTTGAGCTCAGGGGTTCAAGACCAGCCTGGGCAACATGGCCAAACATGTCTCTACTAAAAATACAAAAATTAGCTGGGCGTGGTAGCATGTGCCTGTAGTCCCGGCTACTGGGAAGGCTGAGGTGGAAGGCTCAGCTGAACCCAGGAGGCTGAGGCTGTAGTGATCCATGATCATGCCACTGTGCTCCAGCCTGGGTGACAGAGTAAGACCCTGTCTCAAAAAATAAATAAATAAATAAATAAATAAATAAAAATTTTAAAAAATAAAATACTGTCACCACGAAGAAATAATAAATATTTGAGGTGATATATAAGCCGATTATTCTGATCTGATTATTCCATAATGTATACATGTATTGAAATATCACTTTGTATCCCATAAATATAAACAATTATTTATCAATTAAAATAAAATGAAACAAAAAAACCTGAATGGATATAGAACATTGGGAGAAAGAATTTTGTATAGTCAAACTGACTAAAATTTAATGAATTTATTTAAAAGGTTTTACAAATTAGCCTTAATATAAAAAAATACACTTATGCAAAGCTAGAATTTGGGCTTGGTGTCTCATGCCCGTAATCTCATCCATTTGGGAAGCTGAGGCAGGAGGATCACCTGAGGCCAGGAGTTCAAGACCAGCCTGAGCAACATAGTGAGAACTTGTCTCTCCAAAAAAAAAAAAAAAACAAAACTTGACTGGGCACGCATGCACCTGTAGTTCCAGCTACTGTGGAGACTGAGGTGGGAGGATGGCTTGGGCCCAGAAGGTCGAGGCTGCAGTGAGCTGTGATTGTACTCTAGCCTAGGAAACAGGGTAAGACCCTGTTTCTAAATAAAAATAAAAATAAATGAATAAATCAATAAATGACAAGGTTTTCTAGGAGCTTTTGTCAGCTCTTGAAAAGAGATTGCTGGCTGTGCGCCGTGGCTCACGCCTGTAATCCCAGCACTTTGGGAGGTGGAGGTGGGTGGATCACGAGGTCAAGAGATTAAGACCATTCTGGCCAACATGATGAAACCCCCTCTACTTAAAAACAATACAAAAATTAGCTGGGCGTGGTGGCGCATGCCTGTAGTCCCAGCTACTCGGGAGGCTGAGGCAGGAGAATCGCTTGAACGCGGGAAGCAGAGGTTGTAGTGAGCTGAGATCACGCCATTGCACTCCAGCGTGGGCAACAAAAAAAAGAAAAGAAAAGAATAAAATAAAATAAAAGAGATTGCAAAACGTTTTTCTTTACCTTTTTTTTTTCAGACGGAGTCTCGCTCTGTCACCCAGGCTGGAGTGCAATGGCGCGATCTCCACTCACTGCAACCTCCGCCTCCCGGGCTCAAGCAATTCTCCTGTCTCAGCTTCCCGAGTAGCTGGGATTACAGGCACGTGCCACCACGCCCAGCTAATTTTTGTATTTTTAGTAGAGACAGGGTTTCATCATATTGGTCAGGCTGCTCGAACTTCTGACCTCAGGTGATCTGCCCGCCTTGGCCTCCCAGAGTGCTGGGATTACAGGCGTGAGCCACTGCACCCGGTCTCTAGTATTGTTTCATAATGACAAGTGATCCTATTTAATCAAGAGTTTTAAAGATTTTGACATTTTTTACAACTTCCCAAAATTCTAAATAAATTTTTATTTCTTTTTTGAGACAGGGTCTTACTCTGTCACCCAGGCTGCTGTGCAGTGGCATGAACATAGCTCACTGCAACCTTGAACTCCTGGGCTCAAGCAATCTTCCCACCCTAGCCTCCTGAGTAGCTGGGACTACGGGTGTGCATTGCCATGCTCAGCTAATTTTTTTATTTTTTATTTTTTTGTAGAGACAGAGTCTCACTATGTTGCCCTGGCTGGTCTTGAAATCCTGGGCTGAAAAGTCAGAACCTTTGGCTTTAACTCTGAGTGAGATGTGAGCCATTGGATAATTTGAGCAGGGAAAGGATCAGATTCAGCTCATGTTTTATAAGCATCATTCAGGCCACTGTGTGGAAAAGAGAAACAGGAACATCAGTTAGGTGGATACTTCAATGATTCTGGCAAGAGATGATGGATGTTCCGATGAGGGAAATCATACTAGTATCTGACAAGTGGTGAGATTCTGAAGATTTTGAAAGTAGAGCCACCAGGATTGGCTAATGTGGGTAGTGATCTATAATAGGAAGAGAGGAGTCAAGAATAACTTCTAAGATTTTGGCCAGGGTAACTAGAAAGATATAAATTGCCACTTAGAGATGGGAAAGCCTAGGGAAGGAGAAGGAGCAGGTGTAGAGGAAGATCAGGATGTTTATCCGCTGTGAGGCTTTAGGTGAGTTGCTTAACCATCCTGATCCCCAGTTTCTTCGTTTGTACAATGGTTATAATAATTGCTCCCCTGCAGGGTGGTGGTGAGAATTTTGTTTGTTTGCTTTTTGAGATGGAGTCTCACTCCGTTGCCCAGACTAGAGTGCAGTGGCATGATCTCGGCTCACGGCCACCTCTGTCTCCCGGGTTCAAGCAATTCTTCTGCCTCAGTCTCCTGAGTAGCTGGGACTATAGGCGCATGCCAGCACCCCTGGTTAATTTTTGTATTTTTAGTAGAGATGGGGTTTCACCGTGTTGGCCAGGCTGGTCTTGAACTCCTGACCTCAAATGATCCACTCACCTTAGCCTCCCAAAATGCTGGGATTACAGGTATGAGCCACCATGTCTGGCTAGTGGTGAGAACTGAGCGAGATCCTGAACTCAGAAGCTTGGCATATGTGTGTACCCAATGCACCTGTCACCCACAACCCTACAATAGCACATGGTCATCATACCTTCTCCGGAAGCAACTGGAAGGAGAGGAAGACTCTGCCTGTGAGTCTATACTCTCTAGCTCCTCTCTTCTGCTTCCTTTAGGTAGAAGTGGGACAGGCCTTTTTGACCTGGTAAGTTTTCTTTCTTTAGGGTCTTACATGCTGATGGAGATGATGATGCTAGTGGCGGCTGGTGGGGATGATGACAAATGCTCATATTCCCAAGGCCTTGAGGTTTACAAAACACTTCATGGACAGTATCTCATCTGATCCAGCAAGGCAGGAATTATACTTATTTTATGAAGTAGAAGAATGAAGTATTTATAAAACCAAATAGGTTGAGTGCAGTGGCTCACGCCTGTAATCCCAACACTTTGGGAGGCAAAGGTGGGAGGATCTCTTGAGCCCAGGAGTTAGAGACCAGCTTGGGCAACACAGTGAGACCCCTGTCTCTACAAAATAAATTTTAAAAAGTAACCGGGTGTGGTGGCGCCTGCCTGTGGTCCCAGCAACTCGGGAGACTAAGGTGGATCACTTGATCCTGTGAGGTTGAGGCTGCAGTGAGACATGATCATGCCATGGCACTCCAGCCTGGGTGACAGAGTGAGACCTTGCCTCAAAAAAATAATATAAATAAAATAAATAAAAATAAAAAACAGGCTGGGCGTTGTGGCTCACGCCTGTAATCCCAACACTTTGGGAGGCCAAGACGGGTGGAGCACCTGAGGTCAGGAGTTCGAGACCAGCCTGGCCAACATGGTGAAACCCCACCTCTACTAAAAATACAAAAATTAGCCGGGCATCGTGGCGGGTGCCTGTAATCCCAGCTATTCAGGAGGCTGAGGCAGGAGAATCGCTTGAACCTGGGAGGCAGAGGTTGCAGTGAGCCAAGATCATGCCACTGCACTCCAGCCTGGGTGACAGAGTGAGACTCCGTCTCAAATAATAATAATAATAAATAAATAAAAATTAAAAACAACATAAAACCCAGGCTATAAACCCAAAGAGATATACCCAGCTATCTCATAGAATTTCATTTAATCTGAGGGAGGAAAGCAGGTGGAGGAGAGGGTCTTGAAGTAAGCATCCAAGGGGGAATGCCACCCAGCTGTGTCCAGCTGTGCCCAGCTAGGAGATAGACTGTGCCTCTACTTTTCTTCCCCCAGGAGAGGGCCCACAGGGGCCTGCTTGGGTCCTAGTCTCCCTGTCCCAGCCACTGAGCATGCCTGGTGCTCAGGTGTGTGTGCAGTCTGCAGACTCACTGCTTCTGAGGTTTAGGCAAGTGGGTCTCATATATTGTCCTGTTCCAGTTACTCCTTCCAGTTACTCCCACTTACTGAGGCTACAGCGGAGAGGACTGGAGCCCAGAAGAGTCAACGTTCTTAAGGAAACACAATTAGAAAGTGCAGTCTGGGCTGGGCACGGTGGCTCAGGCCTATAATCTCAGCACTTTGAGAGGTCGAGGCGGGTGGATCACTTGAGCTCAGGAGTTTGAGACCAGCCTGACCAACATGGTGAAACCCTGTCTCTACTACAAATACAAAAAAATTAGCCTGGCATGATGGCACACTCCTATAATCCCAGCTACTTGGGAGGCTGAGGTAGGAGAATCGCTTGAACCCAGGAGGCAGAGGTTGCAATGAGCCGAGATCCTGCCATTGCACTCTAGCCTGGGCAAAAAGAGCAAAACTCTGTCTCAAAAAAAAAAAAAAAAAAAAGAAGAAGAGAAAGAAAAGAGAAAGTGCAGTCTGGGTTCCAACTCGAGGGAAATCCTGCATATGTTCCCTTCCCTCTCCTCCCCCTAGACTGGGAAGTGGGGGCCAGCCCAGCTGCCCGCTCCCCTCAATATACCAGGTGCCAGAACACAGCTGTTTCTTCATTGTTCCCCAACCCAGGCGGACTGTAATTGGTGGGGCAGAGCAGGGCGGGGCTACCCCTGTGCTGAATCCAGTGGGGCTATCTCCACTCCAGGCAAATCCAGCCAGAGACTGATTCTGAGCAGCAGTTCTGCCCGGTGAGAGCTGCCGTGGATTGGTGGGGGTAGGGGACTGAGAGGTCAGGGAGTGTCAGGTCAGGGTGGATCAGGAGCCCCAAAAGAAAAATTGAGAATTGCCTGGAGAAGAACTCCTGCTAGACTGAGGGAGAAGGGTTAGGGAACTCCAGGGGCATTGAGGCTGTGCAAGAGGAGGGGGTGACTAGAGGAAGGGAGGGGCCAGGGAGCAGTAGGAATGCCTGGAGCTGGGAACGGCAAGCTGTAGGTCTTGGTTTACTCTTGCCTTGGTTCAGTCTCCCCATCTGTGCTATGGTGAGAACCTTCCTGCCTCAGCTGCCTTGCCAAGAGAAAGGGCTTCATGAAAGCAAAAATGACCTACAAATTGAGGTCAGGAGCAGGAAGGTGTAAACTGAAGGGAGGGGGAACTCCTGCCCACCCCATGTCCTTGCCAGGTGAGGCAGAACCAGGACATGCAAGCCTAAAGTCTGTGTTGTCTTCCCAGGCACTGACTCACTGGCCCTGCCATGCCCACGCCACTGCTCCCGCTGCTGCTTCGATTGCTGCTGTCCTGCCTGCTGCTGCCTGCTGCCCGCCTGGCCCGCCAATACCTCCTGCCCCTGCTGCGCCGATTGGCCCGCCGCCTGGGCTCCCAGGACATGCGAGAGGCTTTGCTGGGCTGTCTGCTGTTCATTCTCAGCCAGCGACACTCGCCAGACGCTGGGGAGGCCTCAAGAGTGGACCGCCTGGAGAGGAGGGAGAGGTTAGGCCCCCAAAAGTGAGGCCACAAGTCCTGGCAGCAGCTGTATCCACAAAATGCTTTCTTTTGGAGTAGGATAATCCTGGCACCAGCACTGACCGAAGCCTGCCCAGTGGACAGAAGATATAGTGAGGGTTGTGCATGAGAGGGATCTGCCACAGACATGCCTCTCCACTCCCAACAGAAATGTCTTTCTGGAAGAATGCCTTGCATCTAGCACAAAACTGATTATTGCCCCTCTGTCCTCCAGCAGTTCCTCCCAAAGACCACTCCTAATCACCTCTGGCCTCAGGCGGGAGGGGAACTAACACCCACCCACCCCTGCCCTCCCTGCAAATGGGAACATCAAGGTTCCCAGTGCTTAACTGAGGGACAAGTGACAATTTAGCAGAGAGGCAAGATTTGAATCCAGACTGTCTTCCAGACTCAGGACCTACCTTAAAATAATATCTGAGTTGCTTATGGAGGCAGACCTGCCTGCAAAGCCCAGCACTCAGCAAGTGCTCAATAAATATTTGATTTGAATTCTTTCCATGGCTTTGAAAGTCTAATCACCCAGACTGCTGCTCTGCAAAACAGTTTAACCTGGCCTGGCAGTTGGTGGGGGTGGGGGAGAGGAGAGATGGACAATTGTACAAGGGTTTATTTTGCTACCTATTCCATCGTGGTTTCAGTCCTCACAGCCTGGAAGTTGTTTCCCCCTGCTAAGTTTCGGTCAGTATGTCACACTGTGACCCAGAAATGGCTTGAGTCCATCTAGGAGGAAGTTTGCCTGGCTAGCTCACAGTAGGGAGGAAAATATCCTCCAGCGAGTTTGAGGACTTCTCAGCTAGTGGTGGTGGGAAGAGGGGTGATACGTTTGCTAAGAGACTGGGTGGGAGGCCACCCAGGGAGGCAGTGCAGAAATGCATCCCCTTGAGGGTCATCCCACCCTAGAAGAGACTAGGGTTGGGTGAGTTGCCTTAAGAACTGACTTCATCATTTCCTCCTCCCTAGTGGGAGGCCCCTCAGGGGTCAAATAAGAGCCTCAGAAGAGTCAACATGCTTAAGGAAACACAGTTAGAAAGTGCAGTCTGGGCAGGGCGCGGTGGCTCACGCCTGTAATCTCAGCACTTTGGGAGGCAGAGGCAGGAGGATCACCTGAGGTCGGGAGACCAGCCTGACCAACATGGAGAAACCCCGTCTCTACTAAAAATACAAAATTAGCCGGGCGTGGTGGCGTATGCCTGTAATCCCAGCTCCTACGGAGGCTGAGGCAGGAGAATCGCTTGAATCCGGGAGGCGGAGGTTGCAGTGAGCCGAGATCGCGCCATTGCTCTCCAGCCTGGACAACAAGAGCGAAACTCCGTCTTAAAAAAAAAAAAAAAAAGAGTTAGACACATTTGCATCCCAGCCTCCGGATAATTTGCTTATTGTTCCCAGGCAATAATCCTCTCTCTCTGGGTGACTCTTGGGCTCTATCTAGGTTCAGACGAGGACAGTGAGGAGTACAGGATCCAATTGGGATTCCAGTCCCCTCCCCACACCCGTCAGAAGGCTTGGTTGGGAAAGAAGTGAGCCCCAAGCTATCCGCCCCACCCCCAGCCCTGCGGGGCTTTCTGCCTGCCACACGCCGTCCCTGCTCACTACCCCATCGGTTTCCTTCGGGAGTCTTCAAAGCCAGTGCACGTGCTCCCAGGTCTCAGGGAGGCGACCCAGGGGGAGGGGCAGAGAGAAGGGGGTCCGAGCCCTTGGGCCCCTAACCCCGTCCCTTTCCGGAGCCTCGGGTGCCCAAAGGCGCCGGCCGCCAGTCCCAGGCCCGAAGGGCCCCTCCCACTGAGTCGGCTCTGGTCTCCCCGCCCCTGAGCCGCGAGGACTGGACGCAGCTGGCTGCGGAGCTCTGGGCGGGCGCTGGGGTCGCCTGTTGCAGCCTCTCTTCCGCCCGGCGGCCCACACCGGTCAGGCCCGGCGCGGGCTGCGCTCTCCAGCTGTGGCTATGGCCCCAGCCCCGAGATGAGGAGGGAGAGAACTAGGGGCCCGCAGGCCTGGGAATTTCCGTCCCCCACCAAGTCCGGATGCTCACTCCAAAGTCTCAGCAGGTGCGCGGGGCGGGGCCGGGGGGCCTGGCGGGGCGGGGTGGGGTGGGGGCGAGGTCTGCGCCGTTCTCACGCTGCCGGGCGGGACAGGGGGCCAGTAGGGGGACCCGCTGGGCTACAGTGTCTCAGGGGAGTCAGAATCTTTGGTTTCTGGATGCGGGGCCACTTTTCTGGGCCTTCGAAGGCCATTATTAGATGACTGCCTCCCCAAACTCCCCAGCCACTTACAGATGTCCCAGGAACATAGGGTAGGGGGAAGAGGTCTGGAAAATTAGCCTAGAAGACCAGCCCAGACCTAACTGAACAAAGAATTTAGTCTTCTCGAACCCCGAGCCAGTACCCACACTGTGAACACACCTGTCTTTACTTAAAAAATCTTGATGTTTTATTCATCATGGAGTCTTTAAAAAAAAACAAAAACCGAGTCTCGCTCTGTTGTTCAGGCTGGAGGGCAGTGGTGCGATCACAGCCTACTGCAGCCTCGACCTCATGGACTCAAGCCATCCTCCCACCTCAGCCTCCCAAAATGCCAGGACCACAGGCATGCGTCAACATGCTCAGCTAATTTTTTTTTTTTTTTTTTTTTAAGAGACAGAGTCTCCCTGTGTTGACCAGGCTGGTCTTGAACTCCTAAGCTCAAGTGATTCTTCTACCTTGGCCTCCCAAAGTGCTGGGATGACAGATGTGAGCCACTGCACTTGGCATCATGGAGTCTTGATTTGTAGACATTGCATTAAAACTTATTTTGGTAAGGGCTGGGTGTGGTGGCTCACGCCTGTCATCCCAGTGCTTTGGGAGGCCAAGGCGGGCGGATCACAAGGTCAGGAGTTCGAGACCAGCCTGACCAACGTGGTGAAACCCCGTCTCTACTAAAAAAAAAAAAAAAAATACAAAAATTAGCTGGGCGTGGTGGCACGTGCCCGTAATCCCAGCTACTCAGGAGGCTAAGGCAGGAGACTCGCTTGAACCCAGGAGGTGGAGGTTGCAGTGAGCCAAGATCACGCCACTGCACTCCAGCCTGGGTGACAGAGTGAGACTCCATCTTAAAGAAAAGAAAAAAAAAAACAAACTTATTTTGATTACATTAAAATGTATCTTTGTTTGTTTGTTTGTGTTTTCAGACAAGGTCTTGCTCTGTTGCCCAGGCTGGAGTGCAATGGCAGGATGATGGCTCACTGAAGCCTTGTCCTCCCGGGCTCTAGTGAACCTCCGGCCTCAGCCTCTGGAGTACCTGGAACCACAGGCTCGAGCCACCATGCCTGGCTAATTTATTTTAATTTTTTTTGTAGAGATGGGGTCTCACTGTGTTGCCCAGGCTAGTCTTGAATTCCTGGGCTCAAGTGATCCTCCCACCTCGGCCTCCAAAAGTGCTGAGATTTCAGGCATGAGCCACCACTCCTGGCCTAAAATTTATCTTGATTCATGAGTTTTTTGGCTCCCCCTTACATTTTACACCCCTGGCAAGTGCCTCACTGGCCTCTCCCTAGTCCCAGCCCTGTCACAAGGCCATGGAGATACAGTCACAAACACAACTGAGAACACAGACAGTCATGAGACATGTGCTGGTTACCAACCCCCAGGCCAAGCAAACACACTTCCAGCAAACACACATGACTTGTTGGTGACAGCTGAGAGGACACATGCCTGGGGAGAGAGAGGACTGTGTGTGAGGTGGTGAGGCATGCATGGGGCCTGCCAAGTTGGGGAGGGAGTCTGGGCCAAGCCACGGTCCCATATAGGGTGGTGAATAAGGTGTAGAGTAGAGGTGCAGCAGGACCAACCCTTCCCACCCCACCCCTTCGACAGGGACCTGAGGGAGCTCAGGGAGGGAGAGAAGCCAGAAGACCAGGCAGAGACTGAAGAGAGCTGGCAAGGCCTGGCTAGAAAAACTCCAGGCAAGGCCTGTGTAAGTTGGGGCTCCCAGGCTGTCCAGCAGGGGGCCCTGGCACCCAGCAACCTCTGCTTGGGAGGTGGCTACAGAGGGGTGTGGGTGTTGGCTAGGGGCCCAGCAGGATGGATGCCAGACGGACTTCTCTCCAACAATAACAGCCCTGGCTGTTGCCATCCACCGAGCTGGCAGGGCCCCAGTTTGGGTGGGGAGAGGAACCAGCCTTTCCCAGTCTGGCCTGAGACCCTCACCACTTCCCTCCAGTTTTCTTCCACCTCCAGCCCCCTCTGTACACAACTGCAGCCACTGGCCACCAGCCTTGCCATGCCTGGCAGATCTTCTGACCACTAGCCCTGCCACCCCCACAGACCCAGAGACCAGGAAAGGAGGGTGGGGAGCGAGGAAGGGGGCCAAGGCAGAGGGCAGAGGAGGGCTAGGAGAGGAAGAGAGAGAGACTGGACAAACATGAGGGCAGGAATTAGGGGGTTGTGGACAGACATGAAGCCACTCTCAAGTCATGGGGCTGTGCCTGGAAAAATACCACCTAAACCCATCTTCCTGCCCTCTGGTTAGGGCTGGCGGGGATGTGGGGGATGGGGGTGGGGTGGGGGAGGGTTGGGAAGGAATATGTGTGTCATCTCTGTGGGGCATGGAAACAGAAGGCTGGGGACACCCATTCTGGAGTAGCTTGGGGAGAGCCACTGACCCTAATTAGAAAAGCCACCTCTCTCCTTAGGGCCCTGTCTGTTTCTCTGGGGACAGGGTAGGACTACCTTATCCCTATGATGTGAGGTACTGCCAGTTGTTAATCAGTGTCTGTGGCTTCTCTAGGGGACAAGCCCTTCGGGTCAGTGGGCATGGGGTGGGCAGCGTGGGTTGGATTTTCTCCTCAGGACCTTTCCAGCCTTAGGATCATCCTCTAGCACTGAGTACTGCTGGAAGGGCAGGGAGTGCCCCCCACCCCACCCCATTTATTGCCCGACCAAAGAGAGGGCCTCCCTCCCCCTCCCTTGGAGGGACTTGCTGGACCACCCCTCAGCACGCCCACACCTTCCTCCTTAGCTAGTGAAAGACATACTCAGCAAGGCTTCCGCCTGTCAGGATGGCTGGGACAATAGGATTCACTGAGGATATAAGGCTGTTCCTAGCTTTTTCTCTTCCCATTCCCACCTGTGCCTCAGTTTTCCAAAGTGCTGGATTTAGAAAGGGTGAATTATGAGGGAGCTGGAGGGCTTTGCCCCACCCCCCTCCGCGCGCACACGCAAGCACAGGCAGAGGCACATACCCCCTCCAAGTCAAAGTTGTGAGTGGGGTGGTGTTTGCGCGTCTGTGGCTGGGACTGGATGTGTCAGGGATGGGAAAACCCATCATGCTGGTCACAGAAAATGCGCGGTGGGGACAGAAGCAGTTTTGAAGGAAAAGAAGAGGAGGGGGACTGAAAGAAAGAAGGGGGCGCTGAAAGGGAGGGCGCTGGGAGGAAAAAGGTGCAGTGTGGAGGAAGCGCGGCGTGGGCAGGGCTTGGGAAGGGATAACGGAATATCTGAGGTGGAGTGGGCCGTGGAGCGTCGGGGCCGGTCTGAGCAGCGGGTGTGTAAATGGAACAGTCCCGAGATGAATTTTATGGGAGTCTGCGCAGGTCCTTAATGTGTGGCTGTACCCTCCAGCCCCATGTACCCCACACGATGGACAGACAGCCTTGGTGTGGCAGGGCCCAAAGAGGTCCTATCTACCGCAATAACACGACCAGGCGGCCCTGGGGGCGCAGGGGCTCGGGGTGGGAGCGGCGGAGCGCGCGGAGTCGCCGCGGGGTGGCAGGGGTGGGCCGGGGGCGGGGCCGCGGGCGTCGGGGAGGTGGCAGTGGGCGCAGGGCGGGGCGAGCTCAGCGGAGGGCGGGTTTGAATGTGCCCCGGCGGGAGAGGGAAGCTGCAGCGAGAGCGCGCGGATCTCAGCGCGGGAGCAGTGCTTCTGCGGCAGGTGCTGCCCGGGGCCGGGGACTGGGGACTGGGGACTGCCGGGGCGGAAGACGCCGCTGCCCGCCTGCCACGGAGGGCAGGGAGGGCGGGCCTGACGGCTCCGCAGCCCGGAGAAGGGACGCCGGGTGGGGCCCCAGTGCGGAGCGTGCGGAGCCGCGCAGCACGTGGCGCGCACGGGCCAGGGAGCCTGAGGACCCTGCGGGGACCGGGACCCAAGCTGGGCGGGGCGGCCTGGCTCCCGGGCCTAAAACAGGCTGCGGTCACGTTGACCTCCGCAAGGGGCAGGCGAGTGGACGGGTGATCCCCATCGATCTGGTCGGTATCAGGGAGGGGCCGTGCCGCTGACTGCGCTGGCGGAGGGGTATGGGGATGGGGATGGGGATGGAGGCTCGCGAGCGGAGGTGCAGGCTCGCGAGCGGAGGTGCGGGGCTGTCTCTTTAACCCCGGTCTTTTACTGGCTAAACTCGTATCCCTGGCGTCTCCTTCCTGCGCACGTCTTCATTTACTGATTTACTGTGAGGGTATATGAGAGGGTGAAGACAAACAGTCCTCGGCTTTGCTTACCAGGAGAGAGCAGTCGTAGGTCAAGGCTGGCTCCAACCCTGCCCTCACACCTCTAGGGGTCTCTCTGCAGCCCTGTGGTAGTCCCTTTGCCTACTCCTCTCGGTGGCCTCCAGACCCTCCAACTTTCCTCCTGCTTGTGTAAGCTCCCCATGCCAGGATGTGTGTGATGGGGCGGGGCTGAGCTGCCTGACACTCAAGTCAGGCTGGGAATGATCTTGGTCTCCACCTCATTTTTCCCTTTAGTTGAATCAGAGTTCCCCCCACCTCCCAGTCTACAGGGCTAACTGAGAAGCAGCTTTTATACCTCTCTCCATTCCAAAAGGAGCTTGAACATTTAATATGGATTCTAGCTCCTCCACTCACCAGCTCTGTGACTTCAGGCAAGTGACTCAACCCCTCTGAACCTCAGCTGGCCCCATCTATTCAGTGCTAGTACTAGCTTATGGGTGGTTGTGAAGAAAAGACAAGAGATCTGCAGGTAGTGGCTAGCCCCATATGAAATCCTGGGAGTGGAGAATTGCAGGAGAGGTGTTGGGAGTCTGGAGGCAGGGAGGTACTCAATTTGGTGGCTACTTTCAGGGGCCCACCTCAGCAGGCCAAGGCATAGTTGGAGGGACACCAGATGCTCTGAGCTGGTATCAGATCCCTGTTTGCCGCTGGGCAAAGGCAGACAAAAGCAAAACACGAAGGCTGGCCAGCTGAATGTTAGGATATGGGCAGGAGGAGAGGGCTGGAGTTGAATTGTGCCCAAGACTGGTATGGGAACTCCTGAGAACAGAGAGAGCAGGGGTGTAGCAGGGGGCCAGGGAAGAAATAAATACTTCTTCTCTAAGCCTAAGCCAGTTTTACCCAGGAGAACAGGAGCTATTCTCCCCACCCTAGGCCCCCATCTGCTTTGAAGCTACACCTGCTCTTAACTGCCAGGAATCTTGCCTGTGGGGTGGAGTACGGGGTATGCGGGTATGAAGTAAGAACCTAGAGGAAGAGTCCCTACTACCTAATAGAAAACCTGAGACCTAGGCAGGGCTCAGTGGCTCATGCCTGTAATCCCAGCACTTTGGGAAGCCAAGGTGGGTGGGTCACCTGAGGTCGGGAGTTCGAAACCAGCCTGGTCAACATGGTGAAACCCTGTCTCTACTAAAAATACAGAAATCAGCCGGGGGTGGTGGCAGGAGCCTGTATTCCCAGCTTCTTGGGAGGCTGAGGCAGGAGAATCACTTGAACCTGGGAGGCAGAATTTGCAGTGAGCCGAGATCATGCCATTGCACTCCAGCCTGGGCAACAGGAGCAAAAACTCCGTCTCAAAAAAAAAAAAAAAAAGAAAAAATCTGAGACCTGAGGCTTTCCCCCACCCCCACTCCAGTAATGCCCTCTTGCCTTCATCTCTCTAGAAAATGTAAATATGATTATTCACCCCTCGTGCCTAGGACAGTGCCTGGCTAGCATGCACAGGTCCTCAGTAAATATTTGTCGAAGGCCTGAATGGAGGAATCCTTCTGCCTCTATCTGGAGGTGTGGGGCTGAGGGGCTGAGGAGGACCTCTGAGAGCTTGGAGTTTCCCTGGGGAGGGTTGAGAGGAACTACAGGGAGGTGGGAGAGCCCGTGGAAGGTCTCATGGTGCCCAGCTGCTTCTGTTTGTCTGAGTGGGGCCAGAAGCAATGCTGCACCTGCGAGAGCTCCCCTGCTGAGACTCCCTGTTCTCTTATCTCCCGAGCGACAGGGGTGGCTTTTTATCTCCTGGGTGTGCTTCTGCTTCTTTGCTTGCAAGGCTTCTCAGAATGGGGCCCCATGAAGCCTGAGGGACTCTCTCCTGATAACACCCTGTGCCACCTTTTTCATTCTGGATCCGCACCCAGGAGCCCGTGGACAAGGCCCACTGCCTGAGCCTGAACTAGGAGCACCTCCTAGGGACTGCCCAGGCTTGCTCTGCTCTGACCCTTCTGCTGGCCAGTCTGGGCACCTGGTGAGTGCCCAGAAAGGGAGGGAAGGGAAGCTGTCCTTTCACCCCAAACAGCAAGGCCTGGGCCCAGCTAGGCCTGAGTGTGGGGAATGTGTCAGTGCACATCTGCCTGGCTTCCCATGCCACCCAATGGGAAAGCTGTTTAATCTGCTGGTGCCAGGGGGTCTCCCCCTACACAAATGGGGAGCAGGAGAGGGACGCTGAGGCAGAAGGATAGGTGCTTTGGGATCCACCCCTCCAATCTTCTTTTCAAGGTCACTCTTAGAAAGGGGAAGCGGACAGGAGCCTGTGACAGAGAGGAACTAAGGGAGGACTAGGTGACCCTGGGGTCGGGAGGGGGGAGGGGGAAGGGCTGTGCCCCCACATCCATTATGAAATATTTTCTTGGAAAACCGGCCAGCAACTAGGAAGCCCCTGGGCAGTGGCTGGAAAGAAAGGTTAAGGTGCCAACAGCAGAGAGACTGGAATCTGGGTTGCCTTCAGGAGAGGACAGCCCCACTCTAGCCATGAATCCAGGGGCTCCCCAGGGAGGGTGGAGAGACCAGACTTGCAGAGAGGGGCCTGGGGAGCCTCTGGTTTGACCTCAGTCATCATCGATGTTGTCGCAGCTGCTGCAGATCTGCCTGTTCCGTGTCCTTCCTCCTCCTCCCCCGACCTCTTTGCTGTGTCTCCTCCATTTGTCTCCCTCCTTCCCTTGTCATCACTGTCCCTGACCCCTCTCGTCCTCTTGCCTGCCTTCTTTGACTGTCTTTCCCTCCCTCCCATCATCTTTCCTCCTCCTTCCCTCCTGCTCTCCACCCTCCTGTTTCCCAGCTTATAAACTGCTTCGGCTGCTGGATAAAAATAGCGGTGGCAGCGGCCAGGCCGGGAGCCAGGTAGAGTCTGAGCAGGCAGGGGGGCCGCGCAGGACTGGCCTGCTGGGCCAGGGGGCTGGGTGGGGGTCAAGTTGAGTCGTCCTGAGGGGCAGGGTGCAGAGGGGGTCTTACTGGACTCCTCCACTGGCCTGTTCTGTCAGCCCTGCCCCCTCTCCCCCTAAGAGCCTGAGGAGGCCTATGGCAGGGCCAAGACAGGGCCTCACACTGTTCCTGCCCCCAGCAGGCCCCTGAGGGAGGGAGCTGTCAGCCAGGGAAAACCGAGAACACCATCACCATGACAACCAGTCACCAGCCTCAGGACAGGTAAGGGGTAAGGGGCTGGGCTGTGGATCCAGGGAATGGGTTTTCAGGGAGCTGGGTGTGGTGTCCTTTGGAATTGGGGGTTGCCATTGCTGGCTGGCCTTCCAGCCAGGTAGCTATGAGTCAGGTCTGCATCAGGGGTGGGGACCCCGTGTGCCTTGGCTGGGTGCTGGCTGGGGTGTCTGCGGGAAGGGCAGGGTGCGTGGGCAGCAGTCCTTCCCTGGCCTGTCTGTGTTTCCACTGTTGCTCTCCAGCCAGTTAGCGGCTTTCGGCTCCTCCCGCCACCACTGTGGGGAGATACTTGGCTGCACCCCTCCTTCCAATGCACATCTGGCAGAACTGCCCTGGGGCCTCTGCCTTAGATGACCTGGCCCACCCTGGTTCTTGATCTGATCTTCCTCTCAATTCCCTGCCTCTGGAGCCTGTGAACTCCCAGTCAAGTTAGACTTGCAGTTATGACTGTGAATATGTATTTTGGAAGAAGAGGCTGTAGCTTAATTCAATTTCTCAAAGGGATCTGGGACCCAAGAAGGCTGAGGAAGTGATCCCTGAGATCCAAAGCTCCTTCAAAGCGTCAGGCTCTGTCCTGCCCTCCAACTCAGGCCCCAGAAACCCATCACGTCTGCCCTACCCACCCCATCTCCCTCCTGTGCCAAAGGCTATGAAACTAGGCCACTTTTGCCTGTGGGGGCTTTGAGCATGTAGCTTAATCTCTCTGGGACTGTTTTTCCACCTGTAAAATAAGCTAAAAGTATCTACTTCCCAGGAAGTGGATCTAGAAGTAAGGGAATTTAAGGAGGCATGGCAATAAGTCCAGGCCCCAGGTTGCTTCCCTGCCTCCTGTGCTCCATTCCCAGGCTGCCTGCCCATTCTGTCCCCACCTCCGCTCTCCTGTGGGCAGTTCCCTGAAGGCCTCGCCGGCTCCATTTGCCTTATTGCACAGCTCAGTCATTTCCCAGCGTACTCCCCCCAACCCCGATCCTCTGTCCTATGTGACTTTGGGAGTTTTTCCTTCTGCTCTGGGCCTCCGAACCAAGCCTTTAGCTTCTCCAAGGGAAGCATGTATGTGAGGGGGTTGGGGGGGCTGCAGTTGCATTAACTCGGACCTGCTCACGTGGTGTGCTCACCACGCCATCCCTGTATGAGGCCTGCCAGCGGTCCAGGCTCCTGCACTCTGGCCAGGCCTGTCTTCTCACTGCCTTGGGCTTTATCCCTGCCATCTCTGAAGAGAGCTGGTGTTGGCTCTGGGGAGGGTGTGCAAACCCAACTGGAGATCTACATGGGCCGGGCTGGGGTTACTCAGCTTTCAGGCAAGGCCTATCTGGGAGAAGCTGGCGTGACCCGGAAGGGCCTTGAGGTATAGGGCTTGGGGCATTGCCCTGGCCAAAGGTGGACAGTCCTTATTTACACCCTGAGGCCCAGATGGCCTCCAGTGGCCCCATACCTCCTGGCCTGCCCTGGGTGGTATGAACTACAAAGTTCTATTTGGCCAGGAAGAAAATGGCTCTAAGGCCCTCTCTTCACAGCGGCCCTGAGGCACCCTGCCCACCTGCCCTGTAGGTCCAGAATAGTATGGGAGTTTCTTAACTTCAGAATCCTCTCTGGGGAGTAACACAGTCCCTGACCAGACAGCATAATTACTTCCAGCCTGCCTGGTGGGAGTGGAAGACACTTGCTGCTTGCTTTCTCACTCATCCACCCACCCCCTGCCCTTCGGCAGGATTTCCAAAACCATCTCCGGATGTGTGGGTCACACTGGTTCCCAGCCTGCAGAGTCCCCCGAGCCTTCCAGGGCTGATAACCATGGTCCTGTCAGCCATGCCATTCAGTCCTATGACCCTGACCCCATCCCCACCCCAAATTCCAACGAGCAATGTACCCTTTTCTCCCCCCACACCCATAAGAGGACACATGCAAACGGACACAAACACAGACGCCCTGTGCCCTGGGACCTAGAGAGACTGACAACGGACAGGGGCTTTCCTGGGGCTCATTGTGGAGTGGGGCAGGATGGTGCGTCATTTGGCCCATCTTTCCTCCTCCATTGCAGATACAAAGCTGTCTGGCTTATCTTCTTCATGCTGGGTCTGGGAACGCTGCTCCCGTGGAATTTTTTCATGACGGCCACTCAGGTGAGGCTGGAGGGACTGGGCTCCATGGGGCAGTGCCCACTGTGCTTGCAGGATCTGACTCTGTGCTGGTAGGCACAGGGAAAGAGATTTCAACACTCCTCTCTGCAACCCCTGCAGTATTTCACAAACCGCCTGGACATGTCCCAGAATGTGTCCTTGGTCACTGCTGAACTGAGCAAGGACGCCCAGGCGTCAGCCGCCCCTGCAGCACCCTTGCCTGAGCGGAACTCTCTCAGTGCCATCTTCAACAATGTCATGACCCTATGTGCCATGCTGCCCCTGCTGTTATTCACCTACCTCAACTCCTTCCTGCATCAGAGGTGAGTGCCCACCCCCTCCCCAGCCCCCAGCCTGACCCTCACTGTGTCCTGCACCCCCTTGGCTGAGCCCCAGCTTTGCCCACTTGTCTCTGCCACCCTTGGCCTCTCCCGGCAGGATCCCCCAGTCCGTACGGATCCTGGGCAGCCTGGTGGCCATCCTGCTGGTGTTTCTGATCACTGCCATCCTGGTGAAGGTGCAGCTGGATGCTCTGCCCTTCTTTGTCATCACCATGATCAAGATCGTGCTCATTAATTGTAAGCTGGGCCAGGAGGGGGCCTATGGGAGGAGGCATGCCCAACTACCCCCACTCTTTTTTCAGACCCAGCGTTAGCCAGAGAGAAGCCCAGCCTCCGCCTGGAGGGAGTGGATGCTGTGAGCAGCTGGGATTCAGAGGCCTGAGTGGGCCTGGACCAGGGCTGGGAGGGGGCAGAGAGAAGGGCAGCTCAGCCTCAAGGCTCACCAAGAGTAAAGTAGGAATGACAGGGATCTGTCTTCTTGGGCACCCCCAACCACCAGCCCTAGCTCCCCTGCTCATGCCCGCCCTGTTTCCCCAGCATTTGGTGCCATCCTGCAGGGCAGCCTGTTTGGTCTGGCTGGCCTTCTGCCTGCCAGCTACACGGCCCCCATCATGAGTGGCCAGGGCCTAGCAGGCTTCTTTGCCTCCGTGGCCATGATCTGCGCTATTGCCAGTAAGTCCGGCTATCTACCTGCCCAGTGCCCTGGTGTGGTGGGGAGAGGGGATGGGGCCTGTCTCTGATCACTGACACCACCCCAGGTGGCTCGGAGCTATCAGAAAGTGCCTTCGGCTACTTTATCACAGCCTGTGCTGTTATCATTTTGACCATCATCTGTTACCTGGGCCTGCCCCGCCTGGTGAGTAAATGGAGGGAGCTGGGGTTTGGGGTATAGGGGTCTGGGGTTCCAGACCACGGGTGTTCTGAGGACAAAACCTGAAGGAGGCCGGGATTCTGGAGATTCTGCCTCTAAATCCACCTCCCCCGTCTCCCTTACTTGATAGGAATTCTACCGCTACTACCAGCAGCTCAAGCTTGAAGGACCCGGGGAGCAGGAGACCAAGTTGGACCTCATTAGCAAAGGTCCGAAGAGCCTGAGGAAGCTGGGGTGGAGGATGGTATACCAGGCGGGGGATAGCATGAGCAAAGAGAACAAAGATGAGTGCCCTGTGTTAGCTAGCAGCCCTGAGCCAGAGGAGGACTGAAGGACTACAGCAGGGAGAGGGGGACAATAGGAAATAAGGGCCGGCAATGATAAAATGGGGGCAGATCCTGGATGACCTTGAATGCCTGAGGTGTTTGGACTAAAGGCAGTGGGAAGCAATTTCAGATTCTTGAGTGAGGAGTAACATGACCTGAGGCTCCTGGGAGAGGCCAGGCCCCCGGGTCTTGAGTTGTAGGGATTTGGAGGCGAGGTCTGGGTTAGGGTTAGAGTACGGCTGGGACTGGTTAAGGAGGCGTCTACTTTCAAGTAATCCCAGCCGTTTTGGGGAATGTTTATGTTGTCTTCTGTTGCTCTGTCTTCCCCACAACTTGGAGATTTCTTCCATCCCGCAGGAGAGGAGCCAAGAGCAGGCAAAGAGGAATCTGGAGTTTCAGTCTCCAACTCTCAGCCCACCAATGAAAGCCACTCTATCAAAGCCATCCTGAAAAATGTACGTAGGGGAGGTTATCCTATCTTCTACCCCTTGTCCTCTTTCTCTCCTCCTTTTGCTCCCTCCCCCTGCCACCCATCTCCTCCCTTTCTGACCTGAGAGTGGTCACTCCTGGATTCTTTTGTGTGTGCGTGCGTGCCCATGCGTGCGTGCCGGGGGTGGGGATTCGTGGTTCCTTTTTTTTGAGACAGAGTTTCACACTTGTTGCCCAGGCTGGAGTGCAATGGTGCAATCTCCACTCGCTGCAACCTCCATCTCCTGGGTTCAAGTGATTCTCCTGCCTCAGCCTCCCAAGTAGCTGAGATTACAGGCATATGCCACCATGCCCGGCTAATTTTTTGTATTTAGTAGAGATGGGGTTTCACCAGGTCAAGCTGGTCTCAAACTCCTGACCTCAGGTGATCCACCCACCTCGGCCTCCCAAAGTGCTGAGATTACAGGCGTGAGCCACCACGCCTGGCCTGGATTCGTGGTTCTTTAATGCACAGCCACCATGAAGACACAGGCATTTGGGTGACTCTACCCCTTCTATCTAGATCTCAGTCCTGGCTTTCTCTGTCTGCTTCATCTTCACTATCACCATTGGGATGTTTCCAGCCGTGACTGTTGAGGTCAAGTCCAGCATCGCAGGCAGCAGCACCTGGGGTGAGGATGCCACAGGTTTCCAGGATGGGAACAGACAGGATCTTGAGTTGGGCTGGAAGTGGGGAAGGGAGGGAGCCTGGGTCACCTTCTCCCCGTTTCCTGGGTCCATTTGCCCTTCCCTGGGCTGGAAGCATCTTCTCCATTTTACTGTTGGGGAAGCTGAGGCCCAGTGAAGGTTAGGCTTGCTATACCTGCCTCTGTGAGCCTGATAACCACCCGTTCATCTCCTCTTCCAGAACGTTACTTCATTCCTGTGTCCTGTTTCTTGACTTTCAATATCTTTGACTGGTTGGGCCGGAGCCTCACAGCTGTATTCATGTGGGTAAGTGGAGGAAGAGGGCCCCAGGCCCCTGTGGGAAGTAAGAGTCCAGCCTGGACCCAGAGAGGGAACCCAAGAAAGTATGGTAGTAAGGGGACCATTTGTTTTAAAGTCGAGGCATAATTTATGTATAGTTAAGTACAAGTCTTAAGTGTACAACTTAATGAATATATGTATATACACATACCTGCCCAGATCGAGATGTAGAATATTTCCAGCACTCCAGAAGGCTCCACCATGCCCCTTTCAAGAGTAACCCCCTAAGGAGAACCAGGCTTTGAGGTTTCAGTTCAGATCCTGAGGGGCCCCAGATGGATCCTTGGGGGCCTGGCTGTGCCCTGGGGTGGCGGCCTGGGCTGAGGCCCTGCCTGGTGCCCACAGCCTGGGAAGGACAGCCGCTGGCTGCCAAGCCTGGTGCTGGCCCGGCTGGTGTTTGTGCCACTGCTGCTGCTGTGCAACATTAAGCCCCGCCGCTACCTGACTGTGGTCTTCGAGCACGATGCCTGGTTCATCTTCTTCATGGCTGCCTTTGCCTTCTCCAACGGCTACCTCGCCAGCCTCTGCATGTGCTTCGGGCCCAAGTGAGTAGGGCTGGCAGGGAACTTGGTGGCATCAGACAGGATCTAGAGTTCCAGTGGGGGACACTCAGTAGAGGGAGGGCAAAAGGAGAGTCCCTGCTCCCAGAGCTGAGAGGAGAGATGGCTCAGGAGGGGCTCCCAGGCTGAGGGGATAGTGACTGTAGTGGAGGGGGGCGCCAAGCTTACTTGGGTGGAGGTGGAGACAGGTTTGCAGGAAGGAGTGAAAGACAACCCCACCATACACGTTCCCTCAAGGAGGAGAAGCCAGGTTGGGGTTAGGCAGCCAGGATGGGTTGATCAACAGAATGAGGTTCGACAGTCAAGTTGCTCCACCCCACCCCTCCTTCCACCCAGAGGCTCTGGGCTGGGGTACAGCCATTCTGAGGTAGCCTTGCCCTTCCTTCCCCGCTTAGGAAAGTGAAGCCAGCTGAGGCAGAGACCGCAGGAGCCATCATGGCCTTCTTCCTGTGTCTGGGTCTGGCACTGGGGGCTGTTTTCTCCTTCCTGTTCCGGGCAATTGTGTGACAAAGGATGGACAGAAGGACTGCCTGCCTCCCTCCCTGTCTGCCTCCTGCCCCTTCCTTCTGCCAGGGGTGATCCTGAGTGGTCTGGCGGTTTTTTCTTCTAACTGACTTCTGCTTTCCACGGCGTGTGCTGGGCCCGGATCTCCAGGCCCTGGGGAGGGAGCCTCTGGACGGACAGTGGGGACATTGTGGGTTTGGGGCTCAGAGTCGAGGGACGGGGTGTAGCCTCGGCATTTGCTTGAGTTTCTCCACTCTTGGCTCTGACTGATCCCTGCTTGTGCAGGCCAGTGGAGGCTCTTGGGCTTGGAGAACACGTGTGTCTCTGTGTATGTGTCTGTGTGTCTGCGTCCGTGTCTGTCAGACTGTCTGCCTGTCCTGGGGTGGCTAGGAGCTGGGTCTGACCGTTGTATGGTTTGACCTGATATACTCCATTCTCCCCTGCGCCTCCTCCTCTGTGTTCTCTCCATGTCCCCCTCCCAACTCCCCATGCCCAGTTCTTACCCATCATGCACCCTGTACAGTTGCCACGTTACTGCCTTTTTTAAAAATATATTTGACAGAAACCAGGTGCCTTCAGAGGCTCTCTGATTTAAATAAACCTTTCTTGTTTTTTTCTCCATGGCTCCCTGTGTCCTCCAGCCGTGGCTTCATGCCCTGGAGTGGGTAGAGGGCTGGCAGCCTGAGTCTGGGAGATGAGCATGACCCAGCTGGGCCCTGGCCAGGACTGGACCTGGGTCCAAGGGGGAGGAGGGGGGAGTAGTCCTCTTGGCCTCAGAGGGGCTGCAATGCCCCCTGCTGGGGCCACAGGGGAGGGACAGGCCTGGAACCAGAACACCAAGACTGTTAGCCAAGACTAAGAACGGGTTTTTCTTTGCTGCTTCATTCTTTCTTTCATAGGACAGAGGATGGAGATAGCTCCCCATCTTTCCTTTGTCTTCACTGCCAGCCCCTCCACTCTGTCCCCAGCCCCAGCAATGAACTCTGCAAAACTGGCCAGCTCCTGGCCATACTCCCATACCACCAGGCAGGAAGAGGCCGAGGCCTGAGGGTTCTCCCCTACCTGGCACCCAGCCTTAACACCAAAGCTCAGCCTGCCAGACTTCCTGGGGAACAAGGGCCCTGTGTGTCTGCACAGTGAAACCAACCCTTCCCTTCTCAACACAAACTCTGGCCTAGGGAGGGGTGGGTTGTTATGGAACTATGAGTGTCTCAGTGGAGAAGGCCCTACCACTGGGACCCCCATCTCAAGAATGACCTGACTGGAAGTGAGACCAGAGCTCTGGCCACAGTGCAGCACCCCTGCAATCTGCATTCCTTACCCTCCCACAAGTCTCAGACTCCTCCCAGAAAGCAGAAGACATTCCTGAATTCTCAGCGCAGGCTGCTCACTCAGCCCTGGCCAGCAGATGGCTACAGAGTTGGCACCTTTGTCAGCGCTTCCTTTCTCACTGGAGTTTAATTTAATTGAGAACTTCAGGCCTCATTAAGGGCTGTTAGCGCATTTTTAAGGCTCTTTGATGAGCTCTGAAGCCCTAATGGGGTAGCTAAGTATACCAGGGCACTGGGAACTGAAGTTCATGTGCTATTAATCATTTGTCAGACCAGAGTATTTATCTGCGGTGCTGGAAAACAAGGTATTCCTTTTGGATCAGGCTCAAAAGCTGAGGGGTTCCCTGAGTATCCTTCCCCCAGTCTGCAGTGCTGTTTGGCAGTGAGTCAAGCTGAACATACAAACCTGAGCTCTTTCTCGTCCTCAGTCCTCCGTTGTACCCAACCCCAAAGAACCCTATTGGTTTCCTTCCTCAGCACCAGCAGTGCCTCAGGATTCTGTATTTCTTCCTGAGGTTGCTTTACCACCTCCTGCCTGGCCCACTGGGGCTTCCAGGTCTCTTCCAGTCCATCCCACACATGGCCACAAGAATAATCTGAAAGTGAATCTAGCAGGCGCTGCTTGTTCTCTGGAGCATGCGCCTGTGTCCTGAGCGTTTTCTGATCCTCCACCACCAACAGCCAGTTTGTGCAATTTCTTTGCACCTCAGAGCTTTCATAATTTTGTGACTTTTCTATCATGTTCTTATCTTACTCCAGCTACCACGCTGTCATGTTTTTTAGGTTAAGGTGTACTTTTTACTCCTGTTTTGGCTTTTCAAGCTATGTCATACCTGCCTCCCAGAGGTACTTGGAAAATATTGGCTTGACAGCACATGCTTATCCCAAGGCGGAATTCATCTCTACAGTCTTCACATGCCCCACTCCAGCCGTGTGGTAGCACGCCTTGCTTGTGACCCTGGGATAGAGATGGGGATGTTAAGTAGGTTCCTCTCAACCCCAGCACTAATTTGAGAGGAAAAACTATTAAGGATACCGTTCCTTTCTCCCTTCCTGTACTTAAATTGATGTTGAAGGAAATTACTAGAATATTTTCTCCCCAAAATTTTAAAACACAAATGCTAAAAAATGTCAGTCTCTTCATTCTCCTGACCTCAGTGTTTTCACAGGTAAACCTGGAAGGGGTGAGGAGGTTAGGAAAAGCAGCTCCTAAGGTCTCCTGCCCACCCAGCTGCAGGGATGGCTCCCGACCCCAAGTGGGCGCTCGCAGGCCCCTGCCCTTTGGGGAGCAGGGGCCTCCTCTGGATCCTCCACTTTCCTGCTAGCACCTTGCTGCCTGTAAGGTAGAGAGGTCTGAGCATGAAAATCCTCCAGGTATCCCTGGCTGCCCTCACTTGCTGCTGGTCATCACCTTCCGTGTCACATTTCTGCTCAAAACAGTCAATATTCAGCTGCTGTCCCTGGAGTGGCTGCCATTGCAACACAGGAATGTCCCTCTTGTTTAATGTTTTATGATGAAATGTTGGGGCTTTAAAGAGTTGAAAAGCTAAGAGCCGTAGTAAATTAGCCATCCTGGAAAATAGAAATGAAGCCTCAGGTATAATCTTTGAGTCAGAATGTATCTGTATATCTATTCTTTGAGATGAATATGGAAAGACCATGGTGGAGGCAATATAAAGCCAGGGCTCAGAGAGCGTGTGATAGGAGAACCCAAAAGTTTTTTTTTTTTTTTTTTTTTGGCGGTTGGGGGTGGGACGGAGTTTCGCTCTTGTTGCCCAGACTGGAGTGCAATGGCACGATCTCAGCTCACCACAACCTCTGCCTCCTGGGTTCAAGCAATTCTCCTGCCTCAGCCTCCCAAGTAGCTGGGATTACAGGCATGCGTCACCATGCCCGGCTAATTTTGTATTTTTAGTAGAGATGGGGTTTTACCATGTTGGTCAGGCTTGTCTCAAACTGCCGACCTCAGGTGATCCTCCTGCCTTGGCCTCCGAAAGTGCTGGGATTACAGGCGTGAGACATCATGCCTGGCCAAAGTTTTTTTTTTTTTGGCCCCACCAAGATCTACTGCAGCCTCCACCTCCTGAGTAGCTGGGATTACAGACGTGCACCACCACACCTGACTATTTTTTGTATTTTTAATACAGACGGGGTTTCACCACGTTGGCCAGGCTGGTCTCGAACTCCTGACCTCATGATCCGCCCGCCTCTGCCTCCCAAAGTGCTGAGATTACAGGCATGACCGCGCCTGGCCGCCAATTAAAGTTTAACTAGAGTTAAACTATGACAGTGATTCAAAATGGTTGTAAACAGAAAAATGCAGCCACCTTAAGGAAATAGCCTGTTTGTCCAGCAAGCCCTGCCTGGAAGCCAAGTCTTCACACACAGGAAGAGTGGCAGTCCCCAGGTCAGCCAGCAGATCTGACTCAGAGGTCAGGTTGGCAGTGTCCCCCCAAACCCTTGGGGACCAACTGTTTCCTGGGGCAGGTTGGCACTGAGGGTGGAAATGGGCAGCGCCCAACTCCCTCTGGCCCCAACCTCATCAATGGCCTTATGTCCGGGCTGGACCCCTCCAGCCCATCTCGGTATGACCTGGCTTCCTGTGTAGATGCTCTCGGGGAGAGGACGTGCCCACTCGGAGCCCTCTGCAGCCTTGGCAGTCCTGGTGCTCGCTGGAAGTGAGCAAGTTGGCATTCTGGCAACAGACTGCAGGGTGACCGCTAAATGTGAGTCAGCAGGGCCCCACGAAGGCCTCCGTCCTCTCTCCTGGGCTTGCCCTGTACCAGCTGTGATCCCGGATTAGTCACTCCTCCCCTAGGCCCGCCTCCTCGTCCTTACCAGGGGATGACATATGTGTTGACTTAAGGAAATTAAGTGCGGGAGAGCATGGATGCAGGAGGTGAGGTCCCCAGAGCTACGTGGCGCTATCAGTTACCAGGATGAGCCTCAGGATGGCCCTCCCCGCACCCCACGTTCCCCCACCTAGCCTATTCCAGGCTCCTTCCCACCTGCGTTCATTCCCCTCCCCCGCCTCTCCAGTCCCCGGAAGCTTCGAGACCAAAGCCTCACTTCCCCTACTCCAGATATTTCCAGCGTGAACCACCACGCGGGTCCCTAAGCCTCGCGGACAGCCGAGAACCGTGGGGCTGGGGGCGGCGAGAGGTGCGACGGGGACCAGGCCCCTGCCCCATCCCGCCGCGAGGAGCGGAGGGGGTGATGTCACCCGGCCCGCGCGCCCCCTGGCGGGCGTCAGGCCCCACTGCTCTGCGCTTCTGCGTCCTGGCGGGTGGGTGACCAGACTGCGTGTCAGACAGACCCACGCCACTGCCCCGTGTCCGGGTGACCTTGAGCCAGGCTTGTTCCGTCGCGGCGCCACTCATCTGTAAGGCAGGGATAGTCACACTTGCCCTGACAACCGCGTGGGTCGTGAAACTTGTTATTCACTGAGATAGTGAATAACAACGCTACTTGGTCCAGCCACCCCTGTACTCAGTGTCTTACATGGCCTTATCTGATTTCCCAATAACCCTGTAAAGTGATGACTATTGCTATGCTCATTTTACTCCACAAAATTGAATCTGAAAGGTTAAAGGATGGAAAAACATTCTGTAAGCTGCAAAGCACTAGGTAAATATAATTATATTTCTCTCTCTTCTCTCTCTCCCTCCGCTCCCTATGAGAGTTCCCAGTCAGTGAAGGGAACGGAAAAATACAAGGCATCATGTGGTGTGGCACCATAATGCAAATGTGTTCCACCTTCCTCCCCTATTTTGGACACAACTCTTGTCTTCTCTTTTCACATCCTCAGGGATCCCAAGCCTCCTGGGACATTGACCTCTCATATAATCTTGCCCAGGTGAAACCAGCAAAGTCCTTCCTGATGTCTAACCTCGGCCCCTCCTGGGTGTGATCTCCTCTCCACCCAGCAGCACTATCACAGTCCTACCGTTCCATCATCTGCGTGGGGTGGAAGTGAGGCCAGTGAATGGCCCAGAAATCCAGCCCATTGAAACCTGCATGCTGAAAAGGAATGACTTCATCCTGGGACAGGCCAGGTGGCAGGCAAAACAGTCAAGTAGATCAGGGTTGTTTGTAGTGCCACCTGCCCCCTGCACTTTCCACTGGCTATAATCTGCTCTGGGATGAACTGAGTTGGGGTTAAGTTTTACCTTCTTAGTCAAAAGGGGCCTGGAACACTGAACAATGCCCAAGAGAAAAAGGGATGCCTGGTGGGCATGATGACAGAAGGAGGATAGACGTTTTGGACTAGGCTGACAATGGTCGCGAGGTAGAACTTAGTCATACCCCTTAGGCCACTGATAAATCCTTAAAAAGGTGAGACATAGTCATATGTGTATTAATAGAGCAGGTTACTGAATGTCTGATTTACAATTCAGGAGTGTCTCAGACCACAATTTCTGGCCCTTTTCTCACTGCACTCTAGTGATTTTTGTCCTTGCACATGACTTCAGCCATCAGCATCATGCGTAGATCTAAGACTGCAACCCAGGCCTCTCCTACATACCCCTCTGCCTACTAGATATCTTTCCTTGGTGCCCTACAACATGCTTAAAGCTGACCTCCAACCTAGAGTGGTCCTCCATCCCTGCTTTCCCCTTAAGCCCCTACGTTCTAGCATTCTTCCTCAGATAAGGCTTATACTCCTCTTCCCCACCCCTGACTGGTCTCTCTGCCTTCAGCCTCTCTCTTCTCCAAGCTATGTCCTGTGCAGCCTTCAAGTAGGTTATATTTTTCTTGAAAAAAGGGCTGCACTCCAGCCTGGGCGACAGAGTGAGACACTGTCTCAAAAAAAGAGAGAAAAAAGTCTCAAATACAAAAGCATGCAAGTAGTTTTTTGTGTGTTTGTTTTGAACAACACAATTAACAGGTTTGATTTAATAGATTTAACCTGGCTGGGCACAGTGGCTCACGCCTGTAATCCCAGCACTTTGGGAGGCCGAGGCGGACAGATCACCTGAGGTCGGGAGTTTGAGACCAGCCTGACCAACATGGAGAAACCCCGTCTCTACTAAAAATACAAAATTAGTTGGGTGTGGTGGCACATGCCTGTAATCCCAGCTACTTGGGAGGCTGAAGCAGGAGAATCATTTGAACCCGGGAGGTGGAGGTTGCGGTGAGCCGAGATTGCACCATTGCACTCCAGCCTGGGCAACAAGAGTGAAACTCTGTCTCAAAAAAAAAAAAAAATTTAACCGAACGACTAGGTTTTTTTTTTTTTCCTCAAGCACATATGGAGCCTTTAGAGATATTAACCACCTTCTAAAGTTTCAAACGAAGTCTCAAATACAGGCCTGGCACAGTGGCTCATGCCTGTCATCACAGCACTTTGGGAGGCCGACGCTGGCAGATCACTTGAGCCCAGGCATTTGAGACCAGTCTGGGTAACATGGCAAAACCCCATCTCTACAAAAAAAATTTAAAAATCAGTCAGGCCTAGTGGCACATGCCTGTAGTTCCAGCTGCTTGGGAGACTGAGGTGGGAGGATCGCTTGAGCCCAGGAGGTTGAGGCTGCAGTGGGCCATCAGCATGCCACTGCACTCCAGCCTGGGCGACAGAGTGAGACTCTGTCTCAAAAAAAAAGAGAAAAAAAAGTCTCAAATACAAAAGAGCCAGTAACATACACACCACATTGTATGTCTACAACATAATTAAAGGGTATATAAAAAATAATTGAAAATGTAAAACACTTTTAAATTGGTCAAAGAAGATACCATAAGAAATCAGAAAATCCTTAAAATTGAATTGTAATAAAATATTGAATATTATTTGAAATTTGTAATCTATGGAAATTTGTGGAATATAGTAAACATAGTACACAAGGAGAAATTTGTAGCCTTAAATCTTTATGTTGGAAAAACAGAAAGGCTGAAACTAATGTGTTAAGTACTAAAGTTAAGAAAATAGAACAATAACAACAGAACTAGGCAAGGCACGGTGGCTTACACTTATAATCCCAGCACTTTGGGAGGCTGAGGCAGGCGGATCACTTGAGGTCAGGAGTTCCAGACCACCCTGGCCAACATGGTGAAACCCTGTCTCTACTAAAAATACAAAAAAATTAGCAGGGTGTGGTGGCGTGCACACGCACCTGTTGTCCCAGCTACTAGGGAGGCTGAGGCAGGAGAATCACTTGAACCCAGGAGGTGGAGGTTGCAGTGAGCCAAGATCGCATCACTGCACTCCAGCCTGGGTGACAGAGCGAGACTCTGTCTCAAAAAAAAATAAAATAAAATAAACAGAAATTAAAGAAGTCAAAAACAAATATATAAATATAAGATAAGCAAACCTTTGGTGAAATTGTACAAGAAAAAAGAGATAAGACATGAAAAACAATTTTAGAAATGAAGACATACTTTATTTTTTAATGTTATTTATTTATTTATTTGAGACAGAGTCTCACTCTGTCACCCAGGCTGGAGTGCAGTGGTGTGATCTTGGCTCACTGCAACCTCCGCCTCCTGGGTTCAAGGGTCCTCCTGCCTCAGCCTCTCTAGTAGCTGGGATTACAGGTGCCTGCCACCACGCCTGGCTAATTTTTGTATTTTTAGTAGAGAAGGGGTTTCACCATTTTGGCCAGGCTGGTCTCAAACTCCTGGCCTCCGCCCACCTTGGCCTCTCAAAGTTCTGGGATTACAGGTGTGAGCCACCTTGCCTGGCAGAAGACGTACTTTAGATAGAAGAGAAATTGAAAAGATCGTAAGAGTCTGGGCATGGTGCCTCACGCCTATAATTCCAGCACTTTGGGAACCCAAGGCAGAAGGACTGCTTGAGCCCAGGAGTTTGAGACCAGCCTGGGCAACAGCACAAGACTCTGTCTCTACAGATAATTATAAAAATTAGCTGGACATGGTGGTGTTTGTTTTTTTTTTTTAATTTATAGCAAGTTAGGAATAAAAAGAGTAAATATGTTCAGCTGGGTGCGGGTGGCTCATGCCTGTATTCCCAGCACTTTGGGAGGCCAAGGTGGGAGGATCACTTGAGCCCAGGAGTTTGGGATGAGACCAGCCTGGGCAACATAGGGAGACCCTGTCTCTACAAAATAAAAAAATTAGCCAGGCATGGTGGTCCCAGTTACTTCGGGGGTTGAACTGGGAGGATCGCCTGAGTCTGGGAGGTTGAGGCTGTAGTGAGCTATGTATTACTGTACTTCAGCCCCCGCAACAGAACAAGACCCTGGACCCTGTCTCAAAAAACAAACAAACAAACAAAAAGTTCAATGGTGAAATGTTAGAAGCTTTCATTTTCTGATTAGGAATCAGACAGGGATGCCCAGAATCATTATTTCCACTCATCATTGTTCTGCAGGTCCTAGCTGGTGCATTAAAACAAGAAATAAGAGATACAAGAATCAGAAGAGGAGAAACCAAACTGTCATTGTTTTCAGATGATATGGTTGTACCTATAAAACACCAAAACTTTTATAGTCAAATTAAGAATTAATAAGCTAGCTTACCAACTTGCTCAATCAATAAACAAAAATTCAATTGCTCAATTGCTTTTTGAACTCTGGGAAACCGAAAATGAACAAAAATTTCCATTTTCTATGGCATCAAAAAAATAACAATACTAACAATACAGTGAGCAAAAATTATGCAAGAGACTTCCCTTGTGTTCTAGTGGAATGTGAAAATGGAGGCAAAGAGATGGAGTCCATGCTGGCTGTGCAGACCTGCCCAATTGTCCAATGCATCTGAATGTCAGGCTCACTAGTATTGGAGGGTGTCAGTTCAGGGTATTCCCTCAGGAATTCAGAGAGCTAAGGCTCGTGGAACTGGGAAGGCCCAGAAAGTAACGGGACACACCTGGCAGGCACTGAGCTTAAGAGGCTGCTTGTTCTAGGGGTTCAGGGTCCACAGCTACTCTCCATGCTCATATCTCTGATGTCCTGTTACCCTCAGTTGTTTTATTCGTTCACTGAGCTTTATTTAACTCCCCTCCGTGGCCTCTGTGAACCCTAGAGACTCTGTCCAGGCTGAGTCTCTGTGCTCCCTGCAAGACTTTGCTGAGCTTTATGTAGCTTAGGGGTCTGCAAACGTTTTCTGTAAAAGGCAAGAGAGTAAATGTCTTAGGGTTTGCAAGCGTTATGGTCTCTGTCACACCTATCGATTTTGACTTTATGTTACAGAAGCAGTCAAAGACAAGGGCTACGTTTCAACAAAACTTCATTAAAATTGGCCAGGCGCAGTGGCTCACGACTGTAATCTCAGCACTTTGGGAGTCTGAGGCGGGCAGATCACCTGAAGTCAGGAGTTCGAAACCAGCCTGGCCGACATGGTGAAACCCGGTCTCTACCAAAAATACAAAAATTAGCCGGGCGTGGTGGCGGGCGCCTGTAATCCCAGCTACCTGGGATGCTCAGGCAGGAAAATCGCTTGAACCCGGGAAGTGGAGGTCGCAGTATGCTGAGATTCTGCCATTGCACCCCAGCCTGGGAGACGAGTGAGACTCCGTCTAAAAAAAAAAAAAAAAAACTTCATGAAAACAGAAATTCAAATTTCATATAATTTTCCCATGTCAAAATAATATCTTTCTTTTGATTTTTTTTTCAACCATTATGAAGTGTAAAAACCCTTCTTAGCCCACAGGCCATTCAAAAAACAAGCAGCAGGCCCACCAGCTGCAGACCTTGGGTTGTTAATCCCTGCTTTAGCTGGCCACCCTCCGACAGCAGAAGGTTGGGCTGGGCCTAGGAGGTTTCATGGAGGAATAAAAGGGATCTGGGGAACATCAGTGGTTCCAAGGCTGGGAATAAGGCTTCGGACGGTGTAGTTTTTTTTTGTTTTGTTTTTGTTTTCTGAGACGGAATCTTGCTCTTATTGCCCAGGCTGGAGTGCAATAGCGCGATCATGGCTCACCGCAACCTCCACCTCCTGGGTTCAAGCGATTCTCCTGCCTCAGCCTCCTGAGTAGCTGGAATTACAGGCATGTGCCACCACACCCAGCTAATTTTGTATTTTTAGTAGAGACGGGGTTTCTCCATGTTGGTCAGGCTGGTCTCAAAACTCCTGACCTCAGGTGATCCGCCCGCCTTGGCCTCCCAAAGGTCTGGGATTACAGGCGTGAGCCACCCGTGCCCAGTCTGGAAGACATAGTTTTAAGCCTGTCTTTTATAACCTTCACTTCTCTCACTCTTAAGATCAGGACTTCTTACCAGTGGCATTTGCAGCCCTCTGCGACCTAACCCCCATCTGCAGGGCTACTTTCAACTCCTTGTGCTTCCCTTTGGGGTTCCTGAGCTATGGTTCCTCTAATGGGGCTCTGTTCCTTTCCATGCTTTCCATGTCATGGCCTGGCTAGGCATGGTCCTAAGACTGCTCCCTTTCCCAAGCTGAGCTGAGGGCCTCTGCGGCTTCTCCCATCCTCCTATGGTTCACACTTGGCTGCTGCAGCCTCCAGTGGGTTAAGGGCTCCCAGTCCTGTGTATGCATCTCTGCATCCCCAGGATCTCCACACAGTGGAGGCTTAGTGAGTGTCAATGAGTGGAAAACGATGGAGCTTGTGGACACAGGTAGGCGGTCTCCTGAAAGGCTTCCTGGAAGAGAAAGTGGAATTTCTTTTTTTTTTTTCTTTTTTGAGACAGAGTCTCACTGTGTCGCTCAGGCTGGAGTGCAGTGGCGTGATCTCGGCTCACGGCAACCTCTGCCGCCCGGGTTCAAGTGATTCTCCTGCTTCAGCCTCCCAAGTAGCGGGGACTATAGGCGCGCTACCACGCCCGGCTAATTTTTGTATTTTTAGTAGAGACAAGGTTTCACCAGAGTGGCCAGGCTGGTCTTGAACTCCTGACCTGGTGATCCGCTGGACTCGGCCTCCCAAAGTGCTGGAATTACAGGCATGAGCCACCGCGCCCAGCCCCCTTTTTTTTTTTTTTTTTTTTTTGAGACGGAGTTTCTCTTTTGTTGCCCAGGCTGGAGTGCAATGGCATGGTCTCAGCTCACTGCAGCCTCTGCCTCCAGAGTTCAAGCAATCTTCCTGCCTCAGCCTCCCAAGTAGCTGGGATTACAGGCATGTGCCACCACGCCCAGCTAATTTTTAGTAGAGACGAGGTTTTTCACCATGTTGGCCAGGCTGGTTGTGAACTACTGACCTCGGGTGATCCACCCACCTCGGCCTTCCAAAGTGCTGGGATTACAGGTATGAGCCACTGTGCCCAGCAGAGAAAGTGGAATTTCTATGCTGGTGTAACATTTGAGATTTTCCCATTTAGAAAGTCTTCAGGAAGCCGTCGAGTCTTGACACAGAAAGGATCCAGCTCAGGGGAAGCCCATCCACAGGAGTGATTCCTGCTTTGGATTTAGGTCCTAGGGGTGAGATCACATCCCTGCTCCATTTCTGGAGCAGAAAGGGAGCTAGTGCAGCAAGGACTCTGAGTAGACGGGCCTTGGGAGTCACTGAAGCCACTTCCCTGTTGACAGAATGTGCACACTGACTTTCATCCGCTCACAGGAGAGTGAGAGTTTGTGAATGCTCTCTGTGAACTGGGGAGCAGATTTTTAATGAGCTCTGCTTAGAAGGAGAGGACACGTTAAGGGATCACGCTCCCACTGGTTTGCGGTTTTGGTCAGGAATAGAGCACCCAACGCCCCTTCTTATAGACTTCTCCCAGCCATAGGCTTTTTGCAGACCATAATGAAAGGGAGAAAGGATATCCAATCGGGATGGTGATGGCAGGCATGGCGAAGTGGACAGGGACAAAGAAGAGGAAAGCAAGGGACACCCTTTGTTCTTTGGTATTCAACACATGAACAAAACTTGTTAACGAATCGTAGACTGGGTAACAACAGGGCTGGTGAGGGAGGACGATGTGGGTGGCTGTGGGGAAACTCTTCCCAAGCATCCCAGGGGTGGGCCAGGAAGGGGAGCAGATGGACATCTACAGGGCACAGAGCAGGGAGTGGCTATTCTCTCCTGGAGGGGTTGTGGGTCCAGCAGGCTTTCGGATGAGGCCTTGGAAAGGCAAGGACAGCTTGCCAACTGGAGGGCAGGCAAAACGGCTGAGCCAGGCCAGACACGGCAGCTCACTGGCCAGGGGCATGGCCTAGGGGCTCTGGTGCCAAGGCTGAAGGGGAACAACTTGGCCAGCCGCTCTGTGGCCGGCATCGTCACGCGGCCTCCAAGAGCTCCGGCTGCCCTGCACTGGTTCCCAGAGACTCCCTCCTTCCCAGGTCCAAATGGCTGCAGGAGCGAAGTGGGCGGAAAAAAAGCGAACCAGCTTGAGAAAGGGCTTGACGTGCCTGCGTAGGGAGGGCGCATGTCCCCGTGCTCCGTGTACGTGGCGGCCGCAGGGGCTAGAGGGGGGTCCCCCCCGCAGGTACTCCACTCTCAGTCTGCAAAAGTGTACGCCCGCAGAGCCGCCCCAGGTGCCTGGGTGTTGTGTGATTGACGCGGGGAAGGAGGGGTCAGCCGATCCCTCCCCAACCCTCCATCCCATCCCTGAGGATTGGGCTGGTACCCGCGTCTCTCGGACAGGTCAGAGCGGGTCGCCGGGTGGGGTCGCTGCAAAAACCCTGCCCCGGCCGCAGCCGGAGAGGCGGAGCCTCGCGGGGAGGGGGCGGGACCGCCGAGACAGGCCTGGAAACTGCTGGAAATGCCGCAGTGCCGCCGCCGCGCCTTCCGCCGCATGTCGGCAAAGAGTCCCCGCCAGCCCCGGCCGGCGCCCTCCCCCTACGCTGAGCTGCCCCTCAGCGCGAACCCTCCGCCCTTCCTCTACTCCTGCGAGAGTCGGGATCTGGGGCTACCCAAGGTTGGGTCCCGAATGCCAGTCCCTCTGTCGGGACGCGAGATGTGTAGGGCAGATGCTAGGAAGAAGATTGGGTCTGGGAGCGGTGGTCCGCGTGGTTAGCTGCCTCCGCTCTTTTTCGGTGTCCCCCCCAGTCCCGCCCTTGGGTGTGGGGACGCCTGCCCCACAAGTGTTTAGGGAGGTCAGTGGGTTCCTCGCCCGTAGAGACACCGTTTATGCCAAATGAGCACTCCTCATCCCCGCTCTTGATGGAGTCATGTCCTAGACGTGAAACTATGGGGCTGTGATCACAAGCAAATGTGTGGGCGGATCCGTTGCTTGGGTTCTTCCCCGCCCCCTCTTTTTTTCGGACCATGACGTCAAGGTGGGCTGGTGGCGGCAGGTGCGGGGTTGACAATCATACTCCTTTAAGGCGGAGGGATCTACAGGAGGGCGGCTGTACTGTGCTTCGCCTTATATAGGGCGACTTGGGGCACGCAGTAGCTCTCTCGAGTCACTCCGGCGCAGTGTTGGGACTGTCTGGGTATCGGAAAGCAAGCCTACGTTGCTCACTATTACGTATAATCCTTTTCTTTTCAAGGTAAGGCTGAGATCTCCGCTAGGCTTCTTTCCCTTTAGTGCTGTATTCGTGTTGTTTTTGTTTTTTTCTGTCCTTTAGGGAGCCTTAGTCTAGATGTCGGGGTGGCTTGTGGATAACGCTCTGGATTTTTATAGGGTGAGGGTAGTGGTGGGTGAGGTTTTTTGAGTCCTCCTCGGTTTTCTCTAGTGTGTTTGGGGGGTGGGGCTTTCTCTCGGCGCCTGCTGGCCGTAGCGAGGTGGGCTGTGGGGTTGGGGCAGTGGGCGGCTGGCAGCTGCACGTGGTGGCCGCGCGGCCCGGGACGCTGCCATTTTTGCCCCTCCACTTCCGGACGCGGCTACGGGGCGTCGGAGGGGGACCGCAGGGTGGCGGGGGTGCCCGCTCGGGTGACTCAGCACGGCCTTGTGGGACTGGCTTTGTCACCTCTCTTATCGGACGCGTTGTTAAAGCCTTCTTGGGTGCTTTGTTTCTGTGAGGGAGGGTTGACGGTGTGGGAAGAGAGCTTTCGGTCTCCAGCACCCGATACTCCCTCCTTCCAGATCTTTCTTGCAGTCCCGGTGGAGGAGGGGCGGGGAGGGGAGCAGGTTCTGGAAGATTCATGGGCTCCTTCCTCCGCCCTTCCTCGAGAGCTGAGATTGTTCTGGAAGCTTCTGGATTCTGGCGCCCCGCCCCAGTGCCCGGATGCTGGGGCGAGGGAGGGTGCACTGCGGCGCCCCCTCCTCGCGTGGTCCTGGCCGACGCATGTCCGGCAGTGACGAGTGTCGGCCTGGTGGCTACGGCCACCATCTTTCTTGGGTTTGGTCCTGTTCTGTAATTTTGTGCTGTGAAAGGGTCGTGGTGGAGCTTTTGGCTTAAGAATTCTTTGTCCGGATTTAATTGCTCCTCCGGTGGGTATCGTATGGATCCCAGGTTATTCCTCCCTGCCCTATGGGGCAGGAGTGTCCCGCCCTTGGACTGGTCTTAGGAACTGACACCTCAGGGGGAGCAGTTTAAAGTTAGTGCCATTTTTATCTTAAACTAGTCACTTTGATCTCCCCCAAATAAAGAACTGTAGGTAGTGATTTTCACATTTAAATTTGTGTAAGGATTACTTGGGATCTCTAGATACCTGGGTTGGACCAACATTATGATTTTTCTGCCATACTACCAGATGATGCTGAGGCTGCTGGTCACCATTCTTTAAGTAGGTGGGTTCTGTGACATTTGGTTGAAGAATATTTAGCTTATTTTCTTTTTCCTTCTGAATTTTCAGGCCTCCCACTTAGTGTGTAGTCTGAGATCTTTAAGAGAATGCATTTTTAGTCTTGGGAAGGGATAGTACTCCGGTTAAACCAGTCTGAACTCACTGTCTAAGGTCCTAACAAATGATATGACCTTTAGGATTTTTAAACATGGGGCCTTAGTGTTCTTTTGTAATTAATGAGATTTTTATTTTAGATGCCTGAGGAAGTGCACCATGGAGAGGAGGAGGTGGAGACTTTTGCCTTTCAGGCAGAAATTGCCCAACTCATGTCCCTCATCATCAATACCTTCTATTCCAACAAGGAGATTTTCCTTCGGGAGTTGATCTCTAATGCTTCTGATGTAGGTGCTCTGGTTTCCACATTTGGCATGGTTTTTTTTTTTGATACTCTAGAAGGAGGGGAAAGGAGTGGTTTGGCCTTTGTTGGGGACTACTATTGAAGGGGGTAAACTTGCAGCTATTCCAAAAAGATGGGTTTTACTCTGGCCATCTTGAACTTGGAAGGGACTATGTCCAGAATAAGTGGGCTCATGGAACTAACTGGTTCTAAAGCCTCAAGATAGGGGGCAATCAGATTTGAGGCTGAGAGAGGTAAACCAAGATTTTCTTTGAAGATACGGGCTTTAAGAAAGCAAAAGTGGCTGAGCGTGTTGGCTCACACCTGTAATGCCAAGGCAGGAGGATCACTTGAGCCTAGGATTTCGAGGGCAGCCTGGGCAACCGCGAGACCTTGTCTCTGCAAAAAATTAAATATTAGTTGGGCACGGTGGCATGTGCCTGTAGTCCCAGCTACTTGGGAAGCTGGGGTTGGGAGGATGGCTCGAACCTGGGAGGTCAAGGCTGCAGTGAGCTGTCATCCTTGCCACTGCACTGTAGCTTGGGCAACAGAGCAAGAGTCTGTCTTGGAAAGAGCAAAAGTAAGTTGCTGTTTGTATTTCCAGGCCTTGGACAAGATTCGCTATGAGAGCCTGACAGACCCTTCGAAGTTGGACAGTGGTAAAGAGCTGAAAATTGACATCATCCCCAACCCTCAGGAACGTACCCTGACTTTGGTAGACACAGGCATTGGCATGACCAAAGCTGATCTCATAAATAATTTGGGAACCATTGCCAAGTCTGGTACTAAAGCATTCATGGAGGCTCTTCAGGTATTGCAGTTCTGTAGGCATTCATACTTATCTGTGTTCTTTGGTTTTTTGCTTCTTTAAAACTTGTGATTGACTTTAAACTTGTTGGCAGGCTGGTGCAGACATCTCCATGATTGGGCAGTTTGGTGTTGGCTTTTATTCTGCCTACTTGGTGGCAGAGAAAGTGGTTGTGATCACAAAGCACAACGATGATGAACAGTATGCTTGGGAGTCTTCTGCTGGAGGTTCCTTCACTGTGCGTGCTGACCATGGTAAGTTAGCTTTTCTGTTACAAGGTAGTTGGGTTAGGATTTTCTGGGCTCACACCAGTAGCAGAAATTTTGGGCATCCTGTCTGTAAAGCAGTTCTTCACAGCAGTTCTGCTGATACTTACTAATTGCTGGTCTCAACTGCATATACTTTTTACCCTGTTACACGCTTGTAATTGACTCTTCTAGGTGAGCCCATTGGCAGGGGTACCAAAGTGATCCTCCATCTTAAAGAAGATCAGACAGAGTACCTAGAAGAGAGGCGGGTCAAAGAAGTAGTGAAGAAGCATTCTCAGTTCATAGGCTATCCCATCACCCTTTATGTGAGTATGGACTTTTAAATCTTTTACACTTAACGTGCAGGATGTTTCCTGTTCTGGAGAATCTCATTGTCCCTGGCTTTTGCTTTCCCTGGTAGTGTTTTGTACTCCAAGGCTAACTTCTGTTTTTGTTACTTAGTTGGAGAAGGAACGAGAGAAGGAAATTAGTGATGATGAGGCAGAGGAAGAGAAAGGTGAGAAAGAAGAGGAAGATAAAGATGATGAAGAAAAACCCAAGATCGAAGATGTGGGTTCAGATGAGGAGGATGACAGCGGTAAGGATAAGAAGAAGAAAACTAAGAAGATCAAAGAGAAATACATTGATCAGGAAGAACTAAACAAGACCAAGCCTATTTGGACCAGAAACCCTGATGACATCACCCAAGAGGAGTATGGAGAATTCTACAAGAGCCTCACTAATGACTGGGAAGACCACTTGGCAGTCAAGGTGTGAGAAGCCTTTGCATGTTGGCTCAACATGCACATATGGAGAGGAATGAGTTAGGTGGAAGAGTGTTGGGTAATAGACACACGGAACTTGTCCAACTGATAACAGAAATGTGATAGCCATGTGATTTCACTTACTGATTACCCTGTCATAGTGAAGTGCCATCATTTCTAATGACCTCACTTTCTCTTCTTATGGAAATCTGGGTAATGTCTATTGGCAGCCTTACACATCCAGGGTTCTGATCAGAGGGGACTGTTTTCTACATACAGCTAGTACCCATCTAGATCGTGGAGGGCATTAAGGCTCAGTTTTCTCAGGAGCTGCTTGTTGTGTGTGCTCTATCCCTTAGGCTTAGGGAGGATCATTGTTCCACTTTTAGATAATTTGGTGTTGGGGCTAAAAGGTCCTCTTTTGAAATGTACCACTTATTTTTGGTTTCTTTCAGCACTTTTCTGTAGAAGGTCAGTTGGAATTCAGGGCATTGCTATTTATTCCTCGTCGGGCTCCCTTTGACCTTTTTGAGAACAAGAAGAAAAAGAACAACATCAAACTCTATGTCCGCCGTGTGTTCATCATGGACAGCTGTGATGAGTTGATACCAGAGTATCTCAGTGAGTATCTCCTTGGCCTAATTTAGTTGGGTGAAGTCTTGGGAGGTTTTAGGCATTCTGCTAGGATATTCTAAGGTAACAGTTTTCTGCAATACATAGTAGGTGTAAGGGTTCAGGAGGCTATTAGAGCCTTCTGTTTGAATCTGGGGACCAGGTCTGGTCTAGCTGTTTTTTACTGAGCTTTCTCACCCTGGTTGATGGCAGATTTTATCCGTGGTGTGGTTGACTCTGAGGATCTGCCCCTGAACATCTCCCGAGAAATGCTCCAGCAGAGCAAAATCTTGAAAGTCATTCGCAAAAACATTGTTAAGAAGTGCCTTGAGCTCTTCTCTGAGCTGGCAGAAGACAAGGAGAATTACAAGAAATTCTATGAGGCATTCTCTAAAAATCTCAAGGTAAAAAGGCAAATAATGCTTATTCCCTTTACCACTTTCTTAGTAATAACAATAAATTATTCCATTCACATTGAAAGTGAAGTTATTGTAGTTAAGCTGGATTGTTTTTCCTCTTCCCACCCTTCAAGCTTGGAATCCACGAAGACTCCACTAACCGCCGCCGCCTGTCTGAGCTGCTGCGCTATCATACCTCCCAGTCTGGAGATGAGATGACATCTCTGTCAGAGTATGTTTCTCGCATGAAGGAGACACAGAAGTCCATCTATTACATCACTGGTGCGTTGACTCTGATTGAAGCCTTTTTGGAGGAGTGGGGAGCACAATTAGGGCTTCCTGGGAACTGGCAGTATGAGGCATTTTAGTCACTGAGTTCATTTAATTACCCTACAGGTGAGAGCAAAGAGCAGGTGGCCAACTCAGCTTTTGTGGAGCGAGTGCGGAAACGGGGCTTCGAGGTGGTATATATGACCGAGCCCATTGACGAGTACTGTGTGCAGCAGCTCAAGGAATTTGATGGGAAGAGCCTGGTCTCAGTTACCAAGGAGGGTCTGGAGCTGCCTGAGGATGAGGAGGAGAAGAAGAAGATGGAAGAGAGCAAGGCAAAGTTTGAGAACCTCTGCAAGCTCATGAAAGAAATCTTAGATAAGAAGGTTGAGAAGGTAAGCCATTCTGGGGCTAGGATATATTTTGTAACATCTTCGAGGTGGGCTCCCTCACAAGCATGTTTCTATACAATTAGTGGTTTGAGGCAGCCTATTTACTGTTTCATGCCTTCTTGCCTCTTGTTCTCTTCTCTAGTCAGGTTTAAGGCTATTTTAATAAAATTTGGCACAGATTAGGCATTGCTTCAGTTAACTTCTGAGAGTAGATAAAATACCATCATTTTCTTTTTTTTTTCTTTTTTTGAGATGGGGTCTCGCTCTGTCACCCAGGCTGGAGTGCAGTGGCACGATCTCTGCTCATTGCAAGCTCCGCCTCCTGGGTTCACGCCATTCTCCTGCCTTAGCCTCCTGAGTAGCTGCCACTACAGGCGCCCGCCACCACACCCCGGCTAATTTTTTGTATTTTTAGTAGAGATGGGGTTTCATCGCGTTAGCCAGGATGGTCTCCATCTCCTGACCTTGTGATTCGCCCACCTCGGCCTCCCAAAGTGCTGGGATTAACAGGCGCAAGCCACCATGCCTGGCCGATTTTTTTTTTTTTTGGACTGGATCTCGCTCACTGCAAACTCAAGTCTCCTGAGTGGCTGGGATTACAGATGTGTGCTACCACACCCGGTTAATTTTTTGTAGACAGGGTTTTGCCATGTTGGCCAGCATGGTCTCAAACTCAAGTGGTCTGTCCACCTCCTCCCCCTGCTGGAATTAGGCTTGACAATGCCTGTTTTCTCTTTCAAAGTGGTAATGTCAATCTAAGGCTTTTGTGATCGTCCACAGGTGACAATCTCCAATAGACTTGTGTCTTCACCTTGCTGCATTGTGACCAGCACCTACGGCTGGACAGCCAATATGGAGCGGATCATGAAAGCCCAGGCACTTCGGGACAACTCCACCATGGGCTATATGATGGCCAAAAAGCACCTGGAGATCAACCCTGACCACCCCATTGTGGAGACGCTGCGGCAGAAGGCTGAGGCCGACAAGAATGATAAGGCAGTTAAGGACCTGGTGGTGCTGCTGTTTGAAACCGCCCTGCTATCTTCTGGCTTTTCCCTTGAGGATCCCCAGACCCACTCCAACCGCATCTATCGCATGATCAAGCTAGGTCTAGGTAAGTAGCTTTGGTACTTGGTGTGGCAAGGAGTTTGTGCAACTCGTCTCCTCTATGGATTTGACTTAATGCTATTTGGTCAAGTCTCACATGGCTTAATTTTACTTCAGGTATTGATGAAGATGAAGTGGCAGCAGAGGAACCCAATGCTGCAGTTCCTGATGAGATCCCCCCTCTCGAGGGCGATGAGGATGCGTCTCGCATGGAAGAAGTCGATTAGGTTAGGAGTTCATAGTTGGAAAACTTGTGCCCTTGTATAGTGTCCCCATGGGCTCCCACTGCAGCCTCGAGTGCCCCTGTCCCACCTGGCTCCCCCTGCTGGTGTCTAGTGTTTTTTTCCCTCTCCTGTCCTTGTGTTGAAGGCAGTAAACTAAGGGTGTCAAGCCCCATTCCCTCTCTACTCTTGACAGCAGGATTGGATGTTGTGTATTGTGGTTTATTTTATTTTCTTCATTTTGTTCTGAAATTAAAGTATGCAAAATAAAGAATATGCCGTTTTTATACAGTTCTGCTTTCCCTTGTGAAGTGGATGTTATCCTTCCCTAGCTTCTTCATCCCTCCAGCTCTTGCTGTTTTCATGAGCACAGCAAGTTGAGCTGGTTTTGTAGTGAAAATAACAGAATACCAGTGAGTCTTAAGAGTTCACACACTGAAGCTAAAGGCAGTTTGGAAAAACTACCATATAATAATGCCCTTTCAGTCAACCAAAACACAGGACCAAGTCCACTGCAGTAATTTAATTTAATAAAATAAAATTATAAGAGCAAAAAGTTACATTTCTAAAGTACCAAAACCTGCAACAGGCTCATGGAACAGAGCCTAGGGATCCAGGAGCATAGGAGGTGGTGGTGCTGGGCAGGGCTCTGCATCCCCTTTCCTCAGCACAGCACCATCTTCACCCTCCTGGGAAAGCAGCATTGGAGCCTACACCGCTTGTGCTTTTCTCACCAGGGTAAGAAATGCAGGTATTTGCAGAGGGGAGTGAGTCTGGAAGGTGGCAGAGCACAGCTAGGGCAAGACTTAAGGGAACTTGTGGGAAGAGTAACTGGAACCTACCTATGCTCTCTTGACCCCAAACTCCCCAAAACCCCTCACTGAGGACTGTCTACCCCCGGGGCTCAGAATAAACTGCTTACTGGAAGATGGGTGACTTAAGGCAAAAGGGAAGGCTGCCTCCTGGGCTCCCCAATCCCCTGCTGCAGAGCTGGTCTGTGATACTGAGAAAACACCTGCATTTTGCCCTTTCAGCCAGCTCCCTCAGAGGTTACAGCAGAAGGGGATGGTGGGAGGGTCCTATTTCACTTCACCCCTCAGGCCCTTTCCACCCTCAAACCTTCTGCACAGGAGACTCAACAGGCACAGCCTTCTTTCCCCGTTGCTTTAGACGGCCCCGCGCGTAGACTCTGAGCAGGAGGGCAGCAAAGACCACAGCCACCCCCAGCCCTCCCACCACAGTGACAGTGTGGCCATAGAGAAGGCAGGAAAGAAGGATGGCAAAGGCCTGGCGGAGGGTCATGATGATGGTGAAGACGGCAGCCCCAAACTGCCCAATGGTGTAAAAGATGAAGAGCTGGCCACATGCGGAGCAGATGGAGAGTAGCAGGGCATGGGCAGCAAACTCACTGTGTCGCCCCATGAAGCGGGTTCCCTCCAGTAGGGCCCCCTGTTCTAGCAGTGAGCCCACTGTGAAGAGGCAGGAGAAGAAATTGACCCCAAACATCATCTGCACCGATGACATCTTATAGGCAAACAGGGCATCCTGCCAGTTTGAGGTGAAGCTGTCAAAAGCAATATAACCTGCCAGTAAGATGAGGCCTGAGAGTGTGGTGGCTGGGGAGCTGCGGGGCTCTGGTCCGCTGGATAGCAGAAACATGCTGACCCCAATGGAGATGAGGGTGGCTGTCAGGTACTCCCAGTGTTCGTAGCTGCGCCGAGACACAAGCTTTCCCATCAGCATGACAGGGATCACCTTAGAGGCCTTGGCCAGCACCTGGGTGGGGAAGCTGACGAACTTAAGAGCTTCGTATTGGCACCAGCTGCTAAGCACATTGGACAGGCTGGCAAAGGAGTACCGGTACATGGGTGCCCCATGCCGGGGCTGCTTGCAGAGAACACAGGAGAGGCCAGCCACAATCAGTGCCAGCACTCGGTTCATTAGCACCAGGAACTGCGAGTCCGTAAAGCGCTCACCCGGTGATGTGGCTGTGGCCCCATAGCTGCGGGTCATCACTCTTTCCTGCAGCACACCCCAAGTCAGATAAGACACCTGTTGGGGAAGGTAGAGACAAAGGAGACAATAAGCAAGATAATGAAAAGGTAGACAAAAATTGACCTCTCTCTCTTCAGGATTATGCCTAAGTGATTCAAAGGAAAATATACACTTTTTGGTTCCTCTGTAGAAGTTTCTTCTCCCCTCCTAAGTCTGGATTCACCTTGTAGGGAATCAACTGTGTGTGAAAAACCTATTCAGGGAGGCAAGAACTCTCAGAATTGGGTATCTGTAGTTCAACATGATATTCAAGGTGGAACTAGTACCCACTGCAAAATGCCATGGGGTCAGCATGTTAGCACTCTCTCACATGCAGTACTGGGGGAAGGCTGAATGGCTCCCCCACAATTTTATCAGTGGGTTTACAGTATGTGAGACACCAGTGCAGGAAGGAAGTATAATAACGGCACAGTAGAAATCACAGAGAATAGGGCAAGAGGAGTCCTCTCTTCTGCACTAGACATCTTGAAATAACAGCATGAACTTTCAGTACCAGTGCTGGAGAGGAGAAAAGGAAGAAACAAAAGGGCATTTCCCCCAAACACCTCAAAGATGGAGGTGCAGTGTGCCCCTGGGAGGAGGACACGAAACACACCAGCCAGCAAAGCTCTGGGACTGGTAAAATGGAAACCTTCACAGAATCCCTGCCCACCGGCATCCAACCCAGGAAGAGAGGCTGAGCCCACCTACCCACCTGGAGCCCTGTGGCACAGAAGAGCAGCTTCAGGGCCTGCCACATCGGGGTGGTCTCTGCCGCCTCTGTTCGGGGCGCCAGGGGAACCTCATCAGAGGCCTTGGGCTCATTGCCAAACACACAAGCTTTCACCAGGGGAAAGCAGAGGCCCCTACCTGAAGAAAGCACACAAAGTCAAGCCCCAAATCTTCTCCATAGCACTTCATCTTCCCCAGAGCAGCCAGCCTGCCCTGCTGTCCGGCCTACCGACCTCCCGCCCTCTCCAAGTCATATCCCGTTTGGACTGCTGGCCAAATACCCTCTTTCCCGACCTAGCTCACTTCCCCGCCCTTTCTTCACACACCGGTCTCCAGGTAGTTCTTCCGCCTGAAGTACTGCACCAGGAGGTAGCCAGGTACCATAAAGCTGGCATAGCCAGCAGCATTCACCACAAATCGGAAGAACCATAGCTGGGTCCATGACTCCGGAGGGGCTTCGGGAGTCTCCCCACCTGCCCCTAGGGAGGGGAACGCAGCCAGCACCACCACTGCCCACCATCTGTAAGGAAAGCGGACATAAGGATTAGGGCGCAGCTCCTCATCCCCTCCGCCCTCCAGAGGGGACCACACTGGAGTAGTGCCCGGAGTCTCCTCCCCGCCCCCTCCGCTGCAGCTCCGGCCCGGACAAAGAGCCTCTCTCTCTCTCTCTCTCTCGGGGAGGGGGTGCGCCGGCGCTGGCCAGGCAGAGCTTCCTCCCTCCCCGGGGGCGGATCCGCCCCTCTGGCCACACAGGTCTCCTCTGTTCCCTCCAACGCTAGCCGGCTGCTCAGGTCAGAGGAAGCGCCCCTTCCCCCACACTCCCCTCCACGATCCGGGACGTCAGGGTCCCCAGCCCCTCCGCCCGAAGCTCCCCAAGGAGCACAAAACCAAGCCGCAGCTCCCATCCCCGCTGGCTCCGGGCAGCGATATGCTGGCCGACGGCCGAGCAGCCGGGACCCCACCCGGCCCCCGTGCTGAGGCGCGGCAGTCACGTGGCCCGGGGGCTCGGTCACGTGAGCTCGCTGCTGCCCTAGCCCCCACCTGGCGTCCATGGTCCAGGCCGCGTGGGGTGGAGGGGGAACCGGGGAATGCGAGTCCCCGGGCCGCGCGCCCCCTGCGCTCCCGCCGCCGCCTCCAGGAGCGGCCAGCGAGCCAGCGGCCAGCGGAAGTGCCGCGCTCTTCCCGCCTCCCTCCCCGCGGCCCCCTCCGCCCCTGCCGCGACCACGCAGCGCCCCGGGCCGCCGCCGGACCACAGCGCCCCCGCGCGGCCCGGAGGCAGACGCGGCTTGGGTTCCGGGGACCTGGGCTGCCCCTGGGCGCGGGGAGCCCCAGCCCTGAAGAGGCGCCCGCCCGGCGTGTCCCCTGTGCTTCGTCATCGCCCTTCATAAGCGTCCCAGAGGTCATGGTGACCATTGCCATCTTGTGGACAGGACATTGAGGCTCTGCATCCCAAGCCGCTCCTCTGTGTTAGTTTCCCCGTTTTCTGACAGGATGAAGGTGTCTCCTTGCTTTGTTGGCTGGGTAGTAATTCTGTCCCACTTCCCATGATCTTCGAGGCTCTACATGGCCTCGCCCGCGTTCCTCGCCCACTCACTCGCCCGCTGTGAAGCCCCACTGGCTTGCTCTCAGTTCCTCTAATTCACAGGCTTTCCCCCTAATGCTCTGCCCCCATCCCTTTACTCATCCTTACATCCCAGTTGAGATGATACTCCTCAGGCGAGGGTTCCCGGACCACCCAAAGTATGACCCTCTACCGACTCCATCCTTTTCCTTCCCACTATTCTTTTCCCTTCATAGCACCCACTGCAACTTGGAAAGGCATCTTTATTTGGATGTTTATGCTTTTAACGGCTGTCTCTCTCACTGGATGAGACGCTCCAAGTGGTCAGAGACTGTGCTGGTTTATTGCCCCATGCTCTTCATGCCAGCATAGGGGTGACCTAGCAGGGCCCTCGAAGGTGAGGAACGGGGGGAAAAACGTGGAGTCAGCTCCCTCGTGCCCAGCCTCCCTGGGTTACCCTTATCCCCAGGCTCCTCCAGATGGCAACCCCCAGGGCAGTGGTGAGGGCTCCAGGGCGTGTGTCCTCTCATTCTTCCTCTTGTCCCTCCATCCCTCATCATTTCCACAGCAAGGACAAGGGTCTGTGCTGGACACAGAGAAAGGCCTGGAACTACTGGCCTCTGACCCCACCCAGCAAGGCCCTACCGTGCTCAGGGGACAATTTCCTTCTCTCTGCCTCTACCACAAAGTCACAGGGCAGGCCTGTCTAAAAAGCCCCAATGCACACAGACATGCATGCGCGCAAAACAGCTCTAGAAGGGAAAAACTTTTTTTAACGTCTCTGCCATTTTAGTGTCATGTTACTGAAACTTCCCTTCCCCAGTGGCTCAGTTCAGAGCCTTCTGTGTGAAGTCTTTAAACAACGGTGTTTCAGGGTCCTCAACAGCAATAAGATGGGACACCTCTCAGGGTTCTGCTTGCTCCTATTTCAGTCTCTTCTCACTCAGGAGAGTCCATGCTTCCTACTGGTTGGCAGTTTCAGGCTGACCCAACATGGGTAAAACAAGAGCACCTGCCATTTTCAAGAGAGGCAAACAGGCTTCACCCAGGATACCTGGGGCTTTGGGGGTCTTCCAAGAAGCCCTGTCCACCTGGAAAGCTCTTCCTTCCAGACTGGCTCTCTTCCACTTGCAGTCCCTCCTCCTCGGCTCAGGACTGTACTGGCTGGCCCCAGGCTCTGGCCACAGCAGTCCCTAGGGCACCAGAAGAGCACATAGCCTGGGCCCAAACTGCAGCAGTTATGGCTCCGGCTTCCAGATGGAGAGGTGGAGCCCTGAGGATCCCAGACCCTGCCTGGCTTCAGTCGGTACACAGCAGCAGTTTCCCTGAGATCTTCAGGTCATCAAAGGGCAAAAGGACAAGGGACTGAGAAGGAGAATGGAGAGAAGCAAGATCAGAGGACATGGGAAAAGGTGACTTGGGAAAGGGGACCCAGGGAAACCTGTTGGGCCACTCCCTCCCCACCAAATGACAGTTGAAGACCATCAGGGAACAAATCTTCACACGAATCCTCAAAATAGTGGCCCCTCTGGGCTTGGCAGAGCCCTGAGGACTTAGACAAGCCTTCCTTTTCTAAGATAATGCCAGAATATCCGAGTTAGGAGGGACCCTTAGAGGTGATCCAGCCCATGGACCTGGAGTTGTTTGTTGTTGTTGGGGGATGGGGTGGGGGGGCTGCTGGGTACTCGCAGAACATTTAGGTTTCTTTTTTACACTGAACATTTAAAAATAGGAAAGACTGTACAGAAAATCTGAGTTTCACCTCTCAAGAAAGTCCAAGACCAGGAAAAACTGGGCCTACACTCCTGCTTTGTAAGCCTTTGCTGAAGCTGAGTACAGAGACCCTCAGGGATGGCTCTCTGGGTTCTTATAGGCCTCACCACACCATGGTCTCATATCTGGCCAACTTCACTGATTCACTTTAACTGCAGGGTCCCTGTAAGAGTCCAAATTTGGCTCCTTGGACCAACTAAGGAAACAGGCTCAAGTTCCCACAGTTGGTCAGTGGCAGAGTCCTGGTTATACCCCAGGACTCCTGGCTCCCTGGCCCTTTCAGCTAATGACAGAACCTCTCTCTGCTATGGGTGTGCAAGGCCCTGGAGAGCAAAGCATATGCCACTTACTTCCTCAGTCAGGTCCTGGGGCGTCTCATCCTCCACATTCCGCAGCAGGGAGTCAGCACCCGCCTTGCACAGAGTGGATGAGATGCCCATGAGACCCCGGCCAGCTGCCAGGTGCAGGGGTGTGCACCCGTTCAGCATGCGGGCATCTACCTGGGCACCAGCCTGGAGCAGGAACTGTACCAGGCCCCGCTCTTGGGTTTCCACAGCCAGGTGCAGCGCTGTCTTACCACTGGTGCCCTCCTGGGGAGGAATAAGGATGTCAGCCAAGGCCCTCAGAGGCAGTGTGCTGGGCCTGGGCTCTGGATAAGGAAGTGAATGCCACCACTTCTGACTGCTGGGCAGGGGACTTGGGGATGTGTCAGGTGGGGGCAGGCCCTGGGCCGGGCAGTGCTTTGCTGGCTGTCTCACCTGCACATCAATGTCAGCTCCATTCCGAAGCAGCAATTCCATGAGTGGTTGGTTCTTCTGAAGGGTGGCAATGTGGAGACAAGCCAGACCTGGGATGGGGTGAGAGTGAGGGTGAGGGCTGCTGATCTGCATCCACCAACTCCCTCTCTTCTGGGACCTCCCTACCACTCAGCCCCAAGGGACTCACAGCCCACTCAATGTCTCTAATCACAAGACTGTTAAAATGCAAACCCCAAAACCCCCTCAAAAGTCTAAGGGGAAAGGAACTCAAAGTTTCCACCTTTTCAGAGTCATGTTATTGAAACTTTCATGCTTCAGGGGTCAGGCTGCTGAGTGACACCCCCAAAGAACACCCTCCTCCTATACACAAACTACAACACACACACACACACACACACACACACATACAGACACACACACACACACACACACACACACACAACCTGCCTTCAAGCCCAGTCTGAAAGCCACCTTTTCTGAAAAGCCACCTAAGATCCTCATGCCCCCAGCCCTTTCTCAGGGGCCGCTTCCTTCTGTGCTCCCCTGGCCTTTTTGCTCTCCTTTCTAGTCTGGACACTCCCGACCCTTGCTTAGTAATAGAGATTTCGATTCAAATTTACATTCTTCACCTTCCTCAGGGCGCTATTCAGATGTCACTGGCTCCATGAGGCCTTCCCGGACCACCCTATTTAACAATCATATCAACTCTCCTACTCCCCACATTCCTTCCTCTCACTCTGCTCTGCTTTTTACTACAGCACTTACTTCCTTTTAACATATTACATAGTTCACTTCTTACATTTATTGCTCATCTCAATCTTTCTCTATTTTGCACACAGATGCAAGTGTAGCTCCTAGGATAACGTCTGGCACATAGAAAACCCTCAGTACATTTCTGTTGAATGAATGAATCAGGTCATCTAATCTCTATTAAACTAAGTATCTTAAGGGCAAGATTTAGTTTTCTTCTCAGCAGGCAGTAGGTACTGGTTAAATTCGAAATCAAATCATCCATTCATTCATTTGGCAAAGATGTACTGAATATCTATGTGCTTACAGTGGGAGGGGCACCAATGGACAAGCTGGGACCCTCCCTTCCCCAAGAGTGAGGTCCCTATCTCCTATGCCCTCCTCATCCCACAGGCCCTAAGGGCAGTCTTAAAGACTGTCCACACCTTGCCAGTTTTGCAGCTGGAGGTCCAGAGAGTGAGATGTTCCTCTGCCTGGCTCTGGCCGCCCTTCCAGCAGGCAGCGGGCACAGGCCAAGTGCTGGCGCTGGCAGGCCACATGAAGGGCTGTGTCACCATGCCGGTCCTGTAGTGCCCGGCTGGCCCCCTTCAGCACCAGTGCCCGAACTGCGCCCGGTTGGTCCAGATGTACAGCCAGATGGAGTGCTGTCTGGAGGCACAAATAGAGGGTCATGGGGCCACTGCAGCATGCTCCCACCTCTGGGAACATGCTTGGGCTCAAGAATCACCAGCTGCCAGCATCTTCTTTGAAAGCAGCTTATAAAGGCCATAACCTGTTCTTCCAAGGAAATACTACCGAGCCCTTCCCCTGTCACACCCCTCCCCCACCAAGCTCTTGGGATCCCAATTCTGGAAGCAAGGTGAAGAAAGTAGCTCTCTGCTTTTCTTGTAAGTCACCTTAGGCCCTGGAGAAAGGACATGTAGGAGGAGAGTCTAGCCCCTCACCCTGTGAGGAGACCTCTGTTACCCCCAGGGGTTAGGCTGCAGGAGGAAAGATAGAGGCACCGGGCAGTCTCTCCCTGGCAAAACTCTCTGTTAGGCTCCATTCAGATGGCATCTCCTCTGTAAGCCTTCCCTGGCTGCTGCACACAGACACTGGACCCTATAGCAGCTGGTATGTGTCTCTATCACAACTCTTGTCACCAGGCTGTGTATTTAGCTGTTGATACAAGTCCCCCAGCCCAGGATGCAAGCACCTCAGGACAGAGGCCATGTCTTACTTGGGTCTGTCTCCTCAGTTTCTAGCTCAGTGTCTGGCATATGGTTTCCTAAGTGAGCAGCCTTTGGACTGGTATGGCTGCTGGGAATGGCTGCCAGGGCACAAACAGGTATCTGGGCATAACATTCTCTCGCCACCAACCTGGTAAAGGTTATTTTGAATGTCCAGGACCTCCTGGGGCAGCAAAGCCAGGCAACAGAGCAGCACCGCTGGGGCCTCATGAATCACTGCCAGGTGGACCAGCCTAGGGGAGCAGAGGCGGGGCTTAGAGTTAAGGGCCCAGGCCAGAGGGAGTGGGTTGGGGTCTTGGAGTTAGAAGGAACACATCAAACTTTAACTAGCTACCCATAGGGTAGGTCCAGGAAGTGAGAGTGTGGGCCAGGAAGTGAGGGTTGGTGTGGGAAGCCAGGATCCTAGGGTTGGAGCTCCAAGTTCCCACTGCTGGCCTTCAGGAGGGCCTTGGCTGGGTGGGCATGTGGGCAGGGTGCTGACAGGACAACAGCCTTCCTGTCCAGCCTGCCCACACCCACTCCTCTTTGCCCTCAGGGCTCTGCCGAGCCAGCTGCAGCTCAAAGCCAAATTGAAAGCTGCCGAAGTAGTCCAGAGGGGGTTTCCAGGGCTAAGCACCCCACCACCCCAGCACACAGGAAAGAAGGAGACAGTTGCAGGGTCACCCCGTACCCCCAAGCAACTCAGTGTTACACATTCCAAGGGAGAGACACAGAAACTCTTGGAAGAGGAGCAAGGAGACAGTGCAGCATCCTGTCCTGCTGCCCTTCCCTGGGAGTCAAGAGGCACCTCTCAGATAGCACAGACCAGGTCGGGCCTAACAGAGGCCCTCCATTCCTGTGTGCACCTCCAAGAGGAGGTCTTTGTAGTGCAGAAAATGTATTTGTTGAGGGGGCCAAGAACCTTAATCTAGGGGTAATGGGGGCAGTTGGGAGGGGAAGTTCCAGTCTTGGGGTTTCCCCACGTCAGGTGGGGAAAACGAAAGCCAGTGATGGAGGGTCTAGGCCGGGACAGCTGCCTTGGGGCATTAGTGAGGGGGGTAGATTGGCTAAAAGGCCCGTCTGGGCTGGGGAGGGGGCTGCTTGGGCAGGAGGGTGGCAGGCTTTAGCAGCAGGCAGCAGGAGAGGCCCAGGAGAGTGACGGAGGGAGGGAGGAACTGCTCTGGAAATCCCCTAGGCCAGGGCCTGCTCTCTGGGTCACATTCTTGCAGCCACCTCCCTCTCTCCCCCAGTATCCCCTCCTCCCACTTCCTCTTCCCACTTCCATACCTCCCACAGCCCAGACACCTCCAACAGAGGGAGGAAAGTGCCCCCTGCTCTCTGGGGACTCGCTGGGGAGCCCGGACATTTCTCCCCTCCACACACACACCCAATCTGGACACAACACCTGCTTCTAACTAGAGATGGAAAAGGCTGGGGCTGAGAGGCTAACAAAAGACGGCAATGTCAAAAGTCCCCTCTCCTTGGATCAAAGGTCATCAGAGGTATCTTGCGTGCAGCCCCCAAAACCTTGGGGTTCTGGGCCTGAGGGCTGGTGATCCAGGCAGAGTACAGAAAGGACTGGGTCACTCCTCTCCCACCCACTGGGTCCACCAGCTGTCTTTATCAATGGCCACCCAGGATTAGGACCCTGCATCTCCAAAAAGCAGGTTAGGACAGCCACCTCCTGCCTCCCCTACTCCTATTTATATGAGCACCCTTGACCAGGGATTCCAGCCCTCCCCAACTCTATTTCTCATCCCCAGTTCCCAACCTTTCCCTCCTCTGTCAATGTTTTCTTCTTCCTGGGGGGCTAAATCCTCAACTGGCCAACCCATCCCACACAACTGCCTTTTACTTCAACTGCCCTCTGGCCCACTCCCACCAAACTCCATCTGGGTCTGGAGGAGGAAGGGTTAAGTGAGGGAGTGAGACACGACAGTTAGTGGGACTGGGGGCTCTGGAGGTAGAGGATGTCAGGGACGCTGACTCTAGCCCTCACTTCCCCTTTCTTAGCAGAGGAGGAAGTAAGCTGGGGCAGCCAGCCGCCTGTCTGTCTGCTGGGGCAAGAGTGCCCCAGCCTGGCTCACCCCATCCTCCTGAGGACCAGTCCCAAACCTACACCCTGGTGGCACCCCCCATGCCTAGCTTCCTGGCCCCGACTGGCAACCTGTAACTGGCACCTGTTGTTCCTTGAGACAGAGCATTCTGAGGTCAGGAACTGGGAATCCCAGATATTGAGCAAATAAGGATGTCCCCTTCCCCAGCAAGAAGAAACAAAAAAACTGGACTTGGTCAGGGGAATTTTCTCTTCCTAAGGGTGGATTATTGGTAGATTTCCAAGATGCTGGCTGGGTTAAGGGTCCTGCCAGCTCTGCCCACCCCGAAATGGGAGGACAGAGATGATTCCATGGCCTAGCTGGACCTCAAAAGTGGGCTGAGAGTTAAGTCTGGAGTTTGGAAGAGCGAATGGGGACTTGAAGGATCTTCACGGGGGAGTGGGGGTGCCCGACCTGTTGCGGCTCTTGGGCAGGCCCAGAGTTAGCATCCCGATTCAGCCTAGCCCCCATACTCACGTGTCTCCGTCCTCGGAGATGTAAGTGAGTGCTTCCAGCTGCTGAGGGCTCAGCGCCCCCACGTGGGGGAGTGGCAGGCGTGGGGCCGGGTCCTCAGCCTCGGGGCCCCCCAGCAAGGACAGGGTGTAGGTGAGCGAGGAGGAGCCATAGGTGGAATCAGCCCGCTCCCCATCCGCGTCTTCCTTCTCCTGTGGTTCCTTGACGGGTCCCGGAGGATGGGTGCAGGGCTGGGGGCTGCCGTCCGAGGGCCCGGAGGCTGGAGCCGAGGTGGACTCGGGTAGGGAGCGCAGAGAGCGCAGAGACTCAATGCCAGAGTCGTACTGGCTCTCCTCCGCCTCGTCCGGCCCCTTCCGCGCCTCCGACATGCCCGCGGCTCTGGCCGGCCGGGGCCCGGTCTGAGCAGGATCCGGCTCCAGGCTCCGCCGCGCCGCCTTTCCGGGTTGCGGGTCCGCTTGGCAGAGCGGGCGCCCGGCCCGCGGCGGCCTCCTTCCCGGGCTGTGGGGCTCCGAGGGGCCGGCGCGCAGCGAGGACAAGGTTCGGAGCGCTGGCCAGGTCCACCCAGCGGTTACTGTGGGCAGCCGAACCGCCCAAGCGGGTCCTCCTCCTCGCCCCGCCCCTCCGGACCAACAGGGTCGCCTCACGCGGATGGCCCCGCCCCCTCCCCGCCCCCGGCGGGCGCTTCCGGAAAGAGGCCCCGCCCCTCCGGAATCCCCCTTCCCGGGCTCTGCGTAGGCTTGGAGTCTGTGGTTCCCGGGCCTTGACTCACTCCTTCGTTGATTCATTCACTCATTCATTCATTCATTCATTCACTCTTTCCCCCTTCCTCCTTCACTCCATTCATTAGTTCCACGCATGTACTGTTTCCTTCTTTCACTTCTATTTCTTAATTCATTTGTTTTATTTTTATTTTTTATTTTTTTGAGACGAAGTCTTGCTCTGTTGCCCAGGCTGGAGTGCAGTGGTTGATCTCTGCTCACTGCAACCTCCGCCTCCTGGGTTCAAGCGATTCTCCTGCCTCAGCCTTTCGAGTAGCTGGGACTACAAGTAGAGACGGGGGTCTCGCTACGTTGCCCAGGCTGGTCTCGAACTCCTGGGTTCAAGCGATCTGCCTGCCTCGGACTACCAAAGTGCTGGGATTACAGGCTGTGAGCCACCGGTCCCGGATCATTCATTTGTTTTAAAAGAAATATCTATTAATTGTCCGTACAAGCTGGCATCTTTGGGGGAGGGCATGTAGGCGATGGGATGGGGAAGCACTGCTTCCTATCCCCTGCCCATTTATCTCAATTTCTCTTGCTTTCTCATCTTTCCCTATCAGTGCCCAGGGGTACGGGTAGGGAAAGGGGACTCCCATTATCTTTAAAGGAGCAGTTCTCCTGGGTCCTGGAAGACAGTCTCCTGTGTCAACGTCCCACATCACATGGAATTGGGCATGAAAATGTTTTTTTGGAAAGAGCGTCTTCTCAGGGAAACTGTTGTCTAAAAAGTAAAGTGGTTGTGGAGTTTCTTCTTCCTCAAAGGGTGAAACCCTGGCCTTGGGTAGTTACAGTTTCTGGTCAACCCCAGCAGTCAAGGAAGTGGGGTCAGGTTGGGGAGGCCCCAGACATGCTGGGTTGCACTCTGCTCAGGTCCCCAACACAGCCCCAATCTTAGTCCCAAAACATCTTTCCTCTTTCACTGTCCCTGGGCCTAGGAAGGCCGTGGGAGCACCCTACTACAAGTGAGCCCTAAGCCCATGCTCCATGATTTATTCCCTCATTCCTCCCCACTATTCCAAGTGCTATCAGCCTAACGCCAGCAATGCCCTTAGAGGGTTATCCGCAAGGGAACATGTAGCTTTTCCATCTCCAGCATTGGAGAAAGGAAGGTGGATGAGTGTAGACAGCAACGTTTTGCAGGGGGGAGGCCAGCTTTCCCACAGCCCTTCCCCTGCAACCTCATTTTATTCATCCATCATTCACCTACTTGACAAACATGTATGGAAGGTCTCCTGTAATGTCTGACGTTGTTCTTTCTACTGGAAGCAAAACTGACTATCACAGTAATAACCAATAACCACCCCCCATGACCAACAAAAAAATCCCATGGTCCTAAAAAAGCTCCTTGGCAATTACAGCTCAGAGTGGTTGGGATAAGACAGAAGTGAGAACAGGGTGTTGTGGGGGCACACAGTGGGGCCAGCTACTCAGTGGGGTGAGAGGCAAGGAAGCTTCCATTTGAACTGAGAATGGGAAGGGAAGAGAGATAGGGAGAGGAGAAGGACCTAGTCTGTGGGGGGCGATTGGAGGCAGAAGAGTTGGGGGAGGGCTGAGGGGAGAAGATGGCCCACTGTTCTTCAACCCCATGTAGGACCAGAGTGGGAAAGACGTAATGAGCATGAAGCCCAGTGAGGAGCCACGAGGGGAAAGGCCTGGGAAATTGAAGCATCTCCTTCCCTTGAGTCAGCATGATTTCAGATGTTCTCAGTCTCCTCCCCTGACATGTTCCTCTCCGGTCCTCAAAGGCTGCAGCAAAAGTATAGTAATAAACTCCAGACCCAGACCAACTGGGTTCAAAATTTGGCCGAGCGCGGTGGCTCACGCCTGTAATCACGCCTATAAACTTTGAGAGGCTGAGGTGGGTGGATCATTTGAGGTCAGGAGTTCAAGACTGGCCTGGCCAACATGGCGAAACCTCATCTCTACTAAAAATACAAAAAGTAGCTGGGCCTGGTGGCACATGCCTGTAATTAATCCCAGCTACTTGGGAGGCTGAGGCAGGAGAATCACTTGAGGGTGGAGGTTGCAGTGAGCTGAGATCACACCACTGCACTCCAGCCTGGGCAACAGAGTGAGACTCAGTCTAAAAACAAAAACAAAAACAAAAAAATCCACACGAAATCTGACACTATCATCCCCATTTTAATGTTGGGAAACTGAGGCCCAGAGAGGTGAGTTGACTTGCTCAAGTTAAAATAGAAAGTGCAGAGATGGCTTCTCATCTAATCCAAAACTTTTACATATTTTTTAGTGGAACCTTCTTTTCTTTATCAAGAGGTAAACCACATAGGGTGGGAGTGTCTGAGCCCTCTGCAAGGATGTAAGAACTCAGGAGTGTGCAAGGACCTCCTTTTTATTCATACAGAGGCTGAATTTTAGGAAAAACCCACTTAACCCAGCCAGGTGTTTGGCTCTGAGCCGTAACAGGTGTGTGGCAGTCCCTTTTATGGCCACATGAGGTCAGCATTGAGTCACCCACTGGCCCCACTACCAGAGCTTGCACTCTTGACAGGAATCCTTTCCAACACTCCAGGAATGGGGAGGGGGACCATTGCAGTGTTATCTGAAAGGGTGACCTGGGGACTTTGACTTAGGCCACAGCATGGCTAGGGACCTGACCTCGCCTCCTCAGCTCCAGTCTTCTCTGAGGCTGGGCCCCTCGTCTTTCTCTCTGTTGTTTTCTGGTTCCCTTTGTGCCCCCACTCCCCACCTCCACCCACCCCAGCTAGGCTCATCTTCAGGAAACAGGCCTGGTTTCCATGGTGACCAGCCGGTCAGCTGGCTCCTTCCACCGCCCCCTCCTTCACCCCCCTTTCTTGTAGCTTCCAGGGAAGGGTACTGTGTGTGAATGGAGAAGGCAGGGGTAGCCTTTTGTCTCTTGGGAGCTCTAGCATTGGCCAAAAAGAGCTAAACTGTCCCTCCTCCAAAGCCCTTTGAAGTGGAGACAGGAAGGCAGTGGGGGTGGGTGTCAAGAGGAAGATTATGGTGCCTAAATGGGGAGCACGAAAGGATCCTCTGTGGGTTTGGAAAGGCCAAGGTTAGGGGCTCTGCTCTCTGTGGGGGAAGGGGTTGAAACTGGAACAAGAGGGGCTGGAGTTAGCTGTGAGGCCAGCTTCCCAAAAAGCATGGGCAGGAGATGCTGGAATGAACCACCAAGTGAGATTCTGCCTCTGCCAAGGGAGTGAACCAGACCCCCGCCTCTTCTGGACAGCCGCCTTCCTCTGGGCAGGGAGAATGGACCCATCAACCTGGAGAGGACCATGCAGGCTGGATAGCTCTAAGCAATAGGTGGACAGAGAGCCACCTTCACCTCACCTGGAAAGGGAAGAGTAGTAAAATGAAGGCAGGGCCAGGAGTGGGACTAGAGGGGTGGGAGCAGTGGCTCTCCTGTCCCCAACAAGGGGAAGGAACATCCTGGGCAGATCAGTGTGTTTGTACCCTATCCCCCAAAATCAGACATCGAGGCTTTGCCCCAAACTAACTTCCTACCCACAAATATTCCCCATAGATTTTGAGTGGGAAAGATCTGAATTCTAGGACTAGCTCTGTGAGTGCTAGCAGGTGACCTTGAGTAAGCCATTCACTCTCCCTCTGCCTTGGTTCCCTGTGAGTAATTGGGGAGAACAGTTACTGTATGTCAAAGACTCTAATGACACATAGTAGGATTCCACAGTGACTGTGTATGCACAAGATTGATCATGCATGGCTTTTATTATATTCTTCATAATGGTTGTTTTTCATGTTCTTTTCTCCCCATTAGACTTTGTGCTCCTTGCAGGAAGGAAACTGTGTTTCATTTCTGTACTGGGCACACAATAGGTACCCAACACCTGTTTACTGAATGGAGACATCCAGAAATGAATGAATGAATAAATGTCAGGGTCCTTCCTGCTGTGCCAGGGGATACAGGGAAAAGCAGTGTGGGGTGGATGGCCTGAAAGGATAGGCTGCCTGCAGTGGCTCAGCCTGGCTTGCTTCCTACACCTACAAGTCAGAGCCTTAGAAATTGTCCAGTCAACTTCCTCACTGCACAGATGAAGAAATTAAGGCTCAGAGACAGGAAGGCACTTGCCCAAGGTCACATAACTCCTTAATGACAGATACAGAATTCAGAATTAGAACTCAGGTTTCCTGCCCTCCAGCCTAGGGTATTGCACACACTTCACTGCTTCTCTGGAGCTGTTCTTTTAGGGAAGAAAGATGGTTCAGTGAAGGCCGGTTCCAATGCCCTCCCCTCTGCCCTCTGTTAGTCCTTTCCCACATCTAGCTTCAATCTCTTCCCTTTCCCCCTATTCCATTCCTCTGGAAGTCTAGCTTCTGCCTTAACCCTTCACCACGAAACTGGGAGTAAGGATCTTCCCTAGGGTTCCAAGAATCAATTTCCTCTCCCCACTCCTCTGCCCTGGGAACTTGGGGGAACCAGAGATGTGTGTGTGTGTGGGGGGGTGCTGTTGGTTGAACCTCGGGCACCGAGTCCACGGAGAACAGATGGAGAGGGGTTGCGGCACAGATTCTCCCAGGATAGGAGCGCGGGAGGGAGGTGCAGTGAGCAGGGCTGGGAGCGGGGAAGAGGTGTGGGGAGTCCCTGTTGCTTTACCCCTTCGGGGGGTGGTTATTAGGTAGGCTTGGGAAGGCGGAGTTTGGGGGGCTGGGGGCGGGGCTCGGCTGCGCTGGCAGGAAAGGGGGGGCGCGCTGGCTCCAGCTCGGCTCAGACAAAAGGCGGCGGCGGGAGCGGGCGGGAGGCGGAGCGGCGCCGCGAGGGCCTCAAGGTGACACCCGCCCCCGGCCCCGGCCCCCCCCGGCCCGGCCCCCCAGCCTGCCTCCCACCCTCAGCCCCCAGCCCCTTACTCCCGGTGCCCTTTCCGGGCCCCCTCCCCCGGCGGGGGGTGGGGAGCAGCGAGGGCCCCGCCCCCTCCCGTCCTCTCCCCAGGGCCCGCGCAGGATGCCCCCGGCCCCTGGCAGCCCCCCGGGAGGTCCTGAGCTCGACGCGCCCCCTCTACGCCATGTCCCCCCCTGGCTCGGCCGCGGGAGAGAGCGCCGCCGGCGGCGGCGGCGGCGGTGGCGGCCCCGGGGTCTCGGAGGAGCTCACGGCGGCGGCGGCAGCGGCGGCGGCGGACGAGGGCCCCGCCCGAGAGGAGGTGAGAGTCTAGGGCGCCCCTTCCCCGGGCGCGGCCGCAGCCTGGCCCCCCATCCCCCATCGCACGCGTCCCCCGCTGGTTCCGCCGCAGCGCGGCCGGCGCCCCGCACCCCGAGCCGGCCGCTGCAGCCGCAGTCCGCGCCGCCGCCCCCACCCGGCGGCCGGAGCTGTCCGCGGTGCCGGGGAAGGGGCCGCGCCGGGGGCGGGGCTCAGGGGTCCCGGGCAGGGGGAGGGGCCTAGGGGCGGAGCCTCGCGGATCCTGGGCTTATGAGAGTGGGGGCTATGCTCTACCGGGGTGGGGACGGTGGCGGGGATCCTGTCTCACAGAGGAGGATGCTACCTTGAAGGCCAGGAAGGGCGGCTTGTACGGGCTACAGAACGAGGAGGGTACCATGGGGAAGTGGTGGTGGTACCTGATCTGGGACCCTAAGGAGGTCAGATGTGTACGGGGGGTCCCGCCTGTGGTCATTGGGAGTGTGTGTGTGTGTGTGTGGGGGGGGGTGTGCACCTCTCTCTCACGAGGCTCCTGCTGCTTCCTCATATCCCTAGTTGGGGTCCCTAGTACTCAGTCCTCTGAACCTGAAGACAAAGAGACGGAGGAAAGTACCAGGAGCACCCCCACTCCAGCCTCCCATGCACACTTGTGCACACGCATGCACCCTGTACTAGGGCAGAGGCACACAAGCGGGGATGGGCCTGCAGGTAAAGCCCCTTTCAGAGGTACCCACATGGGGACAAGCACATAACCAGGTAGGCACACGAAGGGGCCCGTATGTTCATACCTCCTAAGGACAAGGCTCCCCGAAAGGCACATGTACCCTAATCTCCTTGTCCACATGTACTGTGTGCTATTTCCTAGCTCGCCTAACTATCCATACTTCTAGATCCAGGGACCGATGCCTATTACTGTACCCTTCTTTTCCACTCTTTTCCTCTCTTTCCTGGCTGGCCTCTAGGTCAGGCCTGAGGAATTGAGGGGGTAAGTCAGGATCCCAGCAGGAGGTTGTGTGTGTGTGTGTGTGTGTGTGTGTGGTGGGGGATGGGTTCCTAAAGCTAGACAGCACAGAGGAGGGGTGGGAAAACAGAGGCCACTACAAGAAATTAAACTCAACACTCAATTAGGATGTGGCTGCTGGGGGCCAGCACCATGGTAGGCACCTAGGATGCAAAGAGAATGAAGCATGGGCCCTCAGGAGTACCCAGTGTAGTGGGGAGCCAGACATGTAAACAACTCCTGGGCCAACCCTGGGACAGAATGTGCCAGGAGCTTTAACAGACAGGCTCCAGGAGAGTACCAAAAATAATTTTCTCTTGATAAATTGCTGGGCTTCAAACGTTGTCCTCGCTACCCCAGTCCCACATCCCCTATGCCTGTCCTCTCCTCAGCCACATGCCTCTGCCCTTCTGGATACCTCCTCCTGGACTGCCTGCCGCTCAGGGACCCCAGCCCCCTCCCTCCCATCCTAGGACAAAGGGAAGGATGTCAGGGTGCAGGAGGGAGACTCACAGGGGAACCAGGGTCCAGAACATGGGGAATGAGACTGGGCCTGGGGTTCTCTGGAGGCCCTTATCCAAAGGACGTGTTAGGCTAATTGTGAGGGTTAGGGAGGTGGATGGGTCAGAGGGGAGTAGCTCCTCTAGAACCTAGGACTGAAAAAAATCTGGAAGTGAGGGCCCCACTTGTTAAGTGGGGAAGTGATGTCAGTGGGTCCCTCCCCCTTTTCTAGAGGACCTGGAAGGGGTCTGGGCTGGGGACCTTCCTTCGCTGATGCCTGTCTGTCTGTCCTCCCCTGTCTTCCCTGTCCACATCTTCTGTTTCATTGCCATTTTTGTGTTTGTCTTCGGATGCTCTCTGGGTACCATCCTATCCATCTGTGTTTGCTGCCTGGGCCTCTATCTCTGGCTCTGATCCTTCTCTGCCTCTTGGGGTGTCTCTCTCTGCACTCTCCTGTACTGGCATTCCGGTCCCCTTTCCTGTCCTCTGGCTTGCTCTGTGTCACTTCTGTTTCTACCTCTGGCCCCTGGCTCCCATCTTGGTCTCACCTTTTCTCTCCATATCCCTGTTTCTCTCTGCCTGTTATCTCTGGTGCTGGCCTCTGCCCCTCCATCCCCGTATCCATCTCTGTGCTGGGTCCTGCCTGCTCTCACTTCCCACTCATCTTGGCCCCTCTCCCTGCCCACCTGAGCAGCAGCGTCCCATCCAGCCCTCTTTCACCAAGTCCCTCTGCCGTGAGTCCCACTGGAAGTGCCTCCTGCTCTCGCTGCTCATGTACGGCTGCCTGGGGGCAGTGGCCTGGTGCCACGTCACCACAGTGACGCGCCTCACCTTCAGCAGCGCCTACCAGGGCAACAGCCTCATGTACCATGACAGCCCCTGCTCCAACGGCTATGTCTACATCCCCCTGGCCTTCCTGCTCATGTTGTACGCCGTCTACCTGGTGGAGTGTTGGCACTGCCAAGCCCGCCATGAGCTGCAGCACCGTGTTGATGTGAGCAGTGTGCGGGAACGTGTGGGCCGCATGCAGCAAGCCACGCCCTGCATCTGGTGGAAGGCCATCAGCTACCACTATGTCCGCCGCACCCGCCAGGTCACCAGATACCGCAATGGAGACGCCTATACCACCACCCAGGTGAGGAGCTGGTGGGGAGTGCAGGACATTCAACATGGGAGGTGGCACTTACGTGCTGCCTCACTCCCTCCCCACCTCCCTGGGGGGAAGGTGGGAGGAGCAAAAGGCAGCAGTGAGCTCCCATGAGCATTGCAACAGCAGGGCAATAGCAACAACCATAATCATAACAGCAAAAACCGACCAGGAGCCAGGCTCTGCTCTAAGTATTTTACACACATCAAATCATTTATTTAACCCTCATAACAACCCTATGATGTAGGCAGGTATTCCCATTTTGCAGATGAGGAAACTGAGGCCTGGAGAGTTTAAGTAATGTGTCTAAGGTCAAATAGGCAGTATGTGGTGGAGATGAGACTTGAACTCAATCAATCTGGCTCCAGGATCTCTATACTGTTTAGTGCTTAATGGATCTACTTAGTGATTAATGGCAGAGTGTGGTGGCTCAGGCCTGTAACCTCAGCACTTTGGTGAGGCAGAAGGATCTCTTGAGCCAGGAGTTTGAGACCAGCCCACCCGGCAGCAACATAGTAAGACCCCATCTCTATAAATAATAAAAAGAAGTAGCTGGTGTGGTGGTATGCACCTGTAGTCCCGGCTACTCAGGAAACTGAGGTGGGAGAATCGCTTGAGCCTGGGCAGTTGAGGCTGTAGTGAGCTGTGATTGCCACAGTGCAAGACCCCATCTCAAAAAAAAAAATAAAAATAAAAATAGTGCTTAATGGCTGGAGATGGCTTCACATGCCCAGTATCATAGCATGCTCTTACCTGTTCAGTGAGGTGACTGCTACTGAGTTCTTTCACAGGTATGGACACCTAAACTCAGTGACTTGTCCAAAGTCTGCTGCTCTTAAGTGGTAGTGCTAGGCTCAATCCCAGCTTCCTGGATGTCAAGTTCAAGGGTCTAAGAGGAGGTGGGCGTAGGAAGTCTCACTGAGGGTGGGCAGGTCAATCAGCACTTTGTGGACTCGCCAGGATGAGACATATTGGGGTCCTGGAGGAGACGTTCCCAGATGCAGGCCATCTGTCTCAGTATAAGGATCAATAGACAGAAGCCTGGGGCGGGTGAGAAGCAGGAAGGAGGCTGATGATAGCTACAGCGTGAACAGGCAGACTAGAGATAGAGGGGTTCTTTAGGGAGTGCTTCTGGGGAACCCATTGGGAAACACAATTGTAAAAGGGAAGAAAGAAGAAGAGGAGGCTGTTTGTGGTGATGTGGGGGCACTTTGGAAAACAGAGGCAGTGGCAAATGGATCAGGCAGGCCAGAGGGGCAGTTCATGGCCAGGGCCTGACCCCTAGAGGAAGCAGGGCTTAGTTAAAATTTAAATGCGCGGCCGGGGGCGGTGGCTCATGCCTGTAGTCCCAGCACTTTGGGAGGCCGAGGCGGGTGGATCACGAGGTCAAGAGATCGAGACCATTCTGGCCAACATAGTGAAACCCCGTCTCTACTAAAAACACAAAAAATTAGCCTGGCGTGGTAGTGGGCGCCTGTAGTCCCAGCTACTCGGGAGGCTGAGGCGGGAGCATGGCATGAACCCGGGAGGCGGAGCTTGCAGTGAGCCGAGATGGCGCCACTGCACTCCAGCCTGGGCGACAGAGCCAGACTCCATCTCAAAAAAAAAAAAAAAAAAAGAAAAAGAAAAAGAAAAAAAATTTAAATGCGCACAGGTAGGGCTGGTTCTAGTCCGGTCATCACGTCTGATTACACAGAGGGCGTCAGTTGCCCTGTAAGTCAGACGGAAAGATCCTAACCAGCTCCAGCCGGCACCTAAACCAAGACAGACTTAGGGTCCGACCAGGCAACCAGAGCACAGATGGGGCGGGAAAGGGTGAGTGGGCAGAAGCGGGCACCAATGACGGGCTCCCCGCGACCCCGCCGCCTGCCCCCCGCGCCGCAGGTCTACCACGAACGCGTCAACACGCACGTGGCGGAGGCTGAGTTCGACTACGCGCGCTGCGGCGTTCGCGACGTGTCCAAGACGCTGGTGGGGCTGGAGGGCGCGCCGGCCACGCGGCTGCGCTTCACCAAGTGCTTCAGTTTCGCCAGCGTGGAGGCCGAGAACGCGTACCTGTGCCAGCGCGCGCGCTTCTTCGCAGAGAACGAGGGCCTAGACGACTACATGGAGGCACGCGAGGGCATGCACCTCAAGAACGTGGACTTCCGTGAGTTCATGGTGGCCTTCCCGGACCCGGCCCGGCCGCCCTGGTACGCCTGCTCGTCGGCCTTCTGGGCCGCGGCGCTGCTCACGCTGTCGTGGCCGCTGCGAGTGCTGGCCGAGTACCGCACGGCCTACGCGCACTACCACGTGGAGAAGCTATTTGGCCTGGAGGGCCCGGGCTCGGCCAGCAGCGCAGGCGGTGGCCTCAGCCCCAGCGATGAGCTGCTGCCCCCGCTCACCCACCGCCTGCCGCGGGTCAACACAGTAGACAGCACGGAGCTCGAGTGGCACATCCGCTCCAACCAGCAGCTGGTGCCCAGCTACTCTGAGGCGGTGCTCATGGACCTGGCGGGGCTCGGGACGCGCTGCGGCGGGGCAGGCGGCGGCTACGCGCCCTCGTGCCGCTACGGTGGGGTAGGCGGCCCGGGCGCGGCGGGCGTGGCTCCCTACCGGCGCAGCTGCGAGCACTGCCAGCGCGCCGTCAGCAGCTCGTCTATCTTCTCGCGCAGCGCCCTAAGCATCTGCGCCAGCCCGCGGGCCGGCCCGGGGCCCGGTGGGGGCGCGGGCTGCGGGGGCAGCCGCTTCTCGCTGGGCCGTCTCTACGGCTCCCGGCGCAGCTGCCTGTGGCGCAGCCGCAGCGGGAGCGTCAACGAGGCCAGCTGCCCCACGGAGCAGACGCGGCTGTCCAGCCAGGCCAGCATGGGGGACGACGAGGACGACGACGAGGAGGAGGCCGGGCCGCCGCCGCCCTACCACGACGCCCTCTACTTTCCGGTCCTCATCGTCCACCGGCAGGAGGGGTGTCTGGGCCACAGCCACCGGCCGCTGCACCGCCACGGCTCCTGCGTAGAGACCTCACTGTGACCTCCGGCCCCGGAGTGGCCCGCGCCGTCCTCCCGCCTGCCCCTCGCCGGACTGTGCTCCCTCTGCGACGCAGGGCGAGTCACCACGGTGACTGAGGCCGCGCGGGGGGCAGGGAAAGGGAGGTGAGGGCCGCAAGACAGGCCCGGATGGGGCCGAGACCCCCGCTGTCCCTGTACATAAAGAGACCGATGGGTGGGAGGGGGTCGGCTGCTCCCCGAGATCCCCCTGGCAGAGTCATTCTTCCAGCCCCAACCCTGAGTTCCTAAAGGGACACCTCCCTCCTGTCCAGCCCTTCAACAGATCTTCTGTTAGATGACAACCGTGCCGTGGGCCCCGCGTTGGGCCTTGTCTGAAGGGAGAGGCCCTGGCATGCGGATGGGAGATTTAGAGGCTGTGGAGAAGGGAACTTGGGGCTTTCCTTCCTTCGTGGCCTCACTCCCCTGGGGCCTCTCTCTATGGAGGGGGCAATGGTTTGGTGACCAGCAGGCTGGATTCCAACTAGCTAATGCATTCAGCAGGTCTGAGGCTGGGGCCAGGTGTCAGCCCTAGGCCTCCATCCAACACCGTGGAAATGTTGCTGCCCTCTTCTTGGCGCTGACCCCAAGATTGGGGTTTCCTTTCTGCCGCTCCCTCCACTGTTGTTTATCTAACTGGGCCCCCACTCCAGGTCCAGAGGGACTGTGCTCACTGCACAGACATCACTCACCTTCCGCTCCCCAGTCCTGCAGAGCTGTTGCCAGGGTGCAGTGGGGAGGGGAGTGAAATGTGGAGGACTGTGTACCTCAGTCCTCTCTCTAAACTCCTCAGCCTCCCAACAGGGGCCTCCTCACCTGGGTTCTGAGTGTATACCCCTTTTAGAGAGTGAGATGCCACCCGGGCAGCACTCGTTAAAGCTGGCCAGCACGAGTGACTAAGGGGAGAGAGCATGACATAGACCTGGGTGGCAACGGGGACCTCTGGAAGCAGGTGGGAGTAAGAGAGGAGAGGGCAGTGGAGGGTAGAGGAAAAGGACCTCCAGAGGTGGGGTGTCTGTGGGGGCGGCCTTTGCCTCCCTAAACCTGTGCGGAGGAGTGGAGTGTGCTTGTCGCTCAAACACATCTCTGGGGGACTGAGGACGTTGTCACAAGCCCCAACTGGAGAAATAATTCCAATGGCAGGGTCAGAGGCAAGCATTCTCTAAATCTTGCCCAACCCTTCCATCCTTCCCTATCCTATGAGCTGAAGCCCTGCTGTGTGTCGCAGGGTCTTCAAAGGGGCATCCTGCCACCACCCCAGGGCGCTGGCCCCACGTCCTGTTCCCCTAAAGCTCTGACACCGCCTTCTCTCCGTGTGCTCCCCCCACCACCTCCACCCTGATGTGCTTCAGTGTGCATGTCTGTGAACAGCCCTCCTGCCCTGCCAACTCCCCTGGCTAAAGTCTCCCCAGCAGATTTAGCACCCAGGGATTGAGCTCACATTTCAGGCTAGAGAGGATAACCCTTGGGCCACCCACATCTCTCACCCCTGATGCTTCTTACTTCGCCTGAGCCATCAGAACTCCTCCTTACCCTCCTTCAGCCCCTCTCATCTTCCTTCAGCCCAGCCAGGCCTGCACCACCAACTGTGTGGCCTCCACCTATGCAACATCGCCTCTGGCTCCCCTTCCCTTCTTCCTAGCGGGGAGTGCGAGGGGCCCAAATTGTGGGGATACCATGGCCCATGGCTTCTAAAGGGTTTAGCTTTACTTTCAGGTAGAGATGGCTGAGTGAGGAGGGAGAAGAGGCTAGAGAGAGGGAGGCTTGGGCAGGGGAAACAGCTGCCCACCAGGTTTTCCTGGACAGCAGTGCCCACCTGCCTACTAGCACTGAACCTGCCTGGACCCTGAGTCTGTGCTCCTTGGGGGCCTGGCGTTTGGAGCACCCTTCTTTCCTCTGAATGGACATCTGTGAGGTACAGGTGGTGAGCTGCAGCCTCAGGCTCCATTTCTTAGCCAGCTGGCACCTGGATGTCATGCTTTGTGTGGGGACAGCCTGGCCACCTCAGGGCTCCAAGGAAGGAGGAACGTGGCTCCTCCTCCCTCAGGCCTGTTCCTGAGACAGAGCCTGGTCTCACAAGAGGGGAAGGGGGACCTCTATTATTATTTTTGCCTGTATTGACCATTTCTGCCTAGGTCGTCTCAGACAGCCTCATCTCCCACACATGCACAGACTTAGAGAGAAACCAATTCTTTGGTCTATTTTCTTGGTAGCTTTACTGATTGCCAGGGAAAATGAAAACCAGAAAATTAATTAATCTCTAAAATTAAACTTTACACTGAATGTTCTTGTTTCTCTAATTAGAACTTCTGCTAGCAGCTGTGGCTATACACACACACACACACACACACACCCTCACACCTACACGTTTGCACTCCGGAACTGTCAGAGGGTGTCAGGCACAGACAGACTCTAGGTTGCCTAGACAGGCACACACATGCAGTCACTCCCAAGCCCCCTTTGGTGCTCTGCTCAGCGCCTGCTTAGCGGAAGGAGTCCCTGGAGAGCAGGCACTCCTGGACTGGGGTTGTAGCCCATGACCTGCCCTTTGGGGACACAGTTCTGGAGGCTCTGGGCCAATGAATCAGCCCAAGGAGGATGGGCAATGGCGCTCAGCCTGAATCAGTCAGCTAGGTCTCTTGTGGCCCTGGGGGCTGATGTGATTCCTGTAGGTGTGGCCCCAGGGTGGACAGCTACAGAGTGATGGGGGACTCATGTAGGGCACCTGGAAGGCTCCATGTGTCCTGGGGACAAGGGCTTGTGGGGTGGGCTGGGCCTGGCTGGGGAGAAGACAGGTCTCTGTCAATTGGGTGCATCACACTGTGGCCTTTTTGTCGTGGATTTAAGCGCAAAGATTGTACAAATCAAACTGGTGGATAATAAAGTCGTGGATGACTCACTGACTTCCTGTCCCAGTGTGGCACTTCTTTCCCTCCCTCCCAGGGAAGCTCTCTGGGGTGGGTGGCAGGGATTGTGTCATCCTTCCCTGGAAGTTGTCATCTACAGTTGCCTCCCCAGAGGAGTCCACTGGGTCTGAGCCCCTGGTGTCAGCTCATTGTCCCCTTCCCAGGTTGGGAGTTGGGGAACTAGGGGATGGCGTGGCCTGTAGAACTGGATCACTTAAAGCAGAGTCAAGCAACAGGGAAATGCATCTACAGGGATGAGGGTGGCAGAGAGAGCCAGGCATAGCCCTGCTGTAGCCAGAGGGTGTGTGTGTGTGTGTGTGTGTGTGTGTGTGTGTGTGTGTGTGTGTGTTTGAAGATCAAGGATCTGTTTGGTAGAGAAGAAAATGGTGGGGAGTCAGGGAGGCAGGCAGCCCCAACGGGAGAATCTGGCAGGCACAGTCCCTCAGACACCTCTCTGACTTCCCTGTTCCTGAAAGAAGTTGGTCATTTGTGGGTGTCCAGTAATATCCTTTCCCTGGGCACAAAGGCTGGGTCCCTACTGCATACCCTTTCTTCCCCCATGCCAGGCTCCCTTCCCTGCCTCATGTCTCCATCCATACAACCCTTGATCACTCCAAGGTTATTCACAGTCCCCCTCCCCGCTCCCTCTGAACCAGTGTGATACTCTGCAGCAGGCATGGCAGGGGTATGAAATGAGGGATGGGGCTGGGGCCATGATCCAAGTCAGGTCATTTTATCCCACAGAGTTCTCAGGGCCATTGGCAGTTATGGTTGACATGAAGTGGCTGGGATTCAGGGCCCGCTGGCGGGCTGCTTCTCGGTTTGCGTAGAGGGCCTGGCCAATGAGGTACTCGCTTTCCTGGGCCACATCTGACAGGCGCAAGTCAAATTCCAGGAGGGTCTTGTTGTCTGACATGCCTTCCAGGAGCTGCTTCCCACCGTCCTGGGAGAAGGGTGCAAAGGAAGGGGTCATTTACATCACTACCCAGGATCTGACACACATACTACACATTTTCAGGTAGATGTGACTAAAACAAAAGTTTCACAAAACAATACTTAACCTATTTGTGACGCATGATGACATATTCTGTTCTTTTCCATTTGAAAAATGGTAGCCAATACCCACTAAATTGACATCTCAACCCTACTAGTTTGAAAAACATGAATCTCTGGCAATGAAGATAATTCCATTCCTTTGGTTCAGCCATGGGCATGTGGGACAAATCTAATGAGATGTGAGGGGGAAGCTGAGAGAGGGTGGCTTCTGGGAAGCTTCTCCTCATTCCAAAAAGAGAAGAAAAGGGAGCAGGTGTTCTCCCGGTTTCTGCCTCTGGGCATGTCCCTGTATGAGATGTCAGAACTGTGGCAGCCATCTTGGGACTGACAGAAGCACTAGCGAGGCATTGGCCATGAGACTGGGGTGGGCAGAGCAGAGGGTAGCACTGAACCCAGGGGTTTACCGACCCTACAACCCTCTAATTCTGGTTGTGGGAGACACTGAATATTCCTCCTGCTTAAGCCATTTCTGATTAAGCTTTTTATTACTTGCAGTCAACAGCACCCCCTCTAGAAACTGTGTGTGTGTGTGTGTGCGCGCATGCACGTGTGTGTGCGTGTATGTGCCTGTGTAGGTGAGCAAGGCTGTTCTCATGGGGAGGTTTAGTAGAGGGTTCAGTGACCTAATGGAGGGCCCTGCTCAATGGTCATCACAGCTCCAACCCCTGCTGGGCTGGGTGGGCTAGCCCCAATGTGAAAGAATTTCACGTTGGGAGGCAGAATGCTACCATTCTGTGGTTGTGACCCAGTAGTGTGTTGCAAAGTCAATTTAATGGGTCACAGAAGCATTTTAAAAAATACAATAGAATGGAATGTAAAGGAAAATATCAGCATATATCACGTCATAAATTTCAATATTATGTTTATGTCAGTGTTCATGTAAATTGCATTTTTTTTTTGAGACGGAGTCTCGCACTGTCACCCAGGCTGGAGTGCAGGGGCACGATCTCAGCTCACTGCAATCTCCGCCTCCTGGGTTCAAGCAATTCTCCTGCCTCAGGCTCCCAAGTAGCTGGGGTTACAGGTGCATGCCACCACATTGGGCTGATTTTTGTATTTTTAGTAGATATGGGGTTTCACCATGTTGGCCAGACTGGTCTCGAACTCCTGGCCTCAGGTGATCTACCCACCTCAGCCTCCCAAAGTGCTGGGATTACAGGCGTGAGCCACTGTGCCTGGTCGTAAATTGCATTTCTTACTCTCAGACTTGGTTAAGAAAGTTTTAGAGACACAGTCTATTAGAAAGGACTCAGGCTTTCAATCAATCTTGGGTTTGAATCGTAGCCTTGCCACTTGCTACTGACTTGATGCCCTTGGGCAACTCACTATCCTCTCTGAAACTTAGTTTTCCATCTAGAAAGTAGGGTTAAATATACTTAGTTATATACTTAAATATATTTAGGGTTAAATATGCTTAGGGTTAATATACAGTTACTTAGGTAACTGTAAGGATTAAAGGAAAAATAATCATTGGGATACACAGTATGTGTGCATACTTGATGCAGTATGTAGTATGTAAACTCTGTGATCTTCACAATTATCCCACAAGTACCCCTGGCAGTTGGATTCCACACCCACCCTCACAAGCCCAGAATAGGTGGCTCACCAGCCCGATGTGGTTGCAGGACAGGTTGATGCTGGTGAGTGTGGTGTTGATGGCGAGCACCTGTGACAGGAGTGTGGCGGTGGGCTCAGACAGCTCATTGCCACCGAGGTGCAGCGTGGTGAGGCACTTGTTGGTCTGCAAGGCATGGGCAAGAGCCTGGCCACCCTCATCCTCGATGCAGTTGAGACGTAGGTTGAGGGAAATGAGGTTGGTGTTGTGTGCCAGAGCGTGAGCCAGGGACTGGGCACCGGGTGCACGCACCTGGTTGTTAGCCAGGTTGAGCACACGCAGGCGGCTGTGGCTCAGCAGCTTGGCAGCACCTCGTGCACCACGGTCTCCAATGAGGTTTTGTGACAAGTCCAGCTCCTCGAGGACTGGGTGGTCCAGAAGGCTTCGAATTATGATGCGTGCCTTGTCATCATCCACCTTGCTTCGGGTCAGCTTGAAGATCTGTGGGCAGGCAGAGGGTCTACAGCAACTGCCAGCCAGGGATAATCAGCCTGCCCACCTAGATCTTTGGCAAACTTGGCTCACCTAGTGTTGGCCACCTGGCTGGGTCTTGGAGGGGGCCAGGCCTACCAGCATGGCAGAGTAGTGTAGAATTGGTGGCAGGTAGCAGGGAGGAAAGATCACTGTTTATTGAGCAATTACTACATGCTGGGTATGCTGCTTGGGTCTTCCTTTTTTATCTTTTTTTTTTTTTTTTTTTTTGAGACGGAGTCTCGCTCTGTCACCCAGGCTGGAGTGCAGTGGCGTGATCTTGGCTCACTGCAAGGTCCACCTTCCGGATTCACACCATTCTCCTGCCTCAGCCTCCTGAGTAGCTGAGACTACAAGTGCCCGCCACCACGCCCTGCTAATTTTTTGTATTTTTAGTAGAGACAGGGTTTTACCGTGTTAGCCAGGATGGTCTTGATCTCCTGACCTCGTGATCCACCCGCCTCAGCCTCCCAAAGTGCTGGGAATACAGGCGTGAGCCACCGCGCCCGGCCGCTTGGGTCTTTCACAACCATTATCTCTAACCTTCAGCATCTCGATGAAGAAGAGAAAGTTCTCTCCATTTTACAGACAGAAAATGGAGGCTTACATTATTTCCCCAGAGTAATGCAGTGATTGAAGCAGTTGAGACAGGTTTGGAATCCAAGCCTGCCTGAGGCCTCAGCCCCTCACTGCATCCTCCTCTCCCAGCCAAGATCCACCAGGGCAAGGAGAGGACCTCTTTGAAGGAGGTTGCCAGGGCAAGAACCAGGGAGACAGTGGGGAGGTGGAGAAGCAGGAAAAGGATGAGATAAAGGAATGAAGGAAAGGGGATGGGGCTGGCAGTATGAATATTGTCCATGGGAACCTCTCCCCCTCACCTTCCCGCTGGCTTGTCCCACTCCTCTCTCTCCCTTGAGACCTCTGAGTGTCTGGCCTCTCTCTCTCTACCCTTCGGTTCACTCCTTTTTATACCCCTCTTACCCAGCTGAGTCCTTTGTGTCTCTTCTCTTTTCATTGCGTCTCTCTGGCAAAGCCCTAACCCTGGATCAGCCCCACTCTCTATTTTCTGCATGCCTGTGCGCAAGCAACTGACAAAATAGAAAACATCAGCTGATGGGACTGGTTGCTATCACCGGAAACACCAATAGGCTTGTAACGCTGCATGCCAATCTAACTATATTTCTCTGGCCAAAATACCCTCTTATAATCTACAACAACTATTTCAGCTTTTTGCAGCCTCCTCAGAATTCAGGGGCCTCCTTGCTGAGCCCCCTCTTTCAGCAGGTGAACTCTCCTCTTGCCTTCTCAGTCATTGAATGGGAACCTGTCATTTTCCTGATACCAAGCACTGACTTATTGGTCTATGAACCCGTGCCTCTCTTCTACATTCATCCCCTTTCTTGCAACTGGATGGAGCCTTACACTGGTTTTAAACATATGTGAGTTATTCTGAAGGAACCCAAAGCTCTCATCGGTTATGGCTGTACCTTTTCCCCTTCGCAGCCAAGTTCTTGAAAAAGCTGATCACAGCCACCCATTCCTCACTTCCCACTCTCCCCAGAAACCACTGCTATCTGGCCTCTGCTCCTGCCACTCCACTGAAATAGCTCCCCCTCAGTGACCTCCATGTTCACTAAATCCAGTCCTCAGCTCTATTCCACCCCGTTGCTCACTCCCTCTACTTGAAACATACCCCTCCCTTGCTCTGTGACACAATGCCATGTTTCCCCATTTCCTCCTCCCTCTGGCTTCCTGGCAAGCTCTTCTTCTTCCACTGAGACCACATGCCAGGCCTCTTGTTGTCTTGCTTTTGGCTCTCCCCTGTGAGACTCCATCCAAACCCAGGGCTGCAACTGCCACCTTCATGAAGATGGCACACATTCCCACATTCAATTCAGACCTCTCATCTGAGCTTCGGACCCTCTACCCAACTAACGAAATGACCCCTTCTTTGAGATGCCTCAAACTGAAACTTACACTCTTCCCCCTCAAAACTGATCCTCTTCCCACATTCCCTGTCTCTGCACATGGTCCCTCCAGCCATCCAGCCTCACAAGCCAGAGGTCTTGCACCTCACCTCCTTCTCCTTCCTTCTCCTTCAGATCCTCCCTGTGCCAGTGTGGCCAGGTGCATGCCAGACACATGTCTGCCTAAATATGTGTTGACTCTCTCCACTCCTTTGAGTCTCCACAGACACTACCCTCGCTGAAATGACCCTCACCCTCACCTGGATTTGGCAGTGATCTCCTAGGTAATCTGCATGTCCACTGCTGCCCTGCCCAGGCCATCCTCCCTCACAGACGGAGTGACATTTTCACATGTGAAATCCAGTAATGGTACCTACTTTTTTGCCTAAAACCCTTGGATGGTGTCCCAGAGCTCCTAAGGATAAAGATAGCCTCCTGGACAAAGCCTCCTTCACCCAGCAAGGCTGACCACCTCACACTCTGCGCCAGCCACACAGTCTTCTCTTTCTCTTTGAGCTGGCCATGTTCACTCTGCCCATAGAGCCTGTATGCACTGCTCCCTCTGTCTGGAACGCTCCTCCCTCTGAGACTGTAACTCGTCCTCCTCCTTCTAATCTCTATGTAAGTGACATTTGTTCAGGGAAGCCTTCCCTTGCAAGGTCAAATGCTCCTTTACAATCTCTCATAAGAGTATCTCTTCTTTATAGCATTCATCCCAATTCAGGGGTACCAGAAAAAAGTACAGGATGCCCAGTTAAAAATAAATTTCAGATAAATAAGAACGCCCCATGGAATATTCGGGACATACTTATAAAAATTCTTTGCTGTTTATCTGAAATTCAAAATTTTTGGAGACAGGGTCTCATTTTGTAACCCAGGCTGGAGTGCAGTGGTGTGATTGCAGCTCACTGCAGGCTTGAACTCCGAGGCTCAAGGGATTCTCCTACCTCAGCCTCCTCAGTCTCTGGAAGACTACAAGCGTGCCTGGACCTGAAATTCACATTTAACTGGATGTCCTGTATTTCTATTTGCTACATCTGGCAACCCTATTCTAGTATCAATTTTATGTTTATATGATTGCTGATTAGTGCCTTTATCCCATCAGACTGTTAGCTACAGAGGGCACAAATGATAATCTTGCTCATCCTTGAATCTTCAGCACCTAGGACAGGGCCTGGAGCGCAGCTGTTTGTTCAATGAAACCAACTGGTGAACTGGGAGAGCAGCGCCTTGTTCATCTCTACACCCCCAGAACCGTGTATCTTGGTGCAGGGTGCATTAAAAAACACTTGGCCAATGAAAGAGAAGGAAATAGGAAGAAGGCAATAATAGAGGAGGAAGAGGAGGGGAGAGGGAATCTGAGAGATGCTGAGAAGGGGTGGGGGGAAGGCTGGGAGCAGACAGTACCTTGAGGGTGTGGCATGCCTTGATGGCGGCTGCCAAGGAGAGGCAGTCACGGTAGGTGAAGAGGAAGAGATTCCACTCGAAATTCATGCCGCAGTCCTTGACATCGTACACCAGGTCCAGCTCCTCCAGGTGGCTCAGGCCAGCTACCAGATCGCCCAGTTGGTAGTGGTCAACGGTGGGCTCCTCCATCTCTCCCTCGCTGCCTGAGTCGGACTGGTCGCCCGGCCGGAGCTGGGCCGGGAGCTGCACCGGCGGAAGGAACTGATCGACGTGGACCCTGCGCACGTAATTCCGGCAGAGCGGCAGCAGGTCGAGGATCACCGCAGGGTCTGTGGTGCCTGGGATAAAGTGCTTTAGCAGGTTCTCCAGGTGCCGCTCGAAGAACATGCGTTTCCAGCTGCCGCCATGGTGGGCCACGTGGCACACGGGCCAGCGATGCATGCAGCAGCGGAGCCAGTAGTTCTCACTGTCTATCAGGTTGGCGGTCACAGCCAGTGGTAGGTCAGGGGACAGGTGGTTCAGGACCTTCTGCTGGTGTTCCGGGAGCATCTGCTTCAGGATAGGGTTTTCTTTGGGAACAGAGGAAGGAGCGCAGGGGGTCACAGTGTTGGGGGACACCTCAACATGATGCCTCAGGCTGGGCCTGCCTGGGAGCACCAGGCAAAGGAGAGACCCTTCCCTGCTTAGGGGATAGACAGCCTCTGCTCTCAGGGGGGCTCAAGCAGAGGGTGGGACACAGCCTTTAGCTTTGGGATGTTCCCTGCCTGAAGGTGGACATCTCAGCATCTGTTCTCAGGGAGTTCCCAGACTGAGGAAGACTCTCAGGTCCAACTCTCAATTATCACCTGGTCTGATGGGGGATACAATCCCTGAGGTCAGAGGCTTCCAATCTTATTTGATTCATCCATTTCAAAACAAGAAATTTTTTGAGCACCTACTATGTGCCAGACACTGGAGGTAGCACTATGAGAGACTACTATGTCCCACGTGCTGGAGATAGAAGAGTAAGCAAACAGGGCTCTCCCTTTTGGAGTTTACATTCCAGTGAGGGGAGGCTGACAATAAACAAGTAAAATGAGTGAGACTGGGTGATGATAGTTGCTGTAGATGAAATAATGGCCCTGTCCTCAGACAGCGCCCCATCTGGTAGGAGAGGCTGGCAGTCCATCTTTGGAAAGGATCAATATTACAGAGCACAAAATATGGAACAAACCAAGAGCCCTTACATGGCATGGAAGACTCCATCAGAGTAGAGGGCGGTTCACTTGGGAAGGCTTTCTGGAGGAGGAAGTAGATATGGCTCAGGCTGGGTTTTGCTGGAGAGAGTAGAAAAGGCAAGGAGAGGGCAGAGGCATGGAGGGTGCAGTGTGGGTGGGAGTCTGGTGGGACCTGCCAGTGGGAACAGAAGGAGAAACTGTCTTGGCCCTGGGTGGAAGGGAAGTGTTGAGTGGGTATGAGGATGCCATACGGGAGAGCAGGGGCTGCCCCAGGACCCAGCTTCTGCAGTCTTGGCTCCGGACAGTCCCCACCCACCTAGCCCCCCTCTTGGCCTTCTCCTGCCCACCTAAAGCAGGGACAGACTCACTCTGGAAGTTCCTGATAATGTGCTGAATGCAGAGCTCTGTGAGGAGGGGCACGATGGCCAGTGACCACTCAGGATCCTCAGCAATGATCCGGCGCATCCGACGGATATTGGCCCTGGGATGTGGGTTCCTGGACTTTGCAGGGACTGGTGTGATTGAAGGCTTTGAGAGCTGTGGGCTTGTGCTTGAAGTGTGTCCTCCAGTGGAGGAATTGTCCTGGGTGGAGACTGAGGAGTGGCTGGGGTCCAACAATGCTGATGTCGTTACGGTATCCTGCATGCTGGAGGCTGGCAAGGTAGGGGTGCGTGGCCCCTGGATGGCCTTATGACAAGAAGCTTCTCAGACTGGCAGGTCCTTGAAACAGGTAGGGATCTGGAGCAAAAGGAAGAGGGTAGAGGTGTTACTTTGGTGGGTCTTGGTGGGCATTTACTAAGAGAGGTGGTACAGAATAGTGCTTAACGATCAGTCCCTGGAGTGAAGCAGATCCAAGTTATCTGTGTGGCCTTGGGCAAGTTACTGAACCTCTCTGAATTTCAGATGTTGCCTCTGAGAAATGAAGGTCGCAGTTCCAGTAGGATTATTTGGAGGAGTGGATAAAATAATGCATCCAAAGGGCATAATATAGTATCTGACACATGAAACTAGCAAGGAGCAGCCCCAAATTTTAGATAATAGCTCTACAGCAATTACAGTAATTGCTCTGTGCCAGACAATCTTTTTAGTTCTTTATGCCTATTAATTCATGTGTCCTCAGAAAAGCCTTTTTCAGAAAAGGCTTTTTCAGATAGGTGCTTGTATTATTCCCATTTTTCTGCTGGGAAACTGAAGCAGAGAGGCTAATTGACTTGCCCAATGTCATGCAGCTTAGAAGTATCACGGGTGGGTTTAAATTCAGTCTGTCAAATTCATGCTCTGAACCCTACATTGGACCGGCCCTCTGAGGGTGAGGGGTGTATATTGCCAAAAGACACAGATATAATAAAGAGCCATTCAGCTCATAACAGGACCCTGCACTAAGTATTTCATAGAACAGCAACTGCCTGATCCGTAGGATGGGGTTGAGAACAGCTCTGGCCAACAGAAATATAATGCAAGCCAAAATGCAAGCCACATATGCTATTTTAACTTCTTTAGTGCCCACATTTTAAAAAGTAAAGAGAAACAAGGCTGGGCGTGGTGGCTCATGCCTGTAATCCCAGCACTTTGGGAGGCCAACGTGGGTGGGTCCCTTGAGGTCAGGAGTTTGAGACCAGCCTGGCCAACATGGTGAAATCCTGTCTCTACTAAAAATACACAGATTAGCTGGGCAGGGTGGCAGGCACCTGTAGTCCCAGCTACTCGGAAGGCTGAGGCATGACAATCAGTTAAACCTGGGATGCAGAGGTTGCAGTGAGCCAAGACTGTGCTACTGCCCTCCAGCCTGGGTGATAGAGCAAGACTCTGTCTCAAAAAAAAAAAAAAAAAAAAAAAAAAAAAGAAAAACAGGTGAAATTAGCTTTTTTTTTTTTTTTTTTTTGTCTTGCTCTTGTTGCCCAGGCTGGAGTGCAATGGCGCGATTTTGGGTCACTGCAACCTCCACCTCCAGGGTTCAAGTGATTCTCCTGTCTCAGCCTCCCGATTACAGGGATTACAGGCGCCTGCCACCACCCCCAGCTAATTTTTGTATTTTTAGTAGAGACGGGGTTTCACCATGTTGGCCAGGCTGGTCTTGAACTCCTGACCTCAGGTGATCCACCCACCTCAGCCTTCCAAAGTGCTGGGATTACAGGCGTGAACCACTGTGCCTGACCATGAAATTAATTTTATATTTAGCCCAGTATGTCTAAAATGTTATTTAAACATATAATCAATATAAAATTATTAATGCGACATTTTATATACTATGTTTTCATATGAGGTCTTCAAAATTTGATGGCTCAATGGGCACATTGAGCCTACCGTTTCAATGTGGCTACTGTTTCAGAGAGTGCAGGTTGAGAGAGAAAGGAGAGGGGAACAAGACCCATGCCCTGCCCAAGGTGCCAGCACCCTTCTCTCCTCCTTCCCACTGAGAGCTCAAACTCCAGGTCCCTTCCCTTCCATCTCCCCATCCAGTCTTCCTCTAGCTCTCCCAGCCTCCCAGCATTCCAGACAGCAGTGGGCAAGCGTGGGAGGCGAGAAGACAGCTAAATCTGGGGCTGAAGACAGAAGATAGAGGATGTGTCTTGGTCCGGGGACCCTCCCCCATTTGCCCATTCCTGCACCCTTGCACTCCTGCCCTGAGATCTGCTGGAGGAAAGCCCAAATGGGGCTGCTGGCACCTAGTTCCTCCTCCAGGCAGTTTCCCATCAGATGTGCACCCTCACGACTCAGTGCACTGGGTAGTGGCCGGTGGGAGGGAACACTCTGAACCAGCAAAGGCGTCCTTGGCAGAGGGAGGGACCAGATGGTGCTTCCCAGCCTGCCAGGCATCTCAAGGAGGAAAAGCCTGGTTGAGAGGCGGGTGGCAGGGAGAGAGATAGTGCGGGAAAGATATCTAGGTATTGTGACATCCCCTATGCAAATCAAATGCAAATTCACACACAGATTGTGTCCAGAATTGTGGAATAACCAGATAGTGCTTTTTGACTAATGGCATCTCAGAGTGTAGGGCTGGAGGGGGTTGCTGCTTAGTGGTACCGGCTGACTTTGCATTTCTGGCTTTGTCAGTTATGTGCTTTGTGACCTTGGCCAAGTTACTTAACCTATCTGAGCTTCAGTTTCCTTATCTGAGAAACTGGATAATAATATCTTCCTACATGGGCTGTAGTGGAGATCCCCCTGAGATAATGGTCGGTTAATATTGATCATTGTAAAGCATACAGGGTGTGTGGAGAGTGAAGGTACTATGAGGGGCAGGGGTCTGAGGCTGCAGAGACCACATCCAGGAGACCTGCTTCTTGAGTGCTGACCTGAGATGGTATCTTTGGGTGAGTGCAAAGTTTCTGAGGCCCTTCCCTATTTCCAGGAGTGATGTGAAGGGCAAGGAGGCAGGGTGGTGTTGGGGGCTCATAGACAGTACGACAGAGGCAAAGGAGGAAGGTCAGAGGCAACAGGCCAGCCCAACTCCTGCTTGGTTTTGGCCTAAAACATTCTATAATTTCCCTTGGTCCCAGATATGTCCCTGGACACCCATGGGCCACACCCAGGGAGCAGGACCAGGCTTGGCAGGGGGAGCCCCAGGTTGCTGGTGTGCATTGCCCTGGAGTTGACTCTTTAGTCATTCCTCACAGCACCATCCAGCTTCACCATACTGGCAGGCAGTCCCTTCTCCTTCTTCTCCTGGGGAGCCACACCTGGGAAACCCCACCTGGGGCCAGGTGGGATGCCTCTGCAATCAGGTGACTCTAGTCCCACCGTCTAGCACCTCACTTTCAGGACCTGGAGTTCTTCCTACGATCTGGTCCTAATTGGTCTTGCTGCTGTTTTGTGCCTGCAGCCTGCCTCTGGGCATGACACAGCAGGACCCATCGGGGCATGTTCCAGGGCCCTGAACCAACTTCTCAGAAGGAAGGGGCAGGGCCTCGCTCCATATCACATGGCTGCCGTGTGCATGGCTGGTATAAAAATGAGCCCCTACTACCTTCAGCCTTTATAGGAACATCCATACCATAAGGCCTGATGTCATTTTAAGGCAAATGTTGAAAAAATTAATTGCATAAGATCAGAGTTGATAATTTTCAGTTAATCATCTCTTGATTTTTTAAAAATGGATATCACAAAAATATTTTGGCAGGCAAATTATTACCAGACACACAAGATTCTTCTAAGGAGGATTTTAGTTCTAAGTGTTTAAAAAAATCTACTTTTTAAACTAACAACATAGAAAACAAAGTATATTTAAAAGGATAACGAGCAAAACTAACTCCTTGCTGCCCCGCTGTCACTGTTATGAGGATGTGGAGTATGGCTCCTCCCTTGGCAGGTTGCCTTCTGACCCCTGCCCTTGGGGGACACCCTTTGGCGTGCCACTCTCTTGGCTCTCCTCCTACTTTCCGACCATTCTTTTTCCAAAAGTCTTCACCACAGACTTCTCTCCCTCTGCCCATCTCTCACGTGCCAAGGTCCCTCAGAATTCCGCCATGGTCGTCCACTCATTCCTTCTGATGGGTTCTAGCTTTCACCTCTTCCAGGTGGGGTTTCCCAGCTGTGACATCCCAGGAGAAGCAGAGGGTACTGTTACCAGGATGGTGAGGCTAGGGGGTGGTGGTGTAATGCCAGACTCTCCTACATCTGCATTCCAGACTCAAGTCCACTGGGATGCTGCCTAGGTCCCTCAAACTCAATCCATCCAGATGCCGGCACCAGAAACCAGGGAGTCACCTCTCTCTCTTTCAGCCCTCCCGCCCCACCCCACCATCTAGTTACTGATTCAGTTTTGTCTCCCACCCAGGCAGCCTCTCCTTTCCTGCTGCTGCCTTAGCTCAGGGCCCCAGTGTCTGTCTGGATCACAGCTTCAGCTGTTAGGCATGTGGTCTCTGGCATCCAGTCTGGTTCTCTCACATCTAGCCTTCACACAGCCGCTGTGGCAGGCTCCATGTAAGCCCTCTAGCAGCTCACCACTGCTCACTGGGTAAAATCCAGCCTCCTCACCTTGGTGTGTAAGGCCCTCCGTGGCTGGACACCTTGTTGGAAATAAGCTCCTCTTTGCATCTGGGACATTGCAGCCCAGTTCATGCTGCCCAGCCCTTGCTCAAGTTGTTCCCTCTGAAATGCCTTTCCCACCACCTCAGCCAGGGAAAGGGACAATCACTGGTCTTCTGAGTCTGAGCTCAAGCACCACTTCCTCTCTGAAGGCAAGGTGCTTCTTTGTCCCTGATACCCCAAAACAACCCCTCCCGTTGTCAGACCCCATCTTTCCAGTACCTGCATCACTCCAGTAACCTGACTGCCCACCCGTTCCCCACACCCACACTAGACTGTGAGCTTCTTGAGGTGTAGGGGCTGTCTCCTCCTCATTTTTGTCTCCAATTTCTAGCCCAGTGGTAGGTCTGCTTTAGGCGAGGTAGCTGGTGTTTGGGGCGGCTCCACTGGCTTCTGATAATAGATTCTGGCCAAAAGGAGTGTCTATTGGTCAGGGCAACTTGTTGGGGGGTGGCTATCTGATATAAGCCAATCGGAGTCCTTCTTGAGATTTGTCCAAGTGGAGGGAGACAGAAGGACATATGTCCTTGAAGGATCTGGATCTCCTGCTGCTGGAAGTCATTTCTCTCCACACGTACAAGGTCTGTTTGCGGTGGGAGGGAATCAAGCCTGGGGGAGACCAGCAGAAACGATAGATAGACAGAGACAGCATCCTGGTATCTTCAATCCCCATGCCTAGTTCTGGAGGCTCCCAGAGCTGTCTGGCTCTTTGGCAGTGCCTTCAGCTCTGAGAGCTAACTTGGCAGCCTTCTAATAAGTCCCTTTGCCAAAGCTAAGAGTTGGGTTTCTACTCCTTTTGACCAAAAGGTCCTGCCCCATTTTGACCAAAAGGCTCACAGTTTGGTGAGTGAAAATATGGGAAAAATCCTCAATCAGTAGATGAAAGAGTTCAATGGGATAGCTGAGAATGGCCAAAGGCCCCCAGGTTATTACTCACAGGACCTGATTCACTCCTGTGGCCTCTTCCTCTCTTGACTACATTGAGCCTCTAGTCTCACATCCCATCTCTCCAGGGCTGGGACAGTATCAGCACCTTACAACTGTCCAGCACTTAACAGTTACAAGGTCCTTTCAAGGTCCTTTCAGAACTATCCTCTCAAAAAAAAAAAAAAAAAAAAAAAAGTCTGGGTGTGGTGGCTCACACCTGTAATCCTAGAACTTTGGGAGGCCAAGGTGGGAGGATTGCTTGAGGCTAAGAATTCAAGACCAACCTGGCCAACATAGTGAGATGCCGTCTCTAAAAAATAAAAAAAATCTTCTCATGTGACTCTTCAACCACCCTATAATGGAGCTAGGATGGGCTTTCTTATCCCCATTTTACAGATGAAGAAACAAGGAAACAGGAAATGACTGGCCCTAAAACACCTATGAGAGCTGGGGCCAGCGTCTGAGGGCAGGTCTCCTACCTCTAGCCACAATACACTACCCCTCCACAGTCACTCAGTATGTCCCCCTCCCCTCACTGTTCCTGCCCTCCACTAGGCAAGAAGAAAGCATATTCTTGCTCCTTGGGAAGTGGGGAGGGCCTCCCCGGGCTAAGTGCGCTCCCAGGCCTTTGGCACTCCACTAGGGGAATTTCACGGCCCTAATGTACAGTCTTCATCCCTGTTAGGGTAAATGCATTTTCCCCCTAAATGAAACAAAATTTAATATCAATACTTGTATGCCTATATCCATATGTTAACCTTGAACTGCTTTTTAAAAACATATCTCATCATTTTAGGTCAAACAAAAGCATAGTAAATCATAAAATGTATACTGACACTAATGTAGCAAACTTTTTTTTTTTTTGAGACAGAGTTTCGCTCTTGTTGCCCAGGCTGGAGTGCCATGGCGCAATCTCAGCTCACCGCAACCTCTGCATCCTGGGTTCAAGTGATTCTCCTGTCTCAGCCTCCCGAATAGCTGGGATTACAGGCATGCACCACCACGGCTGGCTAATTTTGTATTTTTAGTAGAGACGGGGTTTCTCCATATTGGTCAGGCTGGTCTTGAACTCTCGACCTCAGGTGATCTGCCCGCCTTGGCCTCCCAAAGCGCTGAGATTACAGGCGTGAGCCACTGCACCCAGCCTAATGTAGCAAACTTTTTAAAAAGTAGAAGTTGTAATATATTGTTTCTGACAGTTTAAGTGTGCAGAAATTACATATATAATACACATGACTACATATAAGATATCAGGATATATGTATTCCACACCTTAGTGTGAATGAGTTTCAGATACAAAAAGCAAAGTTAGAAAAGGGGCAAGGGAGGCGGGATATGGTGGCTCATGCCTGTAGTCTTAGCACTTTGGGAGGTCGAGGAGGGTGGATTACCTGAGGTCAAGAGTTCAAGACCAGCCTGATCAACATGGTGAAACCCCGTCTCTACTAAAAATACAAAAATTAGCCAGGCATGGTGGCACATGCCTGTAATCCCAGCTACTTGAGAGGCTGAAAGAGGTGGTTTATAAGATAATTAGGGGAAAAAAATGAAGGTTGAACCCAGGAGGCAGAGGTTGCAGTGAGCTGAGATTGCGCCACTACACTCCAGCCTGGGCAATGAGAGCAAAACTCTGTCTCAAAAAAAAAAAAAAAAAAAAAGAAAGAAAGAAAAAGAAAGGAGGCAAGGAGAATAACCACAGAAAGGAGAGGAGGTGGGGAGTGGGTAAAGGAGAAGACAGGAGTCTGAGAGAGCTCTGCCTGTTTCACAGATTGGTCTTAGTCTGGCCTGGCAGTCATCAGCCTGCAGCTGAGGGTGCAAGTAGGTGGCACTATCTTCCCTGGGAGCCTGCAGGGATGGGTGGATACCCAATAGCTGGGGGCCCCGGGCACATGGACAGTCCCCAAGGACCCACAGAGGGCAGTCCTGGAGGTGGCTGAAGGGTCACCTTCCTCTCCGGAGCTTTCTTTCCCTGGGAACCTGTTGGGCCAGTCAGAGAATGCCAGAGTTTGAAGACTAGGAGCATGTTCAAGACTCCAGTCTTGAACATGGGCAGGGCAGGAATCCTGACATTCCAGAGAGGTCAGGGCCACCAGGAGTGGGTACGTCTTGTGCCACCACCTGGTGTCTCCATCCAAGGATGTGCTGCGCTCTCAGAGGGGGAAAGTGGGAGAGTGGGGACACGTGCAGTGGACTTTCACTTCTCTGGGGCCTGCCTCACCAGCTTGTTTGGCTTCACATGGTTGTGTCTCTAACCTGGGACCACAGTCCCCAGGGAAAGGCCAATCCTCCTCCCCTGGGCCCCTACTCTGCATCCTCAGGACCAGGGTCCAGGGTCCTGAAATCACACACAGGGAACAACGTCTATACCAGGACATTAACTCAAAGGATTGGGTGTGGACTGCTCTTTCCATGCCCAAGCACAGGTAATAGAAAGTGACAAGATGTTCCAGTTTGGCCAGGGTTGTCCTCATTTCTGATGGCTTGAATCTGGTGGACAGGTGTTCTGGGAACCATACCCTTGGCTATATATAGCTATGATTTATTGAGAGCTCTAGGCCTTCAATAACATGTACATAGCAGGAGGCAGGACAGCAGCTGGCTAAGTACTCAGGAGTTGTGCTGCTGCCTCAAGTCAAATCTCCACGGTGCCCCCCACTATCTGTGCAACCTTGGGCAGGTCCCCACTTGCCTCAGTTTCTTCATCTATAACGTGGGGACAGTACTTAATAGTATCTATTTCATAGGATTACTCAGAAGATTAAGGAGCTAATGTGTGTGAGACATTTCATATAGTGCTGGGCCCAGAGCCAGCACTCAAGATGTGTGTTAGATATTGTAGTGAAGATGCTAGATACCTTACTACATAATTTTATTAAAATCTCAAATTAATTATTGAGGATTATTATTTAACACTATTGTCCCCATTTCACAAATGAGGAAACTGAAACTTAGAAAGCTTAAGTAACTTACTAAATGTCACTAGCTAGTAAGTGGAGAAGCTGAGGTTTTAGTTTGTGTCTGTCTAATGCTCTTACTTCCATGAGATGCTGGGGTTGCTTATAAATTGCTCCCAACTCAGTCATTCATAGCACTTTTCCAGTGGGTCTCCCACTTTCTCCAGCTCATGAGCTCTCTTGTTCACCAATATGGAGCCCAGGGTTATACCCTTGGTGCTGACCTAAATAGTCCAGGCTCCCTCTTCCAGTTCACTGCTGGGTATAGGAGACTTCCGCAAGGCTGGACCACTGCCTGCATCCTTTGGAGGGTGCAAGGAGCCCAACAGAGTGCTGCAGAGTGGTGCTCTCCTGCCCCTGGCATATTCCCTCCACAGGAAGTCTCAGGTCTTCTCCATCCTTCCTCAGGTCCCCAGCTAAATCTAACCATTCTGGGTAGGAGCTCCTTCCACCTGCCCTAATGGGAACACGAGGAAGATGCTGTAGGTTTGCATTCTCACCTTCTTGTGCATCACAGTTCTGGTCCTCAACTGTCCCCTCCTCCCTTCCTCTTAGTGGAGAAGTGGAGACACCCGGCCCTCTTTGGGCAGACAGCGCCTCTGTGCCCGGGACACTTCCCCAGGAGCTGGCTTTGCACCCACTGCTCTGACTGCCTTCTCTGCCTTCTCAGCCGCTCCCACCCCAGATCCCCTCAGGAGAGCCCTCCTCTGTTCTCAGGGCTCTGGGCTTTTGTCTACAGCCACCTCCATATCCTTCATGCCCACCATGTCTTACTTTGGGGTAAGTCACTCCCAAGTTGGGAATTCCACTTGTGGAAGGGCAAAAAACTTTCTCCAACTGAGCCTCGGCCCGTGTGCTTGGACTTGGGCTGGGTGAAACCGCCAGTTCACTTACCACAGCCCCTGGGCTGGCCTCCTCCCAACTCCTGACCACTCAGGTCTGTTGTCTCAAAAGTGACTCCAGCGGCTCTGGAGTCTCCCACCCCTCCTCCCTACCTTCAGCTCAGACACCCCAGCAGAGAAGCTCAGCTCCAAAGGCCAGGAGTCCCTCCCCCATCCTACCTGGGGTGTAGAGGCGCTGGCTTCTCCTTGGTAACCCAGGGAAACCGGCAGTGCAGTGGGAGGTAGGGAGATGAGGAAGCTTCCGCACCCGCGGGAGGGATTACAGCCCTCGGGTGATGGGAACGGACGGCCTTTCGGAGAAGCCTAGGGCCCCAGGGCTTGGGACCGCTCTCCTCCACGCCCTACGGATGCCCCACTTTCCCCCTCTTCTTCCCAGTCCCTCCCCTCGCCTCACTCGGATCCCCAGCCCCGGGCCAGACGGTTTGCAGACAGTGACTGTGGTGGGGAGGAGGCGCGGGGCGTCCTCGCGTGGAGGGCGTGGGGTCTCCCGTGGGTACGGACCGGCGCTTCCCCGCCACGGAAAACGCAACCCAGGCAATGGCCGCCCGTGGGCTTCGGGCCGGTGTGGGCAGAGGACGCTAGAGGGGCTCCCGGGCCCAGCCGGCCAGAGGGGGCCCCGATAAGGGAGACCGGGGCTGGGTGTCCCCACTCCCGGAGGTCGCCTCACCCGCTCCGGGAGCCCCGGCGCTCGCCTCACGCAGAGTCCCGCGCGCCGGCGCAGGTCTTTGTCGTTGGGGACGCCCCGCGTTGCTAGGAGCGGGCCGGGCCGGGAGGACGAGCGCGCCGCTGCTTCCTCCGCTGCCGCTGCCGCTGCGCGCCAGGCACGCGGCTTACTCGCGCGCAGGGTGGCCAGGCCCGGCCTCGGGACGGTTCCGTGGAAGCGGCCGCTTTGCGGGTAGTGGGACTGTGGCCTTGCGCTATGCCCTGTGCTTCCGTGGGACGTGTCTAGGAACGGGTGGGCTTTCTGCGGGAGGCGGGGGTCGGGCAGGGCTGCTGGTCTGGAGTGCTTGTGCTCTCTTGGTAGCTTTTGTGTGGCAATGGATAGGGAGCTGGTCCAGGAAAAGCGTCTGTGGAAGAAGAGGAGGGTGGACGCACCTTCTCCAAGGCACCTGTAGAAGTCACTGGAACTCCCGTGAGGCCTCCTGTTGACCTTAGGCCCTGCGGGAGGGAGGGCACCTTCCACCTTTCCCCCAGCTGAAGGTCTGGTACCAGACGCAGGAAGGTTCCAGGCCAACACAGCGCTCCTTCACACAGTCCATGCCCTGTGCCAAACTCTCTTCCAGCCCTGGCGCGACAAGATGTGGTTGGGGCCCCAGATCTCCTGGAGGGCGAGAGGGACAGACCAGAGGGACGGCTAGTAAAAAAAAAGAAATTGGCCTTCAGGAAGGGAGAGGCAGCCAGGGTGGCGGGGCTTTCAAAGGGTAGCTTTGACTTCAGCTCTGCCGAGGACTACTAGTTGGTTACCCTGGATGAACATCTCGAAGCTCTGTTAACTCATCAATAAATCAGGGGTGCCAAAACTCATCTTGGCGCTCGCGGAGGAGCTTGAACCTGGGCCTGTGGTGAGCACTGCTAAACAGGCTACTGCCCCAGTGGCCAGGATGCTGCTTTGCAAGCAGTGAGGGGCCAGGCACCCGGGATTGGGTCCCTTCAAGCCCTCAGCAGTGCCTTACCAGCAAATCATCAGTGCCTTAATTAGAATGAGAAACTGCAGAAAATGATGCCAGGCGGGCCCACGCTGCTCGAATAATTTTTACTAGACAGAATTTGGTAGCCAGGGAGCCCTTGATTTGAAGATGGATCCCCTGAGGCCCTTTCCTTCATCTAGCAACAGAGATCTAGGAACAAAGGCAGAGGTCCAAAGTCTGGCTGTCTGAGGTGGACTCATTCTGGTAGGGAAGGAGGGCTTTCCTCCATCTCTGCTTCCTCCTGCTTTGAAGTGCCAATTTTCAGCTTCAGCTCAGGCTTGAGGCAGGTGCTGTACAACTTGTTTTAATAAGCATATTGTTTGTCTGACCCCGCTCTCCAGCCTCCTCACCTGCCCCTATCCCAGCTCACTGCTCAGTGGCACTGGCCACCTCACGGCCTCTGCATTGGCTGTTCCCTCAGGCTGGAATGCTTTTCCCTGATTTCCACACGGGTCACACCCTCACCTCCCAGCTCCCTGCTCACATGTCACCTCTTGGTGAGGGAATATCACCATCCACACTCCTGATCCCCATTCTCTATTTCCCCCCCAGACCTCATCACCATCTGACACTTTCTCCCTTCTTTTTTTTAAGACAGGGTCTCACTCTGTTGCCTGGAGTGCAGTGGTGCAATCATAGCTCACTGCGGCCTTGAATTCCTGGGCAAAGTGATTTTCCCACCTCAGCCTCCCAAGTAGCTGGGACCAAGGTGTGGGTAGTCTCAGCTACCTGGGAGGCTGAGGCATAAAGATTACTTTTTTTTTTTTTTGTAGACAGGGTCTTGCTGTTTGCGCAGGCTGGTCTTGCACTTCTGGCCTCAAGCGATTCTCCAACCTCAGCCTCCTAAAATGCCAGGATTATAGGCATGAGCCACCAAGCCTGACCCTCTTCTTTTGCTTTATTTCCTGTTTCCTCCACATGAAGCAGGCTCCATGAAGGAAGGAACTGTCAGTTTAGTGCCCGCCACGTTCTCAGTTGCTCAATTCATCAACAAACCAGCAGGGCCCAATTTAAATTAGAGGTCATTGTTAATGAAAGAAGTAATAGCAAAGAAGGTCTCCAGTGCTGAAATGATTTTCACAGGATGGTTCTGTATCTTCCCAGTAGCCAGGGAGCCCTTTGTCTGCCCACTGTTGCCTGGCACGCAGAGCCTGTCCGAACACTCATGGCAATGAAGATGGCCCGATTTGGATCCTGGGTGGCCTTTCAGACAGTGTGAGTTCAGACTGGTCTTAGGTTGCTGGGAGGGGCAAAACTACTCTTTTTTAAAGGTAATAGAACCTTCTGGAGCTTGCTATCCTCTGTGAAATAATTATTTGAGACAGAGTCTCGCTCTGTCACCCAGGCTGGAGTGCAGTGGTGCGATCTTGGCCCACTGCAACCTCCACCTCCCAGGTTCAAGCGATTCTTCTGCCTCAGCCTCCCGAGTAGCTGGGACTACAGGCGTGTGCCACCACACCCGGCTAATTTTTTGTATTTTTAGTAGAGATGGGGTTTCACCATGTTAGCCAGGATGGTTTTGATCTCCTGACCTCATGATCTACCTGCCTCGGCCTCCCAAAGTGCTTGGATTACAGGTGTGAACCACCACACCCGGCCAGTGAAATAATTTCTAATGTGCAGTCACAGCCATAATTGTCCATGTCTTCTCTTTCACCAAGGGGGTGTGTGTCTTTGGGCCCAGTTCTGCCTTCCCTAGCCCATGTCTCCTTGTGTCACGTAGGCCCTGGCCCAGGTGATCTTCTTTGGCTCAGCTGCTTGGCCTCCAGCCTCTAGTCCTCGCTTCAGCATGTGGGAAGGTTCTGCTGGCTCCTTCAGGGCTCCTGGCATTGCCTTTAGTCCATGTGGGTCCCTGGGCGGACCTGGGTCAGAGCTGGCTGAGGGCATAGGTTTGGGCTATACTGAGGGCAGCTTCCAGGTCAGTAGTGCTTCCGGTGCCTTGGGCCACCACTCGTGAGCCCCACGCCTTGCCCCCCATGTGGCTGCACACTGCCAGTGCCCAGGCCTCTGCTGTGAAGGTGGGCATGGCACCCTAGGAACAGAATCAGAAGAGGAAGCGATGCAGAGTGGCCCTCCCTGCCAGCATCCACTCAAGGTACCCTCAAGAGTGGAGCTGAAGGTCATCAGTGCCCCCTTCCCAGCTGGGCACATGGTGGGGCAGTCAGGTGATGAGCCGGAGAAGGTTTGGGCTGGAAATGTGTGTGGGGAGGTGTATGAACGTGAACATCTGCTACTTGTTTACAAGGGATGTGAGGCCTGGGAGGGGTTAGGAATTAAGGAATCTCTTGGTGCCTTCTGGGGTGGGGAGGGGCTGTTTTCAGGAACAAGGAGATTCCCCATCCCTGTCCTGGAGTATCCTCATAGATACTTCCACCCAGCCTTGGCCCCTTTGGGAGGAATTAAAGGTGTAAAATCAGAGAGCTGGACCAGGATGGGTATTAATGGGGGCGGTGGGCTGCTCTCCCACTTCCCTCACCTGGGCCACCTGACAGGCACACAGCACCTTCCCCATGGGCTGGGGGCTGAGTAGGAGCACAGACGTGCTGGGGGCCTGCTCACACAGCTGCCGTACCACCTTCACCAGCACCTGGACCACGAAAGACAGATGGTGAGCCCATCGCTTCCCAGACCCCTAGCTGTCTCCTGGTCAGGACTTTGCCCTCCCCAGACCCTGGGGCAGCCCGGCTTGGCTAGCACTCACTGAGAGAGACTCAGCAGAGACTGTGTCCACAATCAGAGGCCCCTTCGAGTGCCGCTCCAGCAGCTCCTGAGTTTTCTTTGCAGCCTATGGGGCAGGAAGGACAAGCAGAGGGGTCAGGCTGAGAGGCAGGTTTCCAATTAGCCCCAACTTCTGAACTAAGCCCCAGCTGAGCAATCCCCTGCTTCCCCCACCCACCCCAAAAGTCATTAGCTCTAGGCAGAGGTGGCAGGGACTCTGCCTAGGGTGGCCTCCTTTTTGGGTCCCACATGTGTCCTTCCTCACTTCCCTCACCACTTCCCTTTCATCATAGCTTCAGGCCCCTACAAATAGGTCGCTGAAGGTGAAAGGAGGAAGGTCAGAGCACAGATGGACCAGGAGTGGGCGGGAGAAAGGGGGATCCACAGTGGAGGTGCAATCAGGGCTGAATGGCACTAATCAAGTCAGTAGGCTTCCGGGGGTTCTGAGCCAGACTTGGGAGTTGGGGGAGAAACACAGTTTGAAAGAGACAGAAGTGGGGGAATGGCCTGGGTGATGGTTCTCAGCTGGCAGGAGAAGGAAGCTGCCACCACCCCGTCCTTGCACAGCCTCTGACTCACCCCCATGCCCCAGCCCTTGAGACTTCTCAGTGTATCTGCTGGAGTGTCTCTGGGCACATGGGTGCAGCCAAACCTCCTCTCACCTGTCCCATTTGCAGCTTACGGATGGCAGTGTTGGCACGCCGCTGCAGCATCTTCACTGTGGCCAGCAGCTCCCGCCGCTGCCACTGGGGCATCACAGCAGTTTCCACAGCCTATGGCCAGAAGCAGTACATCACCCCTGCCCTTCCCTGAGCCATAGTCTCTGAGGTAGGGACCAGCAGGGCCAGGGAAGACACCCACCCTGCAGACAAATATCTGGGCCAGCTGGAGCCCAACCCAATTGGAGTGCTAGGGAGAGTCTGAAGGAGTCCAGGGAGGAATAGGGGAGGTAATAGGGCTAGGAGAGGGTGGGGTGGTAGGCGTGGCCCTCACTTCAATGAGTCGTCCTATGTCCTTGGACAGCCTC